>NC_000005.10:167882536-168185566 GCF_000001405.40 Homo sapiens
GTTTAATTGACTCACAGTTCTGCATGGCTGGAAAGGCCTAAGGAAACGTACAATCATGGCGGAAGGTGAAGGGGAAGAACAGCACCTTCTTCACAAAGCAGCAGGAAGGAGAAGTGCAAACAGGGGTAATGCCAGATGCCTATAAAACCATCAGATCTCATGAGACTCACTCACTATCATGAGAACAGCATGGGGGAAACTGCCCAGTGATCCAATTACCTCCACCTAGTACCACCCTTGACATGTGGGGATTATGGGAATTACAATTCAAGATGAGATTTTGAGTGGGAACACAGCCAAACCATATCAATCACCATGAACCTCAGTTTCCCTATCTGATTAGATTGAGCATTGGCTTAAAAGGCCTCTAAGCTTTCTTCTTGTTCTAGTATTCTGTCTCTGTAAGCTCCTTGCATCTGGCTGGACCAAGCTGTCCCAATGTTAGAGGCTCCCCAACTCCTCCTCTGTATAGTGTGGATTTCATCCCAATATCTGGGACATTGTCAAAACTAAGGCCTACACAGTCATGCAAAGCAGATCCTTGTAACTTACATGCAAAAGTTGAGAAGAGTGGTTTTGGTATGCTATAACACTTGGCTGAAAATGTTGATGGCAATCCCATCAAGGAGAGAAAGTACAGCTCCACCAACACAAACCTGGGCTCCCAAAGACCCTCACCCTGGCCTCCTAAACAAGGTCTCCCACCTCAATAATTGGGAACAAATAGTCCTCAGGACTCTCTCGGCATTGTTAACTTGCCTAGCAATGTACCAAATAGAGATCAGACTTTTCCTTCTTTTCCTTTGTGCCTTCTTGAAACAGACAAATACTGCACATGTGCACGTGTGTGCACACGCACACACACACACACGTAAATGTGTAGTTTGTAGGTCCAGCAATTTCCAGCCCAACTAGGGTCAGGACCACTCTTCTGCACCATGGTGCAAATGAGCACACAATCAAGATGGACAGGTAATTCCTTTGGAGATGCACAGCATGGAAGTGACAGACGGCAGAGAACTGCTCTTTCTCAGCAAATAATCTTGATATTGACAAAATTCTCAGGGTCGATAGGCATTGTGTACATTCTACCTCTCCATTTCTGTCCCTGGCTTCTTGGTACATATAAAAAGATGTCCTAGGCAAGCCCAGAGACTGGGAACTACAAGTGATATCTTAACAGTTTCGTGCCCTAGTAATTTTTACCCAGAACTTCAGCTTCTCGCAAATTCACTTAAAGAGTACATTCAATTCTAACTAGCTTCCTGCGTAATATTCAATAGTAATTTTTAAAAGTGTCCCCAGTCCCTTGTTAGGGATGTCTCAATTCTTGGGTTGAATCAAAGGATTTCATTATTTTAGCAGTGGGTAGTTTCAACAGAAATTATAGCCCCAGCCCTGGGTACATCTCTTAGACCCATACCCAAAATAATCATGAAGAGTGTGGACTCTGACGTCCATACTACATGCTTTCAAATGATAGCTCAGCCACTTTCTAACACTATAATCTTGAGCAACTTACTTAATCTATATCTCAGTATTTTTGTCTGTAAAACAACAATAAGTGTCTACAAGTCCTAAAGCTGTTATAAACATTTAAATGACATTCCGATACATCTAAATACCGTTAAAAGAGGCTTAGACAATTGAAGCAATGATTGGGTTTGAGAGTACTTGTTTCCTAATTTAACAAACAATGTTCTATTGTGGGCAAATATATATAACATGAAATTTACCATTTATACTATTTTTAAGTGTAGAGTTCTATGGCTTTAAGTATGTTCACATTGTTATGCAACCATCACCACCATCCACCTCTAAAACATATTCATCTTCCTCAACAGAAACTCTATACCCATTAAACACTAACTCGCTTTCCCTCAGCCCCTGGCAACCACTATTTTATTTCTGTCTCTATGAATTTGTGTCTAGGTACCTCATATCAATGGAATCACACAGTACTTGTCCTTTTGTGATGGATTTATTTCACTTAGCATAATGTCTTCAAGTTTCATCCATGTTGTAGCATGTAATTCTACAGGACAGAATTTTCTTCCTTTTAAAGCTGAAAACTATTCAATTTTCCTTATATACCACATTTTGTTTATTCACTCCTCCCTTACTAGACACTTCGGTGGTTTCTACCTTTTGTCTATTGTGAATAATGCTGCTAGGAATATTGGTGTACAAATAATTGTTTGAGCACTTGCTTTGACCTCTTTTGGATGTATAACCAAAAGTGGAATCATTGAATCATACAGTAATTCTATACTTAATTTTTTAAAGATTTGACATGCTGTTTTGTACAGTGTCTGTACCACTGTACATTCCCACCAGCAATACACAAGGGCTCCAGTCACTCTACATCTTCTCCAATACTTGTTACCTTCTGTGTTTTTGATAATAGCTATCCTATTGGTGTGAAATGGTATTTCTTCATGGTTTTGATTTGCATTTCTCTAATGATTAGTTCTTTTCATGTGCTTATTGCCTGTTTTTATATCTTCTTTGAAGAAACGTCTATTCAAGTCCTTTGCCTAATTTTTAATCAGATCATTTGTTTTTTGTTGATATTGTTGAGTTGTAGGAATTCTTTATATATTCTGGATACCAATTGCTTATCAGATAGGTGATTTGCAAATATTTTATCCTATTGCATAGGTTGTCTTTTCATTCTTTGATGGTGTCCTTTGATGTGTAAAAGTTTTTAATCTTGGTGTGGTCCAGTATATCTATTTTTACTTTTGTTGTCTATGCTTTTGGTGTCATGCAACAAATACTGTTAAAGGCTTATTCTATGGCAGCCATTGTTCTAAATTTTTACAAATGGTAATTCATTTAATCCTCACCACTGAGAAAGTGAAAAGCAGCTCTTGATTCTGGGAACAGACCTGACAATAACATCTAGGCTTAGGTGCATTAGGAGCTGGCTTGTCACTCACAACTAGGTTGTAGTGTTCTCCTACTGAACATAAACAATTTTACAGAACCCAAGCACGAGGCCACTCCATGGCTGTGGTGACATGAAATAAGATGACAAGAAGACCACACCATGATCTTGCCCCAATACAGACAAAACCAAAGTCACTGTCCAAAAAACAAAAATACAAAACACCCTTCTCTCTAGGCTAAAATGGGTGATTACTGGTTTTTTGTTTTGTTTTTGAGATGGAGTCTCGCTCTGTTGGCCAGGCTAGAGTGCAATGGCATGGTCTTGGCTCACTGCAACCTCCGTCTCCCAGGCTCAGGTAATTCTCCTGCCTCAGCCTCATGAGTAGCTGGGATTACAGGTATGTGCCACCACGCCCAGCTAATTTTTGCATTTTTAGTAGAGACTGTTTTCACCATGTTGGACAGGCTGGCCTCAAACTCCTGACCTCAGGTGATCCACTCGCCTCGGCCTCCCAAAGTGCTGGGATTACAGGCATGAGCCACTGCACCCAGCCCACAAGCCCTTTCTAACATTCTTACTGAAGCTCCCTTCTGGCTCCCCTTGTGTGTCTTCTCCCTCATAGCAATGAGTTAATCAACTGTGTTTGGCCACAGTGTGCTCCTGCCTGGTGGTGTTTTGGCTAGAGGACATGGACACCATTAAGCTGTGAATTGGGATTATTATCCCTGTTGTACAGGTGGGAAAACTGTGGCACAGTGAGGTTAAGTAATTTGCCATAGGATACATAGTTATTAAGCAGTACAAGAACTTGACCCAAAGAAACTGGTCTCCAGAGTGATATATAGAAATTTAAGTGAATTTTTAAAAGACAATTCCAGAAAAAATATATATATTCAAGAAATAAAATGTAGTCATCATTTACCGCATGGCCCAGCTCTGAATAGCATTTACATGGCCACAGTAATGTAAACATTGAATAATGACTTAGCTATTAAATCAGAAGGATGAGAGGATATGTGGGCTGGGCAGATAGAGGAAAAAGCCAAGACCTGCATCTTTTATAGTAAGAAGTTACAAGATAATGCAAGAAGTTACTAAATAAAATGGAAAATGCAAGAAATAGCAGCAAAGCATGTTATTTATAGAACTGGAGATAAATACCAAAATAATTAGCTATAAAAAGGTAAATGTGGTTGCTGCTGGGAAGGAAGAAATTGGCGGTGATAGAAGAAGATTGCTATTTTTGAACTGAACGTTATAGAACGATTTAATTCTTTAAACCATGTGCACTTTTTTCTTCTGATGAAAAGAAAACATTTACATGAGATTGGGCAGGCAAAACACTTAGTACAATGTTAAAACCCCAAAATAGTAGCTGTTTACTTCTCTCAAATATATTTTATTCAACAAGTATGTATTGATCAGGGCCGATGTGTTTGAAATGACATCAGGTGCTGTGAACCTCAGTAGTTAGGCATTGGAGCACTTGCGTCAAACCCACAGATGGGTCTGTATCTGCCTCTGTTGATTAGGGAGCCCTGTGGAGTTGTTGGGGCTTTAGCTCTTTTTCCCAACACAGCTTAGGATGGCATGAGAACAGAGAAGATATCATGACTACTATTCCTCCTCATTTCTAATCCAGTGTCCATCTAAGCACAGGTACCATCATTTCCTCAGAGCTTTCCCAACCAACACTGCCCAACTAGAACTTCCCTTTTTCAGAATTACAGAACAGCTTTATAGTCTGCCTTATTCAATTTAGCACCTCATTGCATTCTGATTTGTAATATTCTCTTGGCATTTCATGCATGTAAGTCACTTGTGTCAACATTAAATTGTCACCACTTAAAGACAAGGGTCATTTCTTTGGTCTTTTTGTGTCCCTTAGCACATGGTGCAGGTAGAGATACGCTCAAGAGCTAGATCCTTATTGATCTACCTTAAGAAGGACAATGTTAGAGTGGGGCAACAAAAAGGTGGCAGCAGCCCCCACCCAGTCCTTCAGATTTGGGCCTGTTGACTGCAGGTCACTGTAACATTTTTAGATCTGAGACCATCTGTGATTGTGGATGTGATCACATTTAGAAAGAACAGAAAAAATACCACAGGGCATGATGAGAAAAGAAGTGTGTTTGTCTAACCTGCGTCTTCCTTGGGAAGGACAGAGAGGTGTGAATCCAAAATAACAGTTCTTTCTTCATTTGTTTAGTAGCTGCTGTCCTGAGTTGATGTTGCCTTGGAAATAGTTGCTTTCATTGATAAATGTTTTGTAGGGTACAGCTACAATCCTAGGGAATGCATGCGCTTAGTGTATGGATTCATTTGCTGGAGCTGCCCTAACAAAGTACCACGAACTAGGTGGCTGAAAACAACTGAATATTATTCTGTCACAGTTCTAGAGGCTACAAGTTCCAAACCATGCTCCTTCCAAATGCCCTAGGGAAGAGTCCTTCCTTGCCTCTTCTAGCTTGTGGTAGCTGCCAGCAACCCTTAGCATTCTTTGGTTGTGGCAGCATAACTCCAGTCCCTGCCTCCACCTTCTAATGGCCCTCTTCTCCCTGCGTGTGTCTGTCGGTCTCTAACTCTCTCTCCTTATAGGGATACCAATTATTGAATTTAGGGCTCGTCATAATTGTGGATAAATTTATTTGAATTAAGTCTGCAAATAACTTCACAAGATCCAAATAAGGTCACATTCCCAGCTATCAAGAGTCAGGACTTCATATCTTTTGGGGAAACACAATTCAGCCCACAACAGAATCCAATTGAATACTCAGCAGGATAGAGCAACTAGAAATAGCTCCCTATGTCTTCTCTATTATTGAACCCACCATGCTCGTTGACTGCATTCACCATTAGATTTAAGTTCTTTGAAGGCAAGCACCCTGTTTCCCTTGTGTCTCATTTCGTTCTATGCATTTAGCTACCACTGAGCCTGGCACATAGCAGGTGCTCAATAAATATTAGGTGAATTAACAAATAGTGCATGCAGTCAAAGGATGGAGGAAAGGTATGCAGAGGGTATTTGCAATATCCAAAGAATGGTCCAAAAAAAAAGTGGAGGCAGACCCTTTCTCACATGCTGGCTCCCTCTATCTGCAGTAGGAGAGACAGAGAATGAAGAAGGCATTTCTGGATGATGGCATAGTGCAACATGAATGGCAAAGAAAGCCAGAAGCAAACAGAGAAAACCAATGTAGTTAATATTTAAACTCTAGAATCCAAATAAACTAGTTAAACATAGAAAAACTGTTTTGTGTGGTGCTTTAAAATTCTAGCTCAGGCCTTTCCTTTGATTCCCCCAGGGCCAATACCAGCTCTCTCTTTTGTCATTTCCATCAGATCTTTTGTTTTACGATTTCTGTTGCTTATTATCCTTATTCCTTTCTGGTGTTTATAAAGCCAAAGATGAGGGGGCACATGCATTCTTGATACTGAAGCATTTAGGCGGTTATCACTTAAATTAATGTTTTCTGCTAGAGTTATATTTTAGTGGAAAACAGTAATTGTTTCTAAGACAGCATCTTGGAGTTGAACCAATTCTATCAGTGAACACTCAACCATGGGAAGCTAACAATAAAATGCAGTGATCAATCGTTCTTCTTTTCTCTCTTCCACTCCAAAGGCAGACTTCACATCTCTTTGCTTTAAAAAACAAAACAAAACAAACAAAAAAACCACACAAAAACAAAAAAACTAAACTGATGATAGAGCACCTTTTTAACACTTCAGCAGAACAGTTTCCCCATAGAAAATGACCCCCAAATTTATCTTTATTGCGACTTCCCACCCCTCACCCTCACTTAGAATTTACAAAGATGCCTTTGCGTAAGTTATAACCTTGCAAACCTCTGCTTTTGAATTGTGTTGATGTCCACTGTGGACGGAGGGCTGTGGGACAGGACTATCTTCCTGCATGCCAGCTCCCCGAATAATTCCACGATGCAATTGGTGGCATTCACACTTGACTAGGATCGCATTTCAATCTGTTCCATCTGATTGGATACCGTGTTTTCTTCCCGTCTGTGGTAATGGAGCACTCGTTCCCAGTTCCCAAGGTTATTTTCATCTCAATGACCTTTTGCATCTCCCTGGGGAGCCTGACCATTACCCACCCCCCTTTCACTCTGTCTGCTTAGAATATTGCTTTACATGTCGCTCTTCCTGTAGTAACCACTGTCTTTGATACATTCCTATCAGCGATTTTGTTCCTGTGGGAGCAGTGATCTTTACCAGTTTGTGACTCTCCCTCTTTCTCTGTGGGTTCTTCTCGTGGTCTTACAGCTCAGTTCAAGCAATTTGCTTTTAAAGATGAAAAGAGATAGGCTGGGACACCACCTGTTTACGACATTAGGATGCTGGGTTTCTGATTTCTTTTGCTAACCTGCGTGCCTTCTCGTGAAGACTAAAAACTGGTTAGAATATAAAAGATGGAGGATCTGTTGTGAAAATAATTCACAGGGAGGGGAAAAAGTCATATTACACTAGGCAGACTTGGCCTTTTCTGCCGCTCTTTATTGATCTCAAATTGCTGAAAGGGTTCAGAAGATAAAAAGAATCTGTGAAACAAAGAAAGGAAACCATGGTGAAGAAAGAAACGGCCCTGATATGGTGGCAGCCAGAGAATCCGTCTGAGTCCTAATTCTACCCAAAACTCACGGTGTCCCCTGGGCAGACCCTTCTCCTCTTGGGCCCTCTGTTTTGTCTTTTGTAGTGTTGGGAGGCTTTGAGTCAGATGTTTTGAAAGTTCTTTTCCAACTTTCAAATATCATGATTCTAGGAAAAGACTGAGAACTAGGCACGACACATTATTCCACTTCCAATGATGTGCTGAGTCGCCGAATCTGTCGCCTCTCTTTAAAAACACACAGAAACAACTTTTTCCTCCCAAAGGGAGGAAACTAAAGCTGTTGCCCCTTTCTGGATTGGTGATGATAATGATATTAAATAATAATCATCATCACTTATGTTTGTGTAATATTTTCTATTTCAAGGAACAAGATCATGTCCTTTCCTTTAGGTTGCAAACATCTGACCCTTGGTCAAAGGAGCTTGCAAACCAGTTTGATTTGTCCTGCTTGGTATTATTTTTAAAATTATGCTTTATTTAGGTGACAATGTTGAAAAACCAAGAGACGTACATAAACATTCATAATTCTATCCTTCCTGAAATAATAACATGCCTAGTAATACCTACCTGCATTATGTCATGGCCACAAATCACTAGAGTCCAGTAGAGACTGCCCGTTTGAGATCAGGCATGATCTTTTAATTTATTCATGTATGAGATTTGCATGGCCTTTGTAGCATTTGTATCTTCAATCTCAGTTATCTAGCTTGTTGGCATCAATGATGATGATAATGATAATGATGATGATGTTACCACTGCTAATGTCATTAACAATAATCTCCATCTCCATGTTGGCACACCATCTTTACTTTTAGGAAACACTATCATGTGTATTACCTATTTAAATCCCCACTACAACCATCTGGTGAGGAAGATGTAGAAGGTATTATTATCTCTACTTAACAGATAATCCATTTGAGGGATAAAAATTTCAAGTGACTTACTGGTGGACCATATTTAGTCTAATGATCTCAAACTTTCCACTATCAAGGTCTTTTTAAATTTTCTTAATGTACTCTATGTTTTGTAGGACTTGGTCTACCTATTCACATGTATTTAAAAAAAATAGGTTGTTTACTTATTTTGTGTTACATGAAGATATATAGATAGATAGGTACCTCTAACCTCTACTCTCAATGATGTATTTGTTTACCAAGTACAGTTGTAACTGCTAATAGACAAATTTTGTGGTTCCTTTGCACAATTACTCTCTTTTTTGTTTGTTTCTTTGTTTGAGACAGAGTCTCCCTCTGTCACACAGGCTGGAGTGCAGTGGTGCAACCTCCACTCACTGCAGCCTCAGCCTTCCCAGTTGAAGTGATTCTCCTGCCTCAGCCTCCTGATTACAATTACTCTTCATTTCAGTGCTTTCCTAGCTGGACTTCTTAACAAGTACATACAATTAGGAGGAAGGAAAGCTTAAGTGGGCCATGAAAAGGTCAGGTGAGTTTTAGGGATCCTGGACCCAATATCCTTATTACATAGCTGGGGCTTATGCTGACCCACTAAGATCAGTGCTAAGGGAGTTACAAGCAGAATTCAAACTCAAGTTTTTGTTACTGTTTTTATGTTTGACACGGGAGTATACAGCATGGGAGATCACCTCACCTCTGGCTCTGAGGTTGGTACTCAGAAGCTGTGGACTGTCAGCATATTTTGATTAAACACCTATCATGTGTCCACCATGTCACAGGTGCTGGGCATTGCCTGGGTCTGAAGATCTATCATCGCATCTGAGCCAGGTCCTTGGCTTCCTTCTGGCATTCTGTTTGACACTGATGAGTTCTGAGACCTTGCTGGCCTTGACTTGCCCACTTCCTCACAGCAGCACAGGCTCAGCATGAGATCCTCTTTTCCAGAATAACCCAGAGACTTCCTGGACTTGATTGAGTTGTAGCTTGCTTTGGAAAAGATTCCAACTTTTACAAAGTGAAATTTCCTATGCTAAGCAAACTCTATTTATATTTTATTGTATTCTGTTGTCAGATGCTGCAAGTACTTGAAAGGAGCTTGTGATATAACATATTCTTGATTGTAATATAGCATTGTAAGCACATTATGGACTGAATTACAACATTTCATGAGAAGAAAAGAGAAGTGCTACATTAAACGTACACATTATTCATAAAGCTTCTAATTCCAGGAAAATTAAACTTGAAAAAATTATTTTCCAGAATGGATGATCTGTAGCACATAGGTTCTTATAAGTCAAATACAGTTCCTTATAAATACATGGAAGATATGTGCCCAACTCATATGCAGGCCTAGAGTAGTAAGTTTTGCACAACCTGAATCAAATTAGGTCAGTCTTCTAAGAAACATTCCCATGTTACAATGCAACCAAACTTTAACAGGGCCTCTAGGCAGAGGAGTGGTTTTCCTCTCTTGGGTGGAGAACCAAAAATGTAGCACTCTTCATTGTCAAGGTGTATAGCAAAGCATAGATCATGAGGGGAGAGCTTACACAGAATGGCATGGCATATGCCATCCAGAATCCACTGTGCAGCTGCTTAGGGATAGGAGTGTTTCCATTTTCAAAACCACATAAGTTTCAGAGGTCAAGCTTAGCAAAGCAGCTTGAAAAGTGTGTACTTAGTAGGCTTGGGGAAAAGTTGGAAGCCCATGCCCTCATTTTGCCTCGATTATAGTTCTGCAAAAACCCTCTCTTAAGAGCTCCAAAGTCTATGCCTTATTCCCTTCCCCATTTGGACTATTGTTACCCTGGGCAAGTTCTTTAATTAACTTCTCTGTGTTTTAGTTTCACCATTTATAACACAGAGATAATTATACTTCAAGATAATGTGTGGAAAAAAATACCTCTCCATTGCACAATGAGAAGTGGACATGCAAGTTATCATGATTGTTTATTAATAGCAATAACATCCCACATGAACAGTGGAATCAGCACTCTTCCCCACAGAACTCAGAACCTTTGTCCTGATTAACTCATTATGACTGACATTAACTCTGAGATTTTGCTGGCGGCAATGTGGAGGGAGAGTATTACCTTTTGGCTAGGTTTCTTCTTGTCCTGAGGTCTTTTTATTCTTCATCGGCACCTCCTGTAAGTAACTGGGTTTGGGCTGCTCAGAAATTCCTGTCTGTGATAAATAAGGGAAATTTCAGACAGGATGGTAACTCCATAGCTATTCAGGCCAAAGAGTTGGTAGACCATTAAAAACAATTCACATCCTTCATGTTCTGGGTTTAAATATGCATATTTCCATGGTCTTACTCCCTCCAAAATTGGTCAGACCAGTTCAAGGTTGGATGACAGATGTGAGCAAATCAGCGTCAGACAAGTTGAGCAGACTTTAACTTCCTATATTGTAGTAGAAAATTCCTCTCATAAAACAACGAGGCGCACGTATCAAGACCCCTGCTGTGTCCAATTAGACTTCTTTAAAAAGGAACAACCTCTTTAACTCTGTGAGTTTCTGGGGGCTGTTTATCTTTTCCTTTTGGCTTATCACAACTCTTAAATTACCTTGGCATATGCTTCGTTGCTAGTATTTTCTTGTATTTTCTTTTTTTCCGTTGCCACAGGAAACAAACAAAAAAGGTTTTTTTGTTGTTTTTTTTTTTTTAGTAAGAGGCATTTCAAGAACGTGTTAGAGGGAGAAAGAATGTTGCTTAATGAAATAAAGAAGAGATAATTTCCAAACGCTTTTAAAACTACATAGTAGGACAATCATTCAAGTATGGGATGCACCCTTAAGCAAGATTAGGTCTTATGGGTGACAGAGGAACTAAGTTTGGTGTGTCAGCCTTGATTTCTTATTACCCTAGTTCCTGCGCTTCATACAAATTTAAGATCCAAGCAATTATGCCTAACGTGCTCTTGAATACGGTAAAATCATGCATTTTATGTAGTCAGTAATAAAAATACTGCAGTCGTTTTTCCATCCAAAGATACAGTCCCATTATGAATAATGAGTCCTAGAAAAATATAGCAAGGTAGTCCAATGCGGCAGCATAATCATTTATGCATCTACCAAACCTCTTTCACAGTTCAAGAAGTTTAATAGACGATCAATTCCTTGAGGGCAGAAGCTTTCTTATTTATCTTTGTATCTTTGTTACCCAGTAAGCACCATTCCTGGCACATCAAAAATCACAGATGATGGATGGATGGATGGATGGATGGATAGATGATGAATGGAGAAAAAATACTTCCCTCTTTTGGTCTTTGAAGTTTCTGGGTATTACCAGTGAAGATACAGAGTATAGGGCAAGGTTCTCATACCTAACAATCAGGCCAAACCAGCACGTTTAATAAAATGTTTTTTCATTGCCCTTAGAATAAAACCCAGATCGTTTATTGTGGCTAGTGTGATGTGATTTGGCCACAGGCTAACATTCATAACTTCAGCTCCTTCCATTCTCCTTTTCTCTCCCCACTCTGTGACTAGACTTCTTTGCATTCTTTGGAAACATCCAAACTCTTTCCTCTGACAGCCTTGTACTTCCTGTTCCATCTGCCCAGAATCTTTCCCCCTATCTTTCCATGGCTGGTATGGTCATTCACTATACTCAAATATCATTCCTTGGATACCCCTGCCCCATCCAAATTTGTTCCCCTCCTCCCTTTCAGTATCCTCAACACCCAACAGTGCCCTGCACTTAGTATGCACTCCATAAATATCTGTTGGATGGTTGACAAATTATTGTGCATATTTTGCAAATATTTAATGTTACTATTGTATATTTAACTTAAAAATTACTGAGGTTTTTCTTCTTCCCAAACTCCAATTAAAAAGCAAACAACCAAAAACTCAAAACAAAGGTGAAAATGTTTCTTTTGTTTTATTCTCGTAACTTACTAGAAGCTAAGAGGTTGCCTCTTCTACTCACCCTGGAAAGAAGGAAGGAAGGAAGGAAGGAAGGAAGGAAGGAAGGAAGGAAGGAAGGAAGGAAGGAAGGAAGGAAGGAGGGAAGGAAGGAAGGAAGGGAGGGAGGGAGGGAGGGAGGCAGGGAGGACGGAAAACTTAGAAAAGACTGAATTAAACAAAGCTTAAGAAAAACAGAGTCGTAAAACTTCTCAGGGCCTTTAACATGTTTATGTGAACTGAGACTTTCTATTAGAATAGAGGCTTTACTTCTCAAAGTTATTTGACCAGAGAGCATTTTTCCTCCTCCTCTCCCTCCTCCTCTTCCTCTCCCCCTCCTCCTCTTCTCCTCTTCCTCCTCTCCTTCCTTCTTCTTTCTCAGAGTACTTTTGAGACTAATCTTTGATGGCATACATTTTGGGAAACAATAAAGTAGGAACCACCATCTGCTGAGCATTTTCTGTGCCCTAGGCACTGTACTAGGCATTTTAAGTTTGTCACTTGCTTTGGTTCTCGTCCTTTCATTAATGAAGGAAATGAGCCTCACAGAGTTTAGCTAACTTGACCAAATGCATGTAACCATCAAATCAAGCACAGCAGCTACGATTTGAACCATTGCTGCTTGATTCCAATGGCTTTGATCTTCTCACTGCTATGTACTACTTCGCAAAATATTACTTCTAATTAATTAAAACAGAGGTTCTCACTCTCAAATACATACAAAGCTTATAAAATACAAACTCCTGGACCCTATGCCAGATTTATTTAATTCACTATGTCTGAGTTGGGATCCAAAAATTTGCATTTCTAGCAGGCTCCCAGGTGATGCCTGTTTCTCTGGCCTGGGGCCCACATTTTGAGAACCATTGACTTAAAGCCCTGCGATTCCTGTTTAATGATCTTTGCAATAATGTTATTAGAAGCTTAAGAAGCTGAAGACTTTTTCAATTAGTTTATACTGCCTTTGTTAATGCAGAGAACTAGATAACAGGGAGCTCAACAATTCATTTCAATTCCACAAATGTTTATTGAGCATCTACTGTTATAGACGTTATGCAACATACAGGAAATCTGAGATAACTAAGACCAGGTACTTGGCCTTAAGGGTACTTTAGTCTAGTTAATGGCAGCATGAGGTGGATGAAGCTTTAAGAAGAACAAAAGCAAACAGATGGTTGTGAGTCAGCAGGTCAGGCAGTCTGATAGATGTCGACCCAGTGCCAGCATGGCACATCGCGGCCCTCCCCACCTGGGCTAGAGCTGGGACTGGGGAAAGCCTTCCCACAGAGATGGCACCTGATTGGCATCCTAATCATGATCAGTAGTCAGCTGGGGTGGAGGATTTTAGGAAATGCCAGCAGCAAGTGCAAAGGCTTGGAGAGACGAGAAAACATGGGGCCTTTGGGGAAAGCTTGAATAGCTAAAGGAAAGACTAGCACACAGATGTGTCCAGATTTAGGTTAGCAGAGGGGAATGACTGGATTGAGGCTGGAATCTGGCTGTGAAGGCCCTTGTCTGCCTTCCGTGGATTATACACAAAAGTCAGAGCAATGTTTAAGAGAACTCATGGTTGAGACATGTGGCTTCCAACCATTCTTCAGGCATGCATTCCTTTCATAAATAACTTTGCAACCCTACTGGCTGATGAGGGCGGTACAAAGAGGATTGAAACACTGAATCTGTCCTCTAGGAAGAGAAATAAAACATTTACAATCTAAAATCCAATACAAAGGTGGAAATGTGCCCTTATTAAAAAGCACGGAGACATAGGAAGAAGTCCTGGAACAGCAAAGAGGGAAAGGTCACTCCATTTATGATAACTCTGGTAAAAGAGTCAAAGATGGGAAGCAAAGCAGGTGCCATTATCAACCTCGCAATACCTTTATGGATATTTTTACAGATGGTTCTCTTAGTCACCTCAAAGAGTGCCAGGATAGAAGCTGGGAAGTGGAAACTCCGAAAGCTGTTAGAGAGGAATTGCCTTTAGAATCACGCTTGCTTTTTCCTCGTTGCTAAAACGTCCAGAAAATAGCTAGCATGTGCGTTTCCCCAGCCTGATTAAAGAGTGCATGTGCAAGCCTCTAAATAATTGCTGCATGAATCTTTATAACCACCCGAAATGAGCTTAACTCGGTTGGTCTACGATGGCAGAAAGGCTTATAATGTGAGGCTCATCATTCTATCACGCATCAAAGAATGGGAGGCAGAAGCCCTGTTCCATTCTCCCCTCGCTTCCTGATTAATCCACACTTTTAGAATATGAGTAAGGGCTGACTGATGAGCTGGTTTAGTTTAGCTTTGTAGGATTTTTCCTCCAATTTAGCAAGCAATGAGGACCCGCACTATTTCTACTCTTTCATTTGGCTCTTAAGTCTCATTTGTGCCATTAGCTGAACTGGTACCTTTTTTTTTTCCCTCCTGCTCAGAATTCAGAGACTTGTCCTTCTCTTGTAATTATAAAGTGCTCACAATCAAGACAGCCCTGGTAAACTTTTCTTTTTGGCACAAAAACAATATTAGCTAAAGAGCTGGTTGTAACACAGATGCTTAGAAAAAGTAGGAAAAAATCAGGTCTTAAAAAGATTTATAAACCCCATTCCAGCTTGTATTCATCATCTTCCTTTCTTGCTATACACCCTGGAGAATAAAGGATGCTATTTACAATGATCCCTGTCAGGAGATGTTGAATACAGACTTATCTGCCTGCCAGGTCACAATTACCTTTAAAATCTAAATGAAATGAAGGAAGAGAAACCGCATTTTTCCCAGTAATGGGATATTCCAGCCATAGTCTCATTGGCACCCACAGTCTTTGCCTCATTTGTGAGGGCTGCCTCAGGTTTGTCAAAGGGTCCTTATTTTAGAAGAAAGATATACAGATATATAGATATATAGATTGATAGCTAAGTAGGTAGATATAGGTAGGATGGTATGGAGAGAACGAAACAGAGAACTAAGTTTATGAGCCTGGGAATTTCAGTTGGGTAATCCGTAGTAAATTGTTTTTTTTTTTTTTTTTTTTGCATCTGCTGGGCACCGGGTACTACCTTAAACATTGGAAGCAGCATGAACTCCAGCCCCTTCGTGGTGGGCAAAGTGATTGGAGAGGCAAGAGATTTGCACACAGAAGACATGACTTCCCCCTACCTCCTGCTGATCTGGGTTTGTCATTGAAGAGCCCTTTGCTATAGCATTGCTTAGGACTCCTTAGTTTACTCAAACCTAATGAAATGTGGTTTTCCTCTCCATAAACCACCTTTGGATGTTGCCAATAGAGAGAATAATTTACTGCTATGGTTCTCAAATTTTGGTCCTCACAGACAAACAACATCACCAGCTCCTGGAAACTAGTTAGAAATGCAAGTCCTCAGCACTCTACCTCTCTCCTTTCCCTGGACCTAGGGAATTGGAAATTCTAGGGGTGGGGCCCATAAAGCTGTGGTTTAACCAGCTTTCCAATGAGTCTAATATATGCTAACGTCTGAGAAGCACTGATCTAGTAGCTTGGACTTGCTTAGCTATCCCTTTAAGCTTAAATTGGCAGCCTAGGCCAGTCACTGGAATCACCTCAGGAGTTTGAAACAATGTAAATGCCGGGATGCCAACCCAGAAACTCTGATGTAATAGGGCCAGGCAGCAGCCTGGACACCACAGTGTTTAAAAGCTGCCCAGATGCTCTTGAGAAAGAGTTCATATGGAAGCAAGTGTAAGAGGAGCTGGGGGAGAGAGACTGGAGATGTACAGATATTTAGTTGATTACTGCAAGACCTAAACCAGGCTCTCAGCATTAAGGAGAACCTTGCCTAAGGCTAAGTCACTGGGTATAGGAGTTGCCAGGGACTTCATCAGGAAAGAAGGTAGAGAGCCATAGGCTGGATGAATGTGGAGGGAAATGAGAAGGAGGAGTCAAAGATAGCTTTGAGTTCTTGAGCATGGCTAGTGTGATGAGCCCTTCTTAGGAAAAGCAAGAATGGGGATTGGGAGGGAAGGAGATCTTCGTTTGAGCGGGGGATGGGAAATAAATTTGAATCTGAAAAGGCGTGGATTGGCTCGATGGTCATATCCAACAGACAGCTGAAACTTTGGGTCTGGATTTCAGGGAAGAGAGGCAAGAGGGAAGAAAAGAATGGAAGGGAAGAGAAGATAGAGAGGAATGAAGGGAGGGGGAAGAAGAGACAATGAGAAACACTGAGAGAGATTTTGCATTTTTAAAGCCTGTGACAAGAATTCCATTACTGAAAGAAGAGCATTTGCTGAAAAGAGAAAAGAGGAGAAAGAGGACCGAACCTCCAATAATGCCTGCATGTGCAGGGGAAAAAATAGAAAGAGAAGAAGAAAGCAAAAGGGGCAAGAGTTAGGAGAAGAGTCACGTTAATGTCGCATTATCAAAGCTAAAGAAAGAGTAGGTTGGGGGATGGGTGCAGGAAAGGTCAATTGCCAGCAATACCAAACGCCAAAGACAGGCAAGGAGGGTGAGATATTTCAGGCAAGAAGAAAGCTTGCAAAGTCATCATGATAGCATAGTAATAATAACAATAATAATAATAATTGGTGTTCACAATGGATTTATCGTGTGCCACGCTCCTGGCCAAGTGCCTTGCGTTAATTCAACAACAACTCTCCAAGTATTAGGTATCCCCATTTTGCAGATGAGGTAACAGAGATTTTAGGTACCCTGCACAAGGTTACACAGATAAAACGTGGTGGAGTGAATTCAGGAAGTCCAGCTCCCGAGAGACACCTGACCTCTCTGTGGAAACCAGAGTGACTCATTTAGAGGGCAACACTCAGTGTGGGTGGGAAAACCAGTAGGTGCCGGAAATCTCTGTCCATGTGGATGAAAACATCTCCCTGGTTGTTCCAGACAGAGTTCTATTGCACAGGAAGCAGATTCCCTTTCTGGAGTGAATGTTGCTGGGCACATGACCAAGTGCCCATTAGGATGGAGCGAAAGAACGGCATCCGACTCTTACAAAAAGTTGACATCTGAACAAAGAGAAATAAAAGCAAGTATGTTAAATTAATTTGAAAGGTCTTGTTTAAATCCACTCACGCAAAGACGTTCTCAATTTAAGGCTTTTATTCTACCCTAACCTCAGTTAGTTAGTGTGGCAGCTCAGAGCACATTCTGGATGATGCCAGGAAAAATTCATTTCACACCTGAAATGCTTAGATCTCATGCCGTTTCTTACAGTATCTTTCTGTCTGTGCCCTCAACCCACTAAAAAAAAAAAAAAAAAAAAAAGGGGGGGGGGGTTTTGGAAAGGAAAGGAATGATATCTTTCTCCGGAAACATTGCACTGAGGCAAACGTTTTCCCTTTGGTGCATTAGGAAGCCCTTAGATGAGAGAAGCTGGTGAGCTATGAAACAGCATTGGGACTTCTCTTGCAATTAAAAAAAAAATTATCAAAGCACTTTCCATACATGAAACCACCGTCAGTTATGTGGGGGAGGAATTATTATCTGTGTATCATGAAGGTGGAAATTACGGTACTGAGAGGTTAAATGATATTCCCAGCAGGCAAGAGAAGAAACTTTTCCAGGCTTGGCATGAGGACCTCTCTGTTTGTATATGTGTTCCCATTAGGGCTGCTCTGATGATCCAAATAAAAGTTGGGAGTGGGGGTAATGATTTATAAGCCCAAGGTTTTTAAAACATCATTTCTCATGTTTGGAAGTGAAAGTTGGCTGTGAGAATTCATCGAAAATGAGCCTGGATAGATGAGGCTGATGCAGATTAGTTTTTGAAGTGGAAGGACTGGAGGATTGGCCTTGTTTTCAAACGGCTAATTTTCTTGTTAATCACTGCGTTGGTTAATAACCACCTAGTTATGACCGTGGCAGAGAAAGACTGTCTGAAATAGGTCAAGCCTTCAGTCAGCCTGGCGTGTCCTGTCTTGATTGAAGGCTCAGGAAGCAGGAAGACTGGAGTGATTGGGGTGGGGGGGTGAGGTGGGATTGAGGCCTTGAGAGGAGACAGCAGTGACCACCTGGGGGACTTTTCTGTGGGAGATTGACAGGACTGGATGTACTCCTGAGGAGTCCTGCGGGGTGGGGGACAGGAATGTAAAAAAGGCCTGAGATGTCTTTTTTGGAATATGTGTGCCTTTTAATTCCTTGAATTTTTTTTCATTAATAACATGAATTAGATATGTTTTTTCCTACATTCTAAGAACACGACAGAATAATTGGAATATGCATGTGCAATTTAAGAAGACAATGAAAACCACCCAAAATTGAACACCCAGAGATGATCACTGTTACCCTTTTGATATATAACTTCCTTTTCTCTTTCTCTTTCTTTCTCTTTCTCACACGCTTTTTCAGTTTATCTTAATAGGTCCTGACTGAATTGTTAGCACCTACCACGGTTCCTAGCACATGGTAGATACTCAATAAATGTTGATGTAAGGATGAAAAAAATCATATTTATGATTTGTGGTATAGAATTATATAATAGGTATTACCTAATTCTAGATCATTACATATTTTTACAGTTTTCAAATACCAGGCTGAGCTATTACCTAAGGACACTTCTATCATATGGAAACATACAGCACCATGAACCAGCACGCAGTGACACTGTGGTCTAGAGTTTGGGTTCTGAAGTCAGTCTGCCTGGATTGGAAACCAGACTCCAACACTTAACTAGCAGTTCTTAATCTGTCAAGTAGGAGCAATACTCATAACATCTCATAACATTATTGTGAGAAGGAATAAATTAGTGCATTGAATGGGCCTAGCACCACACCTGGTACAGTCATAATTGCTTGGTAAATAATAGTTATTGATATTATAGTATGTTTTTAAATATTATGCTAGAGCACCGTATTAATGTTCTTCCATCATGCTGGCACATCGCAATTTTTAAAAATCTACCCCCTTTTGACAGGCATTTTTGTTGCTTCAATTTTTTGTTATGTAAAATACTAAATAGATCCTCTTTATATAAGAATTTATTTGCATATCTATACTTATTTCCTTATAATAAAATTGTAGAGGTAGAAATATAAGATCGCAGGCAATTAATCTTTTTATAACTTTATATGTTGCCAACAAAATGTGATATTAGCATAGAAAGCAACGGTGTATGAGCGAGTCTGTTTTCCCATATCCTAAGTAATCGTCCTATCCTTTGCACATTTTATGCAGGCTCATTTTGAGGAGCAAATCCCCTTCCATTTCTTGAGGCCATCTTGGGTTAGGCTAAGTGGAATTCTGCCAACATGCAACAGATTTTTAGGAGCAGGTTCTGGGTGTTTGTGCATGAGAGTGGAGTGGGGAGTGGGGTGGGGTGCATGGGCATGTACCCTCTGTCCCAAGAAGCTGCAGTGAGTATGAAAGATACCAGACTTTCACCCTCAGTAAATCTAAACACTCAAAGCAAAGTGTAAAAAGTGCTCGACAACTGTTATAAAGGATTTGGAAACTGTCTTCTCAAGGTGTGGACTGGGGTTGGAATCTGGAAGGCTGGCTGGAGAAAAGAACTCTGCTTCTGTCATTGGTGCAGTTGGTTGCCTTGTCGTTTTAATTACCTTACTCTTCTCAAGATCAGATTCAAGGCCAATCCAGCCTCCTCGGCCCCTAGCTTCTGCCTCCGCGACACAGATAACATAACTCACTTCCTAACTCACTTCCTGGGGCTGCCCCAGCCTAAGAGGATTAATCCGTCCTATGGAGTTACCTCCTCAGGAGGAAAACTGATAAGACGGTTGTAAAACTCCTGGGAGAAATGGAATGAGTTGTATAAATAAAGTGTTATGGCAGCCGACTCATCGAGAATGAGACCCGATGTCACTTAAATGTTTTGTCACTCTCTGTATCTTATGAAGGGGAACCTGTTTTCATATTGCAATACTTCAGCTCTGCCTGGAAAGTGATCGTGTGTGACAGTTTGCTTTTGTACTCCCCCACTTTATATAAAAGGAGCAGGACATTTAGGTTGGCTGTATTTGTTCTGAACAGGAAAACAAATCTGGCATTTTTACATATTATTCTGTACTCCTGGGAAAAACAGCTTTGACAGCCTAAGGAAAAGGCAGTTCAAATGGTAGTGATTCCCATGAACGTTTTGTTGCACTTTAAGTAAATCTACCATAAATGATAAGTATTTGAGATGATGGATACATTAATTAGCTTGACTCAATCATTTCATATTGTATACATATATCATAGCATCACTTTGTACCCCATGAATATGTACAATTATAATTTGTCAATATTCAATAACATTTCAAAAACAACTAGAAAACATATATATAAAAGATGCCTTCATGCAAGAAAAGAGTAAATCTTATATTTGGCTGGATGGTGCATCCATTCAGCTAATAATAATTGTACACCTACCCCAAGCCAGCACTGTTATAAGCATTGTGAGCTCAAGAGTACCCAAGAAAGATGTGGCCTCTAAGCTCACGAAGCTTCTCTTCTAAAGTGAAATTTAAGATTTTGGAGTAATAAAAATATAATGATTACCAATGTGAGAGCGATGCCAGAAAGAGACAGGGTGCTGAGCTAGACAATCACATGAAGCCGCCTACTCAGGTAGAATGGAGGAAAAAAAGGCTTTTGAGGTGACTTCTTAGCTGAAACTGAAAAGTGAAATTTCGGTCACCCATGTGACAAGGTTTGGGTGGCTGGGGTGGGGGTGGAGGGTGGAAGGGCTATTTTCAGGTCAAGGAAACAGCAGGGAAAAGGATCTAAGACAAGAAGCAGGAAAGTTCTTGGTTGTGTTGAGGAACTAGGAGAAAATGTGTGCAGCTCCAGTGTAACCAGGCAGATGAGAGGAGTTTGAAAGGAGACAGAATAGTAGGTGGATGTCACACCAGCAGCATCAGCAGCATCTGGGAGTTTCTCAGAAATGGAGAATCCCAACCTTAGACCTTCTGAATTTTGATTATCAAGTGGTTCCTGGGAAAGCACATCAATGTTGGCTAAGTGCTGATGCAAGCCATGGCAAGAGGCTTGGGTTTGGGATTTCACTGCAGTGGAAGTTATTGGTGGATTTAAAATGGGATGTGGTGTGCTCAAACACGTATTTAAATATCACTCTGGCTGAATAGAGGATTGCAGAGTGGCAAGAATTGAAATGGGGGACTAGTTAGGAGGCTGTTATAGTAATTCATCTGAGCGGTCAATTTAATCTAGACCAGATGACAGAGAATTTCCAAGCATTGCTATGTGCCTGGGAAGGTTGTCTGCTGTCTCATGGTTATTGGCAAGCAGAAAAATATATGCCTATTTATGCCCCCCAGGCAGGAAAATAGAAAATTGTTTCCCCTAAATTAGATACTTTGTCTTAGAACTCTTGGAGAGTCAATACCATCAAGGGGCTGGATTAGCTGAAGTACACTGTGTGGTTAGGAGCATGGGTTAGAGGATCATCAGAGCTGCATCCCCACCTGCCACCCCACATCCTACCTGGACAATGGTGAGCAATCACCTAGACTCTATGTCTTGGTTTCTTCATTGGTAAAGAAGGGATAAAGATAGTACAACACTGCTTTCCTTAGTACATTGATGTGTGTGTTAATTAAGAAAATGCACTTAACTAGCAAAGTAATTTAATAAGGCCTCTATAAATGAAGCTATTAATATTAGTAATATTATTTCACAATAACAATAAGTACAGAGTCCCTACCACACGCTGGATACTGATCGAGCTTGCATGCTTGTATGAGTTACAATGCCCAGCCCCGCCCCACACAGAGATTACGTGCTAATCAGAAAACAGCATCAGAAAGTGATTAAATCCACCTTTTTATTTATTTTTTCTCATTTCCCCCTGTGTCTGTCTTGTATTCAGAAAACTCAGAACTTAAAGAAAGCCCAATGTATAAAACATTTTTTAACTCCCAATTCATAGACAAGTTAACTTAACCCATAAGGAGGGTGACCAACGCTGCCAGTTCTCTGAGGACTGTCTTGGTGCTGACACTGAAAATGCCTCATCTCAGAAACCCTTCAGTCTTGGGCAAAAGGGACAGTTGGTCACTTTGACTTTAGGGTCTGTGGTTGAGTCAAAAGAGCTTCTTTCTCTCAGTTTAATAGCCACAGAGTACGTATGAAATCTTGGACAACTCTTTAAGCTTCAGGTTCTTTATCTGTAAAACTGACATATATATTTCAGGATATGGTTATAGGATAGTCAGACAGCATTTCATAAAACACATGATCAGAAATGTTGAGTCCAAAAATGATCTCACGGTTGCAACTATTATTACTAGGGCGGTTGTATGTGGAAAAATCAGAGGTAAAAAGAAAGAAACCCCCAAATGCGAACATAACTGTTTCCTAGAAACCCTCTGTCGATGTCTATTCCATTTCCCGACAGTTCGGAATACACAGGTAGTCTAAAAAAATCAACTTTCAACCTCATCGTTTTGTGGCTGGGAAAAGGGGGAAATAGGCACTATTTAGAAGGTATTTGGGATAGATGGAGTTACCACGAATGAATCTTCATTGGGATGGGAGTTTAGACCTGTTGAATGAATAAAAATGAGCCATCCTTGAAGATGATTATGAGAAGCTAAGTTCATACCAGCTCGTAACAGTGGCACGCTGTCAGTAGCTGGGCTAAGGCTGAGATTTTTCAATGAGAGCATCTGGCTTAAAAACTCCACAGGAGGGGGCTAGGGGTAGAGGAAGAAAATCCAAGAAATCCCTATGAGACCTTTTTAAATTTAGCACTCAAGGCACTAATATAAGAATATACCAGTGTGTGGATGAGAAAACGAGGGAGTCTTTACAAATAGGAGAATTTGGGATATCTGTGTTTGAGAAATTCTTTTGGACAAAAGTGGAGAAAATGACATTATCTGTAATTAGAAATAATAATGTGTAATTGGTTCATTTGCCATATTTCTACAGTTCTGATTTAGTTGAACAATGTGATCATTATGCCACCAGCTTTCAATAGAGGTGTCACAATGAAAAATAATTGCAATATTCCACAATATTAACTGCACCCTAATTGCAAAAGTTTTGAAATATAATTACCATGAAAGCTAATGCGACAGGGAACATTAAGCATAATTAGTGTTTTTTAAAAAAAGGAAAAACTGTTAGGAGCTTGTTATTGTCTAGTAAGGTAGCTTCAAATTAGCTGGCTGTAGAGCACTTTCATCTAGCTTTTCTATAATTTTCATTATTAGCACAGACTGTAATAAATTTATTTGACATAGCTCACACCTGCCAACCCTGCAGGAGATAACTTATAATGTGCGCCAGCCCCAAGATTTCCCACTGAACCTGTCAGAGCTTCCTACAAGGAGGCAGCCAGGAGTGAGGTTATTTTAAAAAAAATAAAATAAAATAAAAACCCTCAATTGCACATTACACAGTTCAGATTTAACACTTAAGCTGTGTTTTAAGTAATTTTCATAGAAAGCCAATGCTCTAGGAATGCAATTAAGAACCTCTTGTGGGTGGTGCTAAACAATCAAATCAGTGAACATTTCAAAGAACTCCTAAGGTGCAAGCCTGCTCTCCAGTGACTAGCAAGCCGCACCAGGGAGCTGACAATTAGCCCGTGCACCTGTTTGCCCAAGTGCAGCCCCTGATTTTCTGAGAAAGGCACCAACCCTGAACTCAGTGGCCACCATCAAACCCCTCAATTTCTTCTTTGACAAAACTACTCAAGGTCAGCATTTTGAAGCAATCACCTGCACCTCCTACCCACTCTGGCCTCAGCCTGTCCATAATGAGGCTTAAGAGTCAGGATCTTGACTCCACATAGACCATCTGATGAAGGCAAGGAGTGTACTCTGGGTGGGTACACAACTCCAGGGAGCGCCATTCACGTTGTTTTTTATGTAAAGTTGTGCATTGGGGGGTGTTCAATGTGAATGGTGCCCCCTGTTGTTTCTTACTTCTCTTTTTTTAGGCTCTCTGCTAATTGGCTACGTTACATCCCTTTGATTAAAAAAGAGAGTCAGGAAAGCTAAAAAAAGAGGAGGGAGTGGGGAGGAGCAGATATTTTTGAGACCTGACATAGAATCTAATTAAAAGAGACCCTCCATCCTGGATGATGCAGCAGACGACATCTAAAATAAAGGACGCAGGCCGGGCGCAGTGGCTCACGCCTGTAATCTCCGCACTTTGGGAGGCTGAGGCAGGCGGATCACCTGAGGTAGGGAGTTCGAGACCAGCCTGACCAACATGAAGAAACCCCATCTCTACTAAAAATACAAAATTAGCCGGGTGTGGTGGCGCATGCCTGTAATCCCAGCTACTCGGGAGGCTGAGGCAGGAGAATCACTTGAACTCAGGAGGCGGAGGTTGCAATGAGCCAAGATCGCACCGTTGCACTCCAGCCTGTGCAAAAAGAGTGAAACTCCGTCTCAAATAAATAAATAAATAAATAAATAAATAACATAAAAATAAAAGAAGCATAGCAACTTAAAAGAGTACAAGTTTGAAATACTATATTCCATACATTTACATGTCAACTTTAAAAACTCACAGACCCTTGTTTACAAAGCATTGTATCGAAAGGTGAACATTGTCATTTTAAATGTGGTCACTAATAACACTAACTGATTAAAAGGTCCAAATAATAGTAGCCAGGAAAAATTAATAACTTTCTTGATCAAGATGGCCTTTCTGCCTTAGTAATTTTGTTTAGATCACCCTAAATATATATATATATATATATATATATATATATATATATATATATATATGTATGTATTATCATAAATTCTTAAAGCATATTTATAGAGCTAAGAATTTATGGCTGGGTGTATCTCATGCCTATAGTCCCAACACTTTGGGAACCTGGGGCAGGAGGATTGCTTGAGGCCAGGAGTTCAAGAACTGCCTGGGAAACATAGTGAGACTCCATTTCTACAATAAATAAATTATAAAATATATTTAAAAAAATTTAGGAAGTTATGTATTCCATCTTGTCTCTGGCAGCCCCACCACAGAGATAAAAGTTCCACGAACCTTGCATTAATAACCATGCAGCCAATTTGTTAAAATGATGATGCCCTAACTTAATTAAATCTGATAGAGCTGATGACATTGAACCTCTTAGGGGAGATAAAGTTCTCCGGTTAATAAAGACACCATGTTTATAGATAGATAACCATAAGAGAGCCAGTCACGTGCCCATATGCCTCAGTTTCCTCATTTGTAAAATGAGGACATTCAATTTGATTATCTCTGTCTGTCTGTAAAATCAAAGTGAGTTTTTGACTAGAGCATTCCTTCTGATTGCAGATTTAATACTTCTGGCCAATTATTGGTTCTCGGAATCACTCTGTCCTAGACTTTCTCTTGTTAGAACCACACATTCTGTTAGTAACAGATGAGCCTAAAAATGTTGTCTGGAGACAATTGGCAGGACCTCAGCAGGCTGTAAATCCTTTCAGGAAAAAGGATCCGATCCTCCCTTTCCCCTACCCTCCCTTCCCCTCGCTTCTCCTCTCCCCTCCTCTCCTCTCCTCTCCCCTCTCCTCCCCTCCCCCCTCTTCTCCTCTCCCCTCCCTTCCCCTCTCTTCTCCTCTCCCCTCCCCTACCCTCTCTTCTCCTCTCTCCTCCTCTCCCCTTCCCTCCCCTCCCTTCTCTTTCCTTCCCCTCCCCTCTCTTCTCCTCTCTCCTCCCCTCCCCTCTCCTCCCTTCCCCTCCCCTCTCTTCTCCTCTCTCCTCCCCTGCCCTCTCTTCTCCTCTCTCCTCCCCTCCCCTCTCCTCCCTTCCCCTCCCCTCTCTTTTCCTCTCTCCTCCTCTCCCCTCCCCTCCCCTTCCCTCCTCTCTTCCCCTCTTTGCTTTTCTTCTATTTCTTTTTCTCTCTCCCTCTCTGTTTCCCTCTCTCTCTCCTTCTCTCTTTTCCCAACACAGTCCTCAGCATATAGGTTCTCAACAAATATGCCCTGAGGAAAGAGAAAAGAAAGTCCAAGCTTGGCAGTTCTCCAGCCAGAGTGTATTGCTTGTGTAAAGAGGAAGCTACCACAGATCAGAGTTAATCTTTAGGTCTGCACACCATGGGCATCATAGAAGCTTTCCTTAGTTCAGCATTTGAGGCCCATAATCTGCTGAATAGAGTGCCTTTCAATTTATGGAAAGGGGTCATATATTTTAGTGGTTATGCATGACTTAAATAATATTTAATTCTTATTATGATTCCTCAGTGTGACATTTCTGCTGAATTTTATATTTTCGTTTTCTTTTCTCTCTCTTTTTTTTTTTTTTTTAGTAAAAATTGAACCAGTTTTATTCTTTTTCAAGGAAGAGAATTCACTTTTCTAAAGGAAGAAGAGGAAACAAACTAGAAACTTACAGCATATATTTTTTATCTTTGGTGACACACAGAAGTTTGCTTTGTTTTTTACTTTCTCCTGTGTCCGAGTTTACAGTTGGACTTTTGTAAGGGAAGTGGACCAAATGTGTGGTCCTTGACTTACTTTCACGGTATTAACTACATTTCCTTTGTTCTGTTGCATAATGTAATCACTTGTGTTTAATCTCCCTTCTATAGGGAATGATGGATTATTAAAAGTATTGCTGCAACCTGTGCATGTACCCCCTAAATCTAAAATAATAATAATTTTATTGAAAGTATTGTTGCACTGCCACTGTAAAATTACTCAATGAAATCTACATTGTCACTACTCAGATATTGCCCTTCATTTATAATTGTGTGGTCATTAATTCTTATTTGTCAGTACATTTTAGGTTAAGAGGTTTTTTACAGCCTTAAGATCTAATCTTTATTTAACAATCAATCATCAAATCTGCATTTGCAAAGATTAGAAATCTCATTTTTAAGTAAAAACAGACAAAGAGTTAGGATTTGAACCCAAAGTTTAGAGGACTGTATTATCACCCAAATGCCTAGATGTTACCATGCAAATCAAAAATAAAATTTTGAACAAGTAGTTTTATTTTGAAGAGAGAAACATAAATATAGAACAGACTTATCTCATGGATAAAACAGAGGATAGACTATTAAAGTCATGTGTTTAGGGAGAAATTATGCCTTCCAAAGTTAATGCCTGGCTTTGAAATTGTGAGTAAGGCTTTTTTTTTTTTTTTTCCAGCATAAACACATCTAGACAAAATGTAAGACTCTGTGTCAATATTTTTTTTGAAGGGCAGATTGGGCTTATAATTATATAATACTGACCTATGACTTGTCTCTTAGGACTTCCACAAAATGAGATTTTGATCTGGTACTTTTGGATGTGTAATTTATCTATCTACAATGCAACACAATGAAAATGTTCTCTCATGGTTTTGGAATTATCTTCATTTTGGCAGATACAGGCACATGTGCTACACACTTCTCATTCTTGCACCCAGGGCAGACATCACTAATCGATCACAGCCCTCTTTCCCACTGGGAACAGATGGAGCCTGTCAATATTTCTCAGCGGTCCTCCAGGCAGCTACTACTAATCAATCAGAATTGGCATGCAAGATTAAATGCCCTTGCCATTCAGGGCAATAATCACAGAAAATGACAATCACACAGATGTGAGTCCCTGGGGTAGCCAAAATTCCAAAACCTAGTATAATTGCCTCTTCAAAATGTGATTAAATATCCTCTTTCCCTCCATCACAAGCAAAAAGAATAAAGTCATGCAAAGTAGGTTTGGTTTGGGAGGAAAAAAGAAAACAAAAAAACAAACAAAAAGAAACCTTCTAGCATCTGCATTTCTTTGTGGCTCCAAGATCCGAACTGTTCTTACACAAAAAAGACCCATCATTGAACTCCACTAACTTATACCTCAGTTCTTATTTATTTCCTCCAAAAAACTAACCTTTATACTACAGTTTTACTATTATTAAATCACTCTTCCATGGAGCAGATGTTTCTGAACGCTTTTTTGCGTTCTTTGTCTTGAATACTCTTACTAAATAGTGTCCTTCCACAGAATAAAAAAATTCCTAATCTTGAAGGAGTTATATTTATAGAGGAATAATTTATCCTAAGTTACATTAAAATAAGTAAATCCATGGCAGCACAGTTAAATTCATAAGAGCAAGAACCTATCATTACTCTCAGATTCTCTTTGGATCTCTGCTAAATTGAGGACTATACAATTTATGAATACATATTTTTTGGTTAAACAAACCCTAGGAAAAAAGCGTATTTATGCATCAAAAACCTGTTATTAAGAGCTCAAAAAACGTAAACTTCTTATTAGAAGATTTGATGTTTTTTTCAACTACAACAATCTCAAGAATTAAGAGTAATTTTATATTTCCTTTTGTAGTAAGGTACAATCATATCATGTTTTACTTGGGATGAATGTAACTATCTATGGTTTTAATTGTTACTGTAGAATGGAGTTGTTTCACAAAAATGATAATCCATGTTGTAGAGTGGTTAGTGAGGTGAGAAACTCAAGGGCCGGGCACGGTGGCTCACGCCTGTACTCCCAGCACTTTGGGAGGCCGAGACGGACGGATCATGAGGTCAGGAGATCGAGACCAACCTGGCTAACACGGTGAAACCCCGTCTCTACTAAAAATACAAAAAAAATAGCTGGGCGTGGTGGCGGGCGCCTGTAGTCCCAGCTACTCGGGAGGCTGAGGCAGGAGAATGGCGTGAACCTGGGAGGCGGAGCTTGCCGTGAGCCGAGATCGCGCCACTGCACTCCAGCCTGGGCGACAGAGCGAGACTCCGTCTCAAAAAACAAAACAAAACAAAACAAAAACAAAAGAAACTCAGATGACATCAGCAAATATCTCTTGGGCACCTACCCTAGGTTACACATTGGAACTACAACTGGAGTGCTTTGGGTTAGTTCCAGGAGCACTGGGGCAGGAGTACTCACCATGGCGTGTAGAAATAAGTAAATTCCAACAGTCATTCACGCAGCGAATATTTATTGGTGTTAGCTGTGTGCCAGGCAGTGTCCTTGTCCTCCAAGGGCACTACCAGACTACAGAAATACGTACAACTGGGGATGGTGGCTTACTACCATGAATAATTGATTTTAAGTTTCTCTTTTACAATAAGCTTCCTTTTTTAATTAACAAATATATATATATTTATGATATACAGCATGATATTCTGTTATATGTATGTAATGGATATGTCCATAATGTTATGGAATAGCTAAATCAAATCAATTAACATATCTCTTACCTTGCACACTTTTTTTGTAGTCAGAACACTTAAAATCTACTCATAGCAATTTTCAAGTATATAATACTTTGTTATTAACTATAATCACCATGTTGTACAATAGATATCTTGAACTTATTCCTCATTCCAATTGAAATTTTGTATCTTTTGACCAACATCTACCCAATCTCCACCTTCCAGCCCCTAGTAACCACCACCCTACTCTCTGCTTCTGTGAGGTCAACCTTTTCAGATACCACGTGTAATTGAGAGGGGTGGTATTCGTCTTTCTGTGCCTGTCTTATTTCACTTATCATAATGTCCTCCAGGTTCAGGCTTACTGTCACTATGACAGGATTTTTTCTTTTAAGGATAAATAGTATTCTGTTGTGTATATATGCCACATTTTCTTTACCCATTCATCTATTGATGCAGACTTAGCTTTCTCTTGAATAGAGTTCTTTGGGAGCAGAGGCCAGGCTTTCCCAGTTCATTGTTGTTCTCCAGCAGGTAGTACAGTGGTAGCACATAGTAGTCACTCAGTCGACACATGTTAACTGAATCAATTATACAACGGGAGTGGGAGGAAGGAGTGGGTGAGTGGAAAGTCCTTTTGCACGTTGCTTTTGCAGACAATGAGCTCCTGAAGGGAAGGGCACAAGTCTGTTATTCCTGTGCCCTGAGATCCTGGCATCTCATGGGCATGCCAAAAATGTCTGTGGAATGACTTTGGAGGTAACCAAGGAACAGTTAGAGGTCAGTTACGTGTTAGGATGTGAAGCAAAGGGAATGGTCAAAGCATAAGAAACTTTTAGAACACTGATTTTGAATATAGAAATTCAAAATACCTTTCCTTCTCCCAAGAGTAACTAGAGAGTGGGGGTAATTTACTTAATGTACACATTTTGTCCATCAATATTCCTTGTGCCAGCCACTGGTACACCCTGGGCAAAGGCAAGGAAAGGAGAAGGTATTCCCAGATGGAACAGGACCAGCCAAGCAGCAAGAAAGGTTCAGGCAGGCATGATGTGATGGATGACAGGGCTATCTCTTAAAAGGCCTGGGGGCATTCATTCCATAGCATCCCTGCATTCCAGAGAAAAAAAACTATGCAGCAACCTCAGCGAGATAGAGCAGCATTGCCATAATGTTGAGAACCATGGGGGCGCTCACCCAAGCTCCCTGGCCAGCTGGTTGGTGGACCATTTTAACTCTGCATCCACCTGCCTCTTCTCCTAGTACAACCTGGAGTTTCTGACTACATTCTAATGGGCTGACTTCATCCTCTTTGCATGGGATTTCAGTGTGTTGACTTTGTGCCAAAGATCAGTGGGTTTTATAAACTTTGATAAAGCGGTAAAGAAGCAAGTTTCACATACTGCCACCAATCATATTTTCATATTGGGCAAGAAGAATAAGTTTAAGTGGTGTTACAAAGCATATTTATTTATGCAGACGCTCTTTTTATCCTTTTCTCGACAGGATATTGGCACTACATTTGAAACAGGGAGAAAAAAAGCAACATGTTCCCATTTCTCAATCTCTTTACTGCCAATTTCTGAATTGAGACTAGCTTCAAGATTTTGAATATCTTCAGCATTGATCTACTGCTAGTTTCTGGTGGAGAAATTGAAACAATAGAAATCTGAAACCGAGATAGACAGCAACTTGCAGTGTACATTTCCTCTCCTGATGCTTTTATAGACAGAAAGGACAGAGGGGTTATATCTCGTTCTCCAGCTTGTCTGGCCATCCCATCCCCAGGAAGTCTATTTACTCCAGAAACTACTGTGATGCCCACCTAACTGCCATTTCTGTCGATTCCTGTCCAAGCTGCACAACTGACCAGCTTTGTAACTTAGGTGAAGTTATTTAATTTCTATTGCCTCTGTCTTCTTATCAGTAAAATGGACATATGCACAGAGTTTAGTACTTAAGGTTGTTGCGAGGATTAGAAGAGACCATGTATATTAAGTGCTGCTAAGAATGGTGCCTGCGTCTGGTGAGCAATCAATAAATGTTAGCAGCTGTTGTTATTATGACTACTCTTTTTATTGTATGTGTATAGAAGGGAAAATCACCTGTGTGCCTTAAATGGGAAGGGGAGGATAGTAGAGTCTTCCCCTGTCTTCCTATATTGACTGAGCCTGGGGGACCTCTACCTCTCTGAGTTGACTTGTACAAGTTCAGCATTACTTCCCTGCAATAGTTTTCTATGGCTGCTATGGCAAATTACCACAGTGATGTGGCTTTAAAAACACACATTTATTATCTGAGAGTTTTGGAAATGAGAAGTACAAAATGGTTTGATTTGTGCTAAAATCAAGGAGTCAGCAAGGCTGAATTTCCTTGCCTTTTTCAGCTTCCAAAGGACGCCTGCATTCCTTGGCTCATGTCCCCTCCTCTGTTTTCAAAGCCAACATCATTAGACTGAGTCTTTCTCATGCTCCTGTCTCTCTGGTTCTCTCTCTTCTGCATCCCTCTTTCCCTTATAAGAACGCTTATGATTACATTGGGTCCACCCAGATAATCTAGGATAATCTCTCCATCTCAACGTCAGCTGATTGGTCGACTTAACCTCATCTGCAACCTTCATTCCCCCTGGCCATCTCTATTCATTTCTCAGGTCTGCAATTGCAAATTACCACTGAATGGGTGGCTTCAAACAACAGACATTTGTTGTCTCACAGGTCTAGAGGCTAGAAGTCCAAAGTCAAGGTGTCAGCAGGGCCATGCTCCCTGAGCCTCTCAGGGAGGATCTTTCCTTGTCTCTCCCTAGCTTCTGGTGTTGCCAGAGATTTTTGGTGTTCCCTGGCCTACAGCTGCAACACCTCACTCTCTCTCTGCCTGTGTGGTCACACGGTGCTCTCCCTGTGTCTCTCTGCATCTTTACGTGGCTGTCTTCTCATAAGGACACCAGTCATTTTGGATTACGAGTCCACTTGCTCAGGTATGACTTTATCTTCACTAGTTACATCTGCAATAACCTTATTTCCAAAAAAGGTCACGTTGTGTGGTCCTAGGGGTTAGGACATCAACATATCTTTGTGGTGGGGAGACACAATTTAACTCATAATATCATGCGAGTTAACATATTCACAGGTTCTGGAGATGAGGTTGTGGACATCTTTAGGGGGCCATTATCCCACCTACCATACCTCCCTTCACTCCCGATTGGGATGAGAAGATGATAGTGTAGAGTGGATGGAGATAGTTTTTCCCCAACCTTGAGATGCTAACATCTCAATGTCCATTACTGCAAAAAAAGGTAGACCCCAAATGACACATGCAGCACAGCTAGACGTGGTATTGTCAGAAAGGGTTGTAGTCCACAGGAGTAGGGAAGGGAGATGGAAAGACAGGAAAACAGGAAGAAATTAAATCCCTACAACATATGGTCAAATCTCATCCCAACTGAGCTTTCATGTAAGGTGTCTGAATCCGTTCTTGGAAGTGTCTTTTCCCCTCCTGTTCGCTAAAATTTGCTCCATATTGAATTGCTTTTCTCCCCTACACCCCCACCAACCACCAGCTCCCTTCAGCTGGCATTGGCCTCTGTTCCTCTGCTGATATTTGAAGCATGTGGGTGGGTCTCACTTTCCCAGCAAAATCTTTTGTTCCCCTGTATCGATTCACCAATTATCACCTCATCCCCATTCTCCAATCCCTCCCCTTACAACAAAAACAACAACAAAAATTAAAGGCATAAACCAAAAGAACAGAACACCTTCAGCCTTCATAGCATCCCTGAGAGAGAAAACCTATGTATTAACAAGAAAGATGATCTGTATTTCTTTTTCCCTAGGAAAACATACTCAGCATTTTATTTCATGAAAAGATTGTATTTCCTTGATTGGGAGGGTAATTACTCTTCCAAAATAGACTTGCTGTTAAGTAATCTTGTCCATGCAAGTGACATGGTATATGAGTGAGAAATGTGGGCAATAGGTATATTTGATTATCCACACTGCTATCTTATCTGACTGACCTTAGAGAAGTTATTTGGTCTCCTTGGGCCTCAGTTTCCTTATCTGTAAAATGAGGATTTTAAAAAGGGCCTAATTTATAGGTTTGTGATGAGGATTAAAGAAGCTAATAACAGATATCGTGCACGTGCCAGGTGCCGGGTACTGTGCTCAACACTTTTCATGGATTATCGCATGAGTTTGTGTTATGTCCATTAGCGCAGGGTCTGAGGCTTCGCCAGCAGTCAAAGAACCGTCACTATTTTTGTGAGTACGTGGCTTGCTTTATCCAGTCTGCCGCTGGAAGCAAAATATTCTTTCTATCCTGGATGTCCAGTCTTGGAACCAGCTCCGAATCCATTGAAAGGCCCCTGGTGTCTCTGGGGGGTTGGTACCTTCAGACGTTATTGTACTACATTTTTGTTCAATGAGTCAGAGCCAAAGGACTTGGTTGGTGAAAAATTTAAATCAGATCGGTGAGAAGCAGCAATCTTCATCTCCCCCACTGCTCGGTGGTGCACCTTTGCCACCAGGTCAGGGAAATCATCAATCCCGGGGAGCAACTACAAAGCTGTTTCCAGAGCCAATTTCCTGCTGAACTGTGTGTTATACTCTTAGCAACATTCCAAAAATTATACTCACTTCAAAGCCAGCTTTGATCTGGCCCCCCTCCCTCCCTTCTCCCCCAGCCTTTGCCGAGAAGCGCATCTCCAGGAGTAGAGTTCACCTTGAAAGGCTGAGACGCCTGTGAGCAGAGCTCGGATCTTCCTGAGAGGAAGGGAGGGAGGCCCCAGAACCAAAAAAAATAAAAAATAAAGAAAAGAAAATCCGTGGGAGGCCTCACTTATTCTCTGTGGCCCACTGCCCTTGCCTTGGCAGCTCAGTTCCTTCTTGGGGTAAGCAAAACCATCAGCCCAGGCTCTGCCCTCCACAGAACAGCAGCAGCCGCAGCTGATCTCAGCATTGTTGCCCTCACGTGGTTTTGGTGTTGTTGCTTAAGCAGGGAGCTGCTTTGGGTTTCTCACTCAGAGCTGCAATGGGAGGTATGTAACCATCACCCAGGGCTAGGGCAGGAAGGAAAAGCTTGCCCTGAAGGGGAGGTACTGTACCGGTGCCTTTCAGGGAAAGGCCTTTGTTTGATACTGTCAGGCATCAGATGCACCTGATAATTTTTTGGAAGGAGGAATTCTTGCAGCAGCTCATCTTTCCTTCATTTTACCCACTCCCTTTCCCTCACTCCTAGATTACAATGTGGAAACTGAGGTACACTAAGAGACTTGCTCACCAAACAAGATGCCTGTGGATTCCAGAGTGATTCGCAAATCCCAGTTCTAGCCCAAGAGAAAATTCCCTCAGAAGCCGAGCAAAAAGAAAGGGGCAATTAGCTGCAAATGCCTCATGCATGGATGTGGTGCTGGAGTCTCGGGGGGTTGTAGGGATTGGGCGCTCTAAACCCAGTAGATGTGCCGCACTGGCTTCATTTGTGAGTTGGGAATCCTGGGGCTTCCCTAGGCAGGGAGTTTTTAAAATAATAGTTACCAAGTTTAAGGAATTTATTTCCACCTATTTGGGAGTAGGAGCAAGGGTACGTAATGACAGCCTGGAGGAGGAGCAAAGCACTGCCACCTGCTTGCTTGTGACCTTGAAAACCCCACCTCACCTGTCTAAGTCTTAGGGTCCTTGCCCAGGAAATGGGGATTTTGTGGTGAGGATGAGTGATAAAAATCCATGTAAAGCACTTCTCCCTGTAACTGACACAGTTCTTGCCCTACAAGTTCATAGTTGAGTTGGAGTGAATCAAGAAGCCTTCACTGAAAGGGGTCTCACACTTGTCTATCTCCCTAGTATGTTGCCTTGCATTTGATGGAGATTCAAAGTGCGTTGACTAGTTTGAGTGACCTTCAAGGTAATAGTTCAACATGTTGACAAAAGTCTCCATAAGGGAACCTTGTGACAAAGTATTGTGTAAAATAAAGAATCTGTGTAACCGCTCCAATATTATTCTATTATTATTATTATTGGTTAGTGTTATTATTATAGGTTATTATTATTACTATTTTTGGCTATAAAAGACAACAATAACAACAATCACTGCTTACTGACATATGACATTTAGTACAGTGCTTAGCACAAAGTTAGTGCTCCGTGAAGGTTAAACAACAGTGAGAAAAAAACACTGCCTGCTTTTCAAAACATTGATTTCTACATGCAGTTTTAGCCTTGCATCTGTGAGATCATGACGGGTTTATTTATATTTCTCTTTTTATGAAAGCTTAGCGGTTGTGTTGAGTGAATACAAACAGTTACCATAGGTCCTTAAAAAGGAGCTCTGAGATGTGTATTGAGCGAGCGCTGAACATTTTCAGGATGTGACTGGTTCCCTGGGGCCCACTGCATCAGGCTGACCATTCTGAGAATTAATAGCCACCCTGACACTTGAAGCCCATCAGGAATGAGATGCTTGCCTCGTCTGGGAGGACGGTGGGACACGTCACCACCTGCACGTCTCCCTATAAGCTCTTACCTGCCGAATTAGCAAGCTGCAGCTATTATGTTAGACAGAGCCACAGCTGAGCCCGCAGTTTGATTTTTGTCACCATAAAGGCAGGACTGGAATTGACACTGGAGTAATTAGGAATGAATTCTCAGATCTTGACTTATCAAGCACACTGCCAGGGAGGGAGACAGGAGCCGTGTGGCAGTGTTTTGGAAGCTGAGATGGTGACCTTGCAGGCTGACCTCACTCTTAATCTTTCTATTAGAGAGACCAGTAAGCATTTGGCCAGCACCTCCTGTTAGGCTGACAACCAGAGCAGTTCGTTTGGGATTGGATATTTTTCTCCTTTTTTTTTTTTTTTTGTAGCCTGTAGGCACTTAGAAGAAAAAGGAGCAGGAGAATGAAGCCAATATGGGAAGCAAAGTTACCACGGGGACAAAATGTTCTTCCGAGCAGCTTGAAATGAGCATAATTTTGGAGAATTTCTGCAATAGCGAGTTAATTCATAATTGGGTTTGCTGAGCAATCAACAATGTGTTGCTTGTATTTTCATATGCTGGGAGCATATGACTCCGTGTGTGCACTGTGTGTGTATTATAATGCTCCAGTACTTTGATGCTTCACTAATGTGCAATCTCTATTTCTTGCTTTTGTCTGGGGGCCTCTCATATTACGTTTAGATTGTATCCTTTATCATCCCAAATTGACATTTATGCTTTTACTTCTATTGTTTCCCTAGCTTCTCCCTGGTATGGATCAACAATTTGTTTTAATCTGTGTCACTTCTCTTATCTCCCTCGACACAGAGGAGCAGTCATTTTGCACCGCCATCCGCCTACAGAGGTTGTGCTGTCGAGAGTGTGGTGGGGTCCCTCACCCTCTCCCCACTGTCTAAAGTGCTGGCGAATGTTAATTGCTTTTCCAGTTAGTTTATAAGAATGCAGAAACCGCTGAATGCAGCTTGACTGGTTTTGATGAAAGTAATGGAATGCTAGTGCCTATGAATAAATAAATCTGATTTACATAGAGGACTATTGTGGTATTGGGTAGGAAGCCTCTGAATGCAAGCAAATTATAGTTTAAGGACACATTATTCCTTGGCTTTTATTCTAAGTAAAGGAGAAGAGCTCAGGTTTCCTTGGGTTCCCAGAACGGGAGGCGAAGAGGTAACCCCTTGACCTAAGAGGAAAAATGCTTTCTGAGAGCAGCGTTGATCTGAAACTTAAGGGGGATGCATTTTGTTTGGAGAGAAGCTGTAGATCTAGGTCTCACTTCCTGAAATCCCCTTACAGAAAGCATATAGAATAGCAAGTGGTGAAGAATTTATGAGAAGCAAACTGAAAATGTATGAGTGCCTATCAGAGTGCTTTGGTGAAATAACTGGAGAACACTCTTAGAGGAAGACGGGATCACAACTATTATGACTATCACGACATCCAGTTTTATTTGTGTTTCCTAAATTCCCACAAGAGTGTGTGGCCACTAGAAATGGAATAAATCAAGACATTCTTTTTTTTGGACGAGAAAAGGCAAGTGTGGTAGAAGTAAGAGGACTCACATCAGGGCATCTGCATTTCGGAGTGCCTGAGGATTGTTCTGGGATGAGTCCATCTGGCAGGAAAGGAGATGGGAATAGAGAGGCTATGGGAGGCACAATTCAAGTAGATGCTCAGACTAAAAATGCAAAACTGCTACGTTTCAGAAGTGACCCTATTGGTGGCTTCTGATAAATGAATGAGGATTAAACGCCAAAATTAAATCACTTAAAAAATATTTGTATGGGCCAGGCGCGGTGGCTCACACCTGTAATCCCAACACATTGGGAGGCCGAGGAGGGTGGATCATCTGAGGTCAGGAGTTCTCGACCAGCCTGGCCAACATGATGAAACCCTGTCTCTACTTAAAAAAAAAAGAAAAAAAAAGAAAAAAAAAATCAAAAGTTAGCTGGGCATAGTGGCGGGCACATGTAATCCCAGCTACTCAGGAGACTGAGGCAGGAGAATTGCTTGAACCCGGGAGGTGGAGGTTGCAGTGAGCCAAGCTCGTGCCACTGTACTGCAGCCTGGGCAACAAGAGCGAAACTCCATCACACACACACACACACACACACACACACACACACACACACAAATAGCATGGGCAAGGTACTATTGTAGATGCTGAGGGCACAGCAGCAAATAAAGCCAAGTCCCAGACTGTGTAGGACACTTACATTCTCACACCCAGCTCGCAGCAAATTATAAACTCTAAGGAGATAAATAATTGGGGGAGATCTTGAAACTTGACTACAGGCTTAACTGGGTAAGACTGCCAGAAAACAGGAACAGTTTTCTGTGTATTTAGTGCCATTCATAACATGACAGCATCCACAGTGACTAAGCAAACAGCCCAGAGGAGCAAGGGTGTGAGTTAGGAGTTGAGTAAGAATCAGCGACAATAAAAATGAACACCTGACATATTTTTCCCATTCTAGGGTCCTCTGTCTATAAATATGTTTGAAACTAGGTTATTATCCTCTCTCACCCATGCTTATCTCCCAAATTCTTCTTAATCATTTCTCGGGTCCTGATGATATATTGATAGGCTATGGATTAAATATGAAATTACTGCAAATCTCAAGCACCCAAAGATTTATGGACTGAGGCTTAGGCCTTATATCAAATCAACCATCTAAGAAAATATATGATTTCACCATAATATTAAAAATTACTGGCAGCGTCTTCATCTTATCCGATTGGTGTTGTCCTGATGATAAGCTCCAGTAAGCAGAGAGAGAAGTTGTGTGATAAATTATGGAACAGACATTGAAAAATATATTTATTACATTTGGATGTGCAAGGATTTCACTCGCTGTGTACAGAAAAAAAGAGAGTTTGTGTTGTAACGCCTACTTTGGTTCCAAATATTCTACAGTCTCTAAAGACTAGCTGATCTTCCGTTGGCCTCATTCGCAGGAGTTGAGTTCCTAGATGGGAAAACTGTGTAGTGATTACAAATGAAAGTATTTGTTCTAAAAGTAAGAGTTTCCTGGTCAATGTGAAGAATATCCACAGAGAGGAGAATCTAGGTCCATGTTTCTCAAAGTGTGGTCTATGGACCAGCACATTGTCAGTCCCCGCGAGCTTTTGAGAAATGTATACTCCCTGAATTAAAGTCAGCCTCTTAACAAGACCCCCAGGTGGTACATAACTGTTTGAGAAATGAGAAAAACAAACTATGATAGACGGGAAGCCAGACAGGAAGAGAGAAGTTCTTAATGTATCTCAGGGAGGGTGCTCGATGGGAGGCATGACAGAAATTATATTAATAATAAAAATAAAACAATGAAAATCATGGTTAATGTTTATTAAGCACTTATGAACAGACATTGTACAAAGATTACTTGACCTCATGAAATCTTCATGAAGACAGCCCTGTGGGAATACTAGTATTACCCCAACTTTACAAATACAAAGATGAAGGCTGAGAGGATTATAGAACTTTCTCTGGCTACCAAAGCTTGCAAGTAGCAGAGCCAGGATGCACAATCACACTTATCTGATTTCTTACACATTTCAGTGAAGTCTCATGAGTCAGAAACTCTAGTGGACAGGGCCAGCCATATTGGAGGGAAATGTTGAAATATCAAGAAAAAAGAGTCATGAAGTAGGAACTGTCTTTGTACATAAGGAGAAAAGGAAAACTGGCAAAATGGTCTTTTAGGTTCTACTAGCATATGCCTCCCTTTGAAATCCCCAGCTAGAAACCTGCAGTCATCCTTGGTTCTTCCTTTTCCTCATGACCCATATCCATGAGACTTCTGATTTCCATCATGTCCCCTCCTTAGTGTACACTGACTGTGTCCCTGGCTCTTGAAGTGCACCTGCTGTCGTAGTTCAGACTTCATCATCAGTAGCTGGGTCTTGAGCAACATCCTCCAAATTGGCCCCTGCAGCTCCATAGTCTCCCTTTTCCAGCCCCTCTATCATGAATCACCATATCTCCCTAGAACCCAATTCAACCATGTTCCTTTTCTTTCTGACTCTGTGCTAGATGCTGATAAAACACACATCCTGCCCTCAAGGAAGCAACAAGCCCAGGGAAAGTCCTCACACTCTGCCTTGTCTACCACTCCACTCCCATCTCACCTTCCTCTCTCTGTGCTTGCACACATCACTCTTGTATTTGTCTTCATACATATCCCTTACAGGTGAGCAGAAATCAGGCGCAGTCCTTGGTTCTCAGCCACTTCCTGCTTCTCCTCAGTCACTCTCTTTCCACTGCCCAGGATGTTCCCTCCTCCTTAATTATCCTGTGAACACCAACCCATCCTTCAAGGGCCAGCTCAGCTGTGCCTGCCTCTTTGAAGCCTTGTCCTTAGCCTTACCTCGGTGTAAGCAGTCACTCCCTCCTCTTTCAGATCCATCAGCATTTGTCTTCCTTGTTTATTGCTCCTCCTAGACCAGGATGTAGATAGATTCCCATCATGTCCCTGGAACAAAGAAAGGGCAAGGAGACAGTAGAATGGCTTACAGGCCGAAAACCTGAACTTTCAAACCTGTTTTTGGGTTTAAGACAGTTTAGATGCTTCCCCCCAGTGCCTCTGTCTCTTATACTCTAATCGAGGCCATGAGGGCCAGGTGCAGTGGCTCATGTCTGTAATCCCAGCACTTTGGGAGGCCAAGGCAGGTAGATCACCTGAGTTCAGGAGTTTGAGATCAGCCTGGCCAACATGGCAAAACCCCATCTCTACTAAAAATACAAAAAATTAACTGGGAGTGGTGGTGTGTAGTCCCAGCTACTCAGGATGCTGAGGCAAGAGGATCGCTTGAACCCGAGAGGTGGAGGTTGCAGTGAGCTGAGATCGCACCACTGCATTGCAGCCTGGGCAAGAGTAAGACTCTGTCTCCAAAAAAGAAAAAAAAAAAAGCCATGGGAAGAGGTTATAGAATGTTTTCAGGCTTTAATTTATGATCCAAGCACACCACCTGGTCTACCTGCCACCTCTGTGCCAACAGCCTTGTTTGCATCTGAATAGAAATAGGATTAATTGATGCATAAATAATTTAAATTACCTGTATAATCTCAGAACCTCCGCCGCTGAGGTAGAAAGACGGCTTGGGTGACTTCAAATCAGAATTATGTCCCCAGGGGATAGGTTGTCAGATTCAGTCCACACTTGAGGTCCTAGTCATGTCTGGTCTGCATGGTAAATGAATGCCACATGTATTAGCTCATTGATTTCTCCTAGCAGCCCTGTAAAATAAATGTTTTAACTTCCATTTTACAAATAAGCAAATCAGGGCCCTGGATCTATTGAATACTCTGCCCACATAGCTCCCTCCTGCACTTGAAAGTGGGAGAGTTGGGCATTAACTCTCGGGAAGGAAGCCTAGTATCTCCCACTGTCTTATGTTGTCCCACCCAGAACGAACTCTCTTTCCCGGCCATCACCTTTCCGTCAAATGTTCTCAGGGTGCATGTGCGTTGAAATAAAGAGATAAGGTGTGACTGTCAAGCAGAAACATGCCAGAATAAGGCATACATTAAAGTCTATCTTAATGCTTCGCAATTGTGCCCGTGGTGTGAGCATGCTTTTGTGTTTATATGTGTGACCAGTTGTCAGTGCTGACAAAGAGTGTCCAAGTCCCGGGTCTCCTTATTTCTGTTTTCTTATTGCTTAAATAGACCATATGGAGGACAGGATGCTTCATTTTAGCTCAGGGATCTGGTTGCATCGTCTCCCCACATCCAAACATCAGTCCCATATTTGTCTTCATGCATATTCCTTACAGGTGAGCAGAATCAGGTGCAGTTTTTGGCTCTCAGGCCCAGTTAGCTGAATACAGATGACACGCAAAGTGCTCTTGCTGACTCCTCTGTCAGTGTCGTGGGGACCAGCTCTGATCCATTTCTGTCCATGAGCGCTTGCCAGGAACCATTCAGGCGAGTCAATAGGATGCCCATTGATGGGCCAAACGTTGTTTTTCTCGACAGGAGCATGCAGAGTAGGCAAGAATGTCCAACTGGCTGCGTCTGACCTGTCAGCCAATTTTTATCTCTCCAGGCAATAGCTTTAAAATGGTAAAATATCTGGAGTTCATGACATAGGTTAGCACTTCTTTCAACTCAAGGTGGCAGCAGCATGAAGAACGCATTCATCAAAACCAAAGGGACTCCACTGAAATGGATACATCAGAAACATCTGAAACTTATTTCCCAGCACCCTTTGTCAAAGTAAAGTGGGAGGACCACCTGCATTAGAAGCGCCTGGAGAGCTTGAGATTGCACGTCTTGTCTAAAGGTTCCACCTAGAGGCAAAACCTGGGGCTTTAATGAGGTCTGACTTCATGTCTAATCCATATTACAAAATGTGTCTCAAGATCCTCTTTCTACCATGCCTTCAGGTAGAAAGGGAAAAAACACTTAGGTATCATTTCATAAGCCCCAGAATGCCTAAGATTACAAAGACTGAGAACACCAAATACTGGCAGGGATGTAGAGTACCTCACATACTCTACATGTGGTAGGTGTATAAACTGGTACAACCATTTTGGAAAACTGTTTGACATTCTCTTATACAGTTAAACATATACCCAACAATCCCACTCATCAGTATTGACCCCCCAAATAAAAATATATGTTCAACTGTAGATTTATGCGTGAATGTTCATGGCAGGTTTGCTTCTCAGTAACCCCAAGCTGGAAATAAATCAAACGTCTATCCACATGTGAATGAATGAACAGACTTGAATAGCATCATACAATAGAATACTATTCAGCAATACAAAGGAATAATCTACTGACAACTCAACAGCATGGATCAACCTCAAAAATGTTATGCTGAATGAAAGAAGTCAGACATAAAATAGTACTTGCTTATCATTCCATTTATATAAGTTCAAAACATGTAAAACTAACTTATGATGATAGAAATCATGGGTGTGACCTCCAGAGGGTTGAGGATTACCTGGAAAGGGGCACGAGGGAACTTTCTGGAGTGGTGGAAATATTCTCTATCCTGAGAAAGCCGATAGTTACATGGGTATATGTATTTGTCAAAACGTTTCAAATTATATGCTTAAGACACTGCTGGTGGGAGTGTAAATTAGTTCAACCATCATGGAAAGCAATATGGGGATTCCTCAAAGAGTTAAAAGCAGAATTACCATTCAAGCCAGCAATCCCATTACTGGGTATATAACCAGAGGACTATAAATCATTTTATCATAAAGAGGCACGCACATAAATGTTCATCGCAGCACTATTCACAATACCAAAGACATGGAATCAACCTAAATGCCCATTAATGACAGATTGGATTTTTAAAATGTGGTACATATACACCATGGAATACTATGCCGCCATGAGAAGTACAAGATCACGTCTTTTGCAGGGACATGCATGGAGCTGAAGGCCATTATCCTTGGCAAACTAATGCAGGAACAGAAAGCCAAATATCACATGTTCTCACTTATAAGCTGGAGCTAAATGATAAGAACTTATGAACACAACGAAGGAAACAACAGACGCTGGGGTCCACTTGAGGGAATAGGGTGGGAGGAGGGAGAGGAGCAGAGAAGATCACTATTGGGAACTGGGCTTAACGCCTGGGTGATGAAATAATATGTACAACAAACTCCCAAGACACGTGTTTACCTATGTAAAAAACCTTCACGTGTACCCTCAAACCTAAAATGAAAGTTAAAAGAAAAATAAAATAAAAATAAAGTTCAGGGTTGAGTATGATGAACCTGAATACAATTTTTAGAAATAAAAATAGGAAAGAAAGACCCACGTAAAGATGAAAATGAAAATCACCTGTATTCTTCCCACACAGAAATACTCCTCTTTATAAATTTTGTTGAATTCCTCTCTGTTGTTTTGCATATATATATATAATTAAATACTCCTCAACTTGTCATTGTAAAAGAAATGATTTCTATATGTAAACTTCCCCTTAGTTTTTAAAAAGCAGAGTGGGAGAGAAATGGGCATGGCTACAAAAGAGCAACAAGAAAGACCTTCTTAGCCAGGCAAGGTGGCTCATGCCTGTAATTCCAGCACTTTGGGAGGCCAAGGCGGACAGATCACCTGAGGCCAGGAGTTCGAGACCAGCCTGGCCAACATGGGGAAACCCTGTCTCTACTAAAAATCCAAAATAGTAGCTGGGCTTGGTGGCACACACCCGTAATGCTAGCTACTTGGGACGCTGAGGCAGGAGAATCGCTTGAACCCAGGAGGCAGAGGTTGCAGTGAGCTGAGATCACTGCCACTGCACTTCAGCCTGGGTGACAGAGTGAGATTCCACCACACACACACACACACACACACACACACACACACACACACACACAAGACCTTAGTGTCTTAGCGATGGGAGTTTTCTGTATGTTGACTGTGTCGACGTCAATTCCTTAGTTGTGATACTATGATATCATTTTATAAGATGCTAGCTTTGGGGGAAACTGGACAAAGAGTACTTGGCATCTCTCTGTCTTATTTCTTACAACTGCATGTGACACTACAATTATCTCAAATTAAAAACTTTAATTAAAACACAACAAAATTTGGTATTAACAGCTTGGAGTTTGATATTTTTAATTTTTAATTTTTTGGCCAGCTTCAGGTTTTAATTTGGACTTCTTGTAGGTAGCCCATTGTATTCGTGTGTATGCCTGCATTTGTGTGTGTGTGTGCACATACAAGTCTTATGGGAGAGAGAGAAAAACAGAGGTGTTTTAAAATTTACTTTGATTTTTGTTTTGATTTCCCCCACAGATAGGGGCTCATAATTTAAAAGTCACCCTTTCCATCAGGCTGGGTTCATCGGTCTAAAGTCAAAAATCTCTATGCCACTTTCTACTTCTTCCCAATGTTTTATAATTCCAAAGTGTCCTTGCTATACAAGGAGCCTTCTTCTTGAATGTTACATTATTCTACTGACATTGTAGAGTGAATAGTGCCTGTGAGCATCTTGGCCACTGAGTTGGGGGAGATGTCAGCCACATGTGATTCTGCACATCTTCCAGGTAATGCAGCGGTGCTAATGTAGTCTCCTGGATGCAGGGACACCAACGGGGCTTATGTCACTCCCTTGGTGGCCTTAAGTGCATAAATCAATCCTTATTTTTATGCCAATCCATACAGAAGGCTTCCTTGTGTGTGCTGCACATAGGGAGGGAGGGCAGGATGCCTCCTTGAGCAAGTGGTTTGCATTCGAAGAAAGCAAGCAGTATTGGAAACTGGTTTCTGGGTATTTTTGTTTCTTTATTTAAATCCCCTAGGAAGGCTGCTCTGGCTTGGACAGAACCAGAGTGAGGGGACTCATTAGCTGGAGTGAGGTTGGTGTCAGGAAAAAAACAGAGCTCCTGCCTTGGCTTGCCTGAGGTCGCAGGACGCCACCCTTGAGTCTCCATTTCTGGCCCGGGTCCTGAGTGCCTGCCCACCCTAACTCTAAAGCAGACCTAGCCTGGTGGAGCCTGCTATAGAGAGGCTGATGTTCTGAAATACATATGCCAACGATGATAAAGGCATACTGTAGGAAGACTAAATGCTTTTTTGAAATTATTTTGGTAGGGAATCACCAGCATTATCCCAGTTAACCCAACAGTGTCCAGGAGGTGGGTTGATACAGTTTATTTCATTCAGCAAAAAGGAAAATCAGTTAATCACAACTCTTCCTCCTACTCTTCCTCCTCTCCCTCCTTCTTCTCTGGGGTATGGGGGCATAATAACAATGGTAAGACAAATGTAAGAATTATCTTTGTCATTTCTTGTCTCTCCTATTGGCATTTCCTTACCCTCTCTAGGAGCCCCCGAAATGTCTATGGTTCCCATTTCATTCTCACTCCAACATCAAAACCTATCAATTATATTCTCAAGGCCCTCAAAACCCCAAGTCTTAATAGGACATTGGATGACAATGAGTTTAATTTGATAACATGAAGCTTTAGCAAATTTGAAGACATTCATTTCCTCTAGGCCCATAAAGGATATTACTAACGTATCCCAGGCACCATGATAGAGCTGTGGGAGAGAGAGAGATTGTTAGGCAGATAGCTAGAGCTTTGGTCTTCTCAAAATTGCATCCAATGGGAAAACAGCACATTTAATTATTTAGTTATTACTGAAGGAGGGCGATATGCTTATATCATCCCCTGGCACAGAAGAGACACCAAAATATGTGTTAAAAGAATGTGTGGGCCAGGTGTGGTGGCTCACACCTGTAATCCCAGCATTTTGGGAGGCCGAGGCAGGTGGATCACTTGAGGTCAGGAGTTCGAGACCAGCCTGGCAAACGTGGTGAAACCCCATCTCTACTAAAAATACAAAAAAATTAGCTAGATGTGGTGGTGCGTGCCTGTAGTCCCATCTACTCAAGAGGCTGAGGCACAAGAATCACTTGAACCCAGGAGGCAGAGGTTGCAGTGAGCGGAGTTTGCTGCAGTGCACTCCAGCCTGGGTGACAGAGGGAGACCCTGGCTCAAAAAAAAAAAAAAAAAAAAGAAGAAGAAAGAAGGAAAAAGAAAGAAAAAGAAAAGAAATAAAAGAAATAAAGGGAGGAAGGAAGGGAGGGAGGGAAGGAGAGAGAAAGAGAGAAAAAGAAAGAGAAAGGAAAGAAAGAAAGAAAAGAAAAAAGAAAGAAAGAGAGAAAGAAAGAAAGAAAGAAAGAAAGAAAGAAAGAAAGAAAGAAAGAAAGAAAGAAAGAAAGAAAGAAAGAAAAGAAAGAAGGGAGGGAGGGAGGGAAGGAAGGAAAGAAGGAGGGAAGGAAGGAAAAAGGAAGGAAGGAAGGAAAAGGGAAAGGAAGGGAGGGATGGAGGGAGGAAGGCAGGCAGGCAGGAAGAAAGGAAGGAAGGAAGGGAGGGAGGGTGAAGATCAGGATGATTCCTAGACTGTTTAAAGAGCATTTGAGAAATGCCTCTTAGAGGATGTTACAGCCTATCTTGCTTGCCAATGAAATTGCCCTAGTCTAGAAAATTCTGAGTCTATGCAAAAGCATATGAGTTTCTATTATGTTACCATCAGAAGAAGATAGTTCCAGAATACCCTGCACATTCCCTTTTCTTTCCATTTATCAAGTTCTGTTGAAGTCATCTGTCTCTCTTACTAAAGGACCAACTCCTCAAGGATAAGGACTATATTTTAGATATTACCATGTTATTAGCATCACAATCAGGCTCAGGCATACAATAGATGCTTCATAAGTGGCTGTTGAATTTATGGAATATTATTTCTGGGTCATTTTCCAGAAAGATTGCCCATAGAATGGCTTGTCAAAGAAGTGGACTCTGGACCTGAAGGACTCTAAGAGATGTTCCTCAGTGATCTTATTTCAGATTCCCTCGAATTGCTACATGGGAGAGTGGATTCTAATCAAGGTCAGCCATGAGCCACAAGCAAAAATAGAGACTGACAAAATTGGTAGGGGAAGAGTTAGGAAATTTTTCCTTATGGCTCAGGGCTATGTTTTCATGCAAGATAAGAGTTGTTGTGCCTCAGATAGGAGCACAAGTGAGCAGTTCAGCTCTGCCTCTCTGCCTTCTGTCCTCTTCATGCACCAATTCTCAAGACAACACTGTTATCTTGCCAGAAAATACAGCCCAAAGCATTACAGATGTCTGGTACAAGCGGAACCCATATTAATGGTTATTGCTTAAAGAAGAGGCATGCTCAGATCTCTTTACTGCACTCCAGGGAAATCGCAGTTTTTACTTTCTTCCAGAGCAGACCAGAGATGTAAAAAGATCAATTGAGTTTGGCCTATCTCAGATAGAGGGGGCTTTCTTAGAGGTAATTTGAATGGTAGTCGTGACATGGCCTGAGACACATCCTCACAAATACAGATTTCTTAACACTTATTATTTTTTTTAATCAAGGTGCTTAGGGATGCTTAGACATAAATGTTTCAGTTTTCTATAGGAACAAATAAGTTAGTGATAATATATGAAGAATCAATGAAGAATCGTTTTTAAAAAGGCATTTTTAGTGTCTGTTAACAATTGACTTATGGTTTAATTTAAATTAGCTGAGCTTTTCTTAGAATTTTATTTATTTATTTATTTATTTATTTATTTATTTATTAGAGACAGGGTCTCACCCTGTTGCACAGGCTGGAGTGCAATGGCTTGACCATAGCTCACTGTAGCCTTGACCTCCAGGAATTAAATGATCCTCCCACCTCAGCCTCCTGAATAGCTAGGACTACAGGTGCATGCCACTATGCCAGCTATTATTTTATTTTATTTTTATTTTTGTAGAGACAAAGTCTCACTACATTGCCCAGGCTGGTAGAATTTTTTTTAATTCTTAGCCAGTTTCTGACAGAGTGAATCATTTCTAAAGAAGAGAATTTTTTTTTTTTAAAAAAGCATGATTTCTTTTCAAGGTGCCATTAATGGAATTAAACTGAAAATGCATTAAATGACATTTAAACTAGCCCCAAAAGAGTTATTATTTTTGCTCTGATAGAAAATGCCCAATTTCAAACACTTATTAAGCAATGTGTGCACACCGTATAGTTGCATAAGGTTTACAACTTTGTCAGTGCCACCTTTAGCCAAGAGGAGTTATTTGCCTTTAATTCTTACAAAAAAGCAGAAGATCGCAAACTAGTGCAGCACCATTCTGACCATGCCTTATGCTATAAGCTCTGGAAATAAGATAACACCCTTTGCCCCTTGAAAAGCATTGCCATTTGTAATCATCCCAAGTTTCCAACTATAGAGATTGTCAACAGCAAGAGGAACTTTTAAATTGGTTGCCTTTGATGAAAATGAAAATGTTATCCATGAAAAATCTCTAGGAAAATAAATTCAGGCCTGATTCCTGCTATGCAAACAGATATATACAGTATCACCCTGAATCAGCTTTTCTCATCAGAAATGGAGCTACTGTACTTTATTGTGATGTCAGAGATTGAACTGGGGTGAGAATGCACTTCTGATAATTAAGATCATATCGGGTTGGGAAAGCCTAATTCCTAACAGAAGATAAAGAGTCTCCTGATGGTATAGACTCAAAAGGCCTGTAAATTGGGCCATATAATAGTCGTAGAATATTGGGATATGTTTGAAATTCCTTATTGCTGAAATGTGCAGATAATACCAGAAGGGAGAGCACCCCAACCCCATAAACCCATTGGAAAAAAAAAAAAAAAAAAAACAAGAAACATCTCTTGGAGCAGGCAGGTGGTGTATCATATGTTCCCCGGGTGGAGAATGAGCTTCTTGCCTTTAAAAGTAATTGATTTTATAGCGAAACGTGTCAAGAGCACTGGTTTTCAAAATGATTTCGTTCATGTGTGTTGGGAAATAATATATACTGCTAATTGCTTCAGAAATAGCTGGATTATTTAACTTTGGTTTTGATGGGATTTGGAAGGAAGATCTTGAGCCCTTATGCCTTTTCCCTTATCGCAGATTAATAGCTGTTTTGAAGCTGTGTCTACTTCTGCCGTTGCAGAGATGAAATCTGCATCCCCTCACTTTCTTGTGTAGGGCACTAGCTACAGTGTTCTTAGTTCAACCTCTATGAGTGTTCTAAAGATAGCAGTGTGACATTTCTGTTTCAATAAAGCCCAAATAGTAGGCGAGATATAAAACACCAGAGAAGAAAAAAGATATGTTTGCTGATTTCACCGAGGTCCGTATTGAGCTGCCTAGGTGAACAGTTGTAAGTCGGGAGTCTGACTGCAGGTGCAGGAGGGGGAGAGAGTGTTAACTTCTGTGAGGCATCATCTGTTGGCTGCTTAGCAGCACACATCTTGCTGCAATTCCATCGTGAAGGTCTCAGTCCCCTACAGACTAATGGTGAGTGGATGTAACATGGGACCTGCGAAAGGAAAGGTGGTTGTTTCTTGTTCTGTGGCTTTTCTCCTCAGTTGTGTCTTCAATGAGCTAAAGTGAATGTGCTGATTTACAGTCTGTATTTGCTCATGGTAGCTGTCTCATTATTAATTATTCAGGGTCTTCTTCCATCTTACACACATGTGTATGTGTGTTCATATGTATATGTATGTTTGAATGAATGAATGATGAAATAAACAGGCATAATTAGTAGGGTCGAATCGTTGTCCATGGTCAACACTAATTGACCCTACCAGTTATGCCTGTTTGTTTCATCTTTCATTCATTCAAACATACATATAATATACAATAAACATACATACATATGTGTGTAAGACTGAAGGAGACCCTGTTGAATTAATAATGAGACAGTGCCTGTACCTCTTCCTCCAGGAAGCCTTCCCTCATCCGCTAAGCCAAGAATCAGCAATTTTTTTTTCCTATGAAGATCCAGATAGAAAATATTTCAGGCTTCATTTTGTGAGCTGCACGCAGTCTCTATCACATATTCTTCTTTTTCACAATCCTTCAAAAATGTATAAAACATTCTTAGCTCGGCGGCTGAATGTGGTCCGTGGCCATCGTTTGCCCGTTTGCCAACCCCAAAACCAAACCAAGTGTCTCCTGTCTTCCCCACCAACCATAGCAGCCTACATGTTGTATTGAAAAGAGCTAAACTCTAGACTCCTGGAAAGGGGGTTCACATCTTTGCAGCCCCAGCCTAAGCAGTGGCAAGAATTCATTTTTCAAATATAAGGTGATCTCCACCTTCCAATTTTATATTCCACCTGGGAAAACAAGGTCATGTGCAAAAACCAGCGAAGTGACAATTCAGAGCACGGTCAGTGTTCTTGACAGGCCCTTGACAACTTTGACTTTCTGGGCGATAACCCCAAGTAAAGAAATTAGTTTCAAAAACTGCCCTGTAAGCTCTCAAAATGGCTTTTAGAAGGCATTTGCTCTATACTTTGTTAGGCCTTCAGCTAGGTGTTTGTTTGTTCTTTGTTAACACATGACTTTTAAAAATTAAATGTTTTTTTAAACAAAAACTTCAGAGATGAACAGCAAAAATGGTAAGGAGTGTGTGATGTTGTGAGCAGCAGGCCTAGAAACAGCCCAAAGATTGACAGCGTGACCTCAAGGATGGAGACAAAATAAATCAAAAGGAAATACACAGCTATATGACTGCATAGTACAATATGTTTTCTCTTAATAGGTTTTCAGTCATCAATTAAATGTTGAATTATGCTCATTATGCTCTCTTTAAAAATGCAGCCAAATTTAGCTTCCAATTTGGAATTATTATATCCACACAGCATGGTTAAAATAAAAATATCGAGCGTTTGCAGACAGTGAGTTGGGTTTGTCTGGGAAGTTCACGCATTTCGACTAATTCATTTATGAATAAATTGTGAAAAAAAAAAAGGCACATTCATGACCCAGGACCAACTAGAGTGAGGAGCCAGGGATGGGATGGCCTGGGCTGACAATGACTTCCTACCTGAGGCAAGGTACTTAAGCTCTCTAAACCTCAGCCTCCTGATGTGTATAATGGGTATCTCCTTCCACCCCGGTATGGTCACTGTGATGATTAAATACCATTACCTATGTAAAGTTCTTAAAACAAAAGCTGGCAGGTGGTAAAAGTGCTAACAAAAAATTAGCAATTGTTATTATTATCATTATCATCAATATTGTTAATGAATAAGTGTGAAAATGAATTTGACACACACAGTGTGCCAAAGGAGATGACAGAAAAGTGTAAATATGAATATGGCGAAGACATCTAGGATTGCACCTTATAGGAGGTGGTACTTGATCTGGAATTATCAAACCAATTTTAGAAATCAAGTTAAACTGGGACTGATTCCCCCAGAACACATATTATCATGGACAGCTTTCTTTGGTTAGGTTGAGAAAGACTGTTTTGTAGAAGAGTAAAACCTGCCCACATAATATTACATCAGATCCTATTATAAACTTTCAAATGTTTTGAATTTCCAGCACCATATCACATTAATTGTTTTATCCCTAAACTATCAGAGAAAGCAGCATCGTAACAGGGTGGAACAAATGCATTTAACTCAGAAAATAAGACATCCCTCCTCCTAGAAGGGGAAAGATTCCAATTTCCTTTCCCAACATTTTCTTTAAAATTGTTTTGGCTTCAGACCATACCTCATCTTATAGCCAAAATGTAACCTGGTAGGAGTGTAGACATCCCCATTTGTCGTCACCTTTAAAAGCAAGTACTTGAAAGGGTCTGTTTTCCTCTGGAAAACAAGTACCGATGTCAAGCCTAGCCACTGATGTAACACGATGAAAGCTGCTTCAGAGGAAGAAATTGGAACGAGGGAGTTTGGCTGGAGCAATGAGACATGTCGAGAGCCTTTGGGTATTAACCAGACTGGCAGTGTGATCCCTGGGAGGGAAGACAAAGATAGCACTCGCCTGTCTGACTCAGGGCATACCAATATCGCTCGAACCTTCCCGTCTTCCCACAAGGAAACTCGGCTCCAGCCCATTCAGGGCAGCCTTCCAGGGCCTGGCATGTGTGTGCTCAGCATCACGGGCAGCTAGCAAAGACCAGTGCAACGGAGGAGGCTTAGCTTAGTACGCGTTCGGCAGGACGGGTGTGCAGGCTGCACTGCCCTTGAGTCGTCCAGGTAGGCAGAAGGATGGCTTTTATTGACTTTCTGAGACTGGAAGCAAAGAAAGGGGGTGGGAAAGAAAACAGTAGGTGTCATTTTAGTTGTGCCCTCATGAGTGCGAGCGGGAAAGGTCAGAACACCTCAGGGGATGAGGACAGAGCCAGGGCAAGAGTGTTCCCCAGAAAGCTAGACAGCAATGGGACAAGGTACTGCTCTACAAACCGAGAGAGAAACAGAGGCGTGAAAAGAGCCGTTAGTGCAATGGAGTGTCGTGAATTATCTGTCAGTGCCGATGGCACTCTTGTTAGGATTCTCACACTTCTCACATGTTGTCCTGGTCTACTTCCTGGGACAAGCTTTTGTGAGCCAAAGACCCTATTGTGAGCCTAGGCAGTGCCATTTTTCTGTACATCCCTCTCTTTTCTGTGAGTTCCCAGCCCCATCATTTAGGAACCCCCTGGAATCTGATGGACAGGACTGATGTGGGTCACAGGTGCCAAAACTGAACAGACAGCTATGTTAATTACACCACACCTGTTTCCCCAGGTTAAGCCGTTGCTATTGGAAACTGTGATCTAATGAACCGTTATTGCAACTCCCCTTCAGTCATGTAACAGACCTTGGACTTGGAGCTCAGTCCCTTGTGCAAAAGGATAAGGAGAGTAATGAACGAGAGTGGCGGGTGGGAAAATAGCATCTGTACATGGTTCCTGGAGGTGGTGAAGGAGAGAAGTTGGTTCCACCTGCAGGGGAAGAGAGTGGTCCAGGAAGGTACTCCAGGATGATCTGAGAACTAAAAGATGAGAAAGCCTCTGCTAGCTGCTGGCATTCATGACACAGGGACTAGAACAGACCAAGTCATTTTAGATGTCTCCGTAAGTTGCCAGCACTGTATTTGGCATCCCCTCCATTCCTAAAGGTGTTTTTCCAATAAATCCATGGCAACATGCAGAGCTGTGCCATCGCATTAAACAAAACAGGTATGATTTTTTTTTTCGATTTCCCCAGCTCATGTTCTGTATCTCTACCCAATATGTTGCCGAGCTGTGAGCACCCTTAGGCTTCCATCTAAATAATTTTTAAACTTTTTATTTCTTTTACCACTTTGCACTTTTTGTTCCCAGAATGAACCCCTTCTACTATTGGAAATTTCCTAAGACAAACAAGTTTCTCTTCCTGGGTAGCAATTTCCATTGATGAAAAACCGCCTTGTATGCAGTCAGGAAGTAGAGCAGGTTGGGAAGGTCTGTAATTTGTTTCCCATCAACTAATAATCTTATTGTGATGAGTAATGTAGTCCTGTTAATGTCTCAACAAGGTTATGGATTGTGCTGAGTGTCAGTAGAGAAGCCGACAGCTTTGTACAGTGAAACCATTCATTCTCCTTTCTACACAGTATAGTTTCTTAAACAGCTTGCAATAGATCACATGAGCTTTAGCAAACAATATTTAAATGAATGTAAATACAAAAACGATTAACGATATGCCAATAGGACTTTTACTGAGAGGTTGATTCCGTTTTTGTGTTTTCCAGTGTGCTTTTATTTTTAAGGACATGACAAATATTTTGGAAACAGATTTACCAAGTTTTCAGGCTGCCTTTCTCCCTTGTTACAGAGTAGCCTCAGTGTCTCTGCCTGAAATGGCTCCTACCGTTAAGCAAGTCTTTCCCCCATCCATTGAAGCAAGTCTATCCTATTCTTAGCATTCAGCGTGATGTTTAATTTTATTGTGGTATTATATTTTTAAAGTTAACATACAGTAAAATTGGCTTCACTGTGTACAGTTCTGTAGATTTTAACACAAATACAGGTTTCTGGAACTGTCACAACTGCAGGAACCCAAGACAACCCTTTTGCCTCGAAAATTTCCCATGTTCTCCTTTTGTAGTTACTTACACACCCCAGCCCTGTCTCAGTCTCTCCTAGTCACTAATCTGTCCTTGTCACTACAGTTTTGTCTTCTTGAGGATGTCATCTAAATGAAATCATAGCTTTTGAAACTAATTTCTTTCATTCAGCATGGTACCTTTGCAATGTATCCAAGTGGTTGTGTGTATCAATAGTCCATCCTTTTCTTTAATTAACTTCTTTAATAGACAAATAACATTTGTATATATTTATGGTATACACCACGATGTTTTGATATATGTACATTGTGGAATGGCTAAATCAAGCTACTTAACATATTCATTACCTCACATACTTTTCAGTTCTTTGTGGTGAGAACATTTAAAATCTACTCGCTCAGCAATTTTCAACAATACAATACTTTGTTATTAACTCTAGTCATTCCTGCTTTTGCTTCATAGTACTCCATGAATTATACTTTGTAGTATATGAATTACTATACTTTGTTTATTCAGTCACTTGCAGGACATCTGGTTGTTCTCAGTTTTTAGTGACAAGGAATAAAGCCGCTACAAATTTTCACGTGCAGATTTTGGGTTGAACATTAAGTCCTCATTTCTCTAGGGTAAATACCTAGACTTGGGATTATTAGGGTGTGTGGTAAGTGTAACATCACGGGAAACTGGCAGACTGTTTTCCAGACTGGCTGTCTCATTTTGCATACCCACCAGCAATGTGTGAGAGTTCCCATCATGGCAATGTGGTTAGCTTTCATGAAAAGTAAAACATGTATTTCTAGCGTGATACTGTATTTTATCATGAGCTGCTTCTGGTTAATTCTGTAAGTCATTTTTTTTTTATTCCCTAATGAAACAGTCCTTACATTTTCTGTTGGTTAACGAAAAAGAAAAGCAAAATTTGCCTGCCTGCTTTTCTCAATTCTGTTTGTGGTTTCTCCTTCGGGTCAGACCGCACGTGTTTTCATTAGAAAAATGCTGAGTCATGGGTATTTGTTTCATCCATGGAATTGGCATGATGGCGCTCAGAGTGTTCAAAGACATATAGAGAGATGAGGACTGGATGATTGGAGGAAACCCAGGAGGTGACGTATCTTCCTATCCTCCTCTTTCATTTTCCCTTCATAAGTCTTGCTCCATTTCATGCATGCAAAGAGCACCCTGAAAATCACGTGTCTCCACTGCTCTCCATCATCGTCTCCACTCAGCAACTCAGAACCCAGGGCAGGAATTCTGACTCTGAACCTTGCAAAGAAAGCAATTCAGCACATGTATTCCGTGTGCTTAATTGAAGACTCCAATTTGCCATGCTCTATTATCTAGAATTAAACACAAAAGACAGTTGATAAATACCACATTCAGTTGAAAACACAAATGAATCAAAATGTTACAGTTTCTCTCCATAGGTAATAATTAACATTCTTGTGAATTGCTCTGTGTGCCATGATGCATCCTTTAAATGGTGTGCAAGCAAAAAACCTGCACATTGAGATGTGCATATGTGTAGACCCAACAGAATAGTGACTTAGCCTTGGGAGATAAGGCTGGGGTGAGGAGAGGGGAAAGGCGTTGATGTAGAGTTTAACAATATGCCTCTGTGAAACACTTTCAAAGCAGTGTGTCATAATGGCCTCTACAAAATTTTATACATGAGCTGAAACATGAAAACAACATACATGGAAAAGTAAAGTATTTTGGTGGTTAAAAACCACAAGGGAACAAAAGAGTTAAGGTGAAGTCTTTGTGGCTTACCCAAAAGGTCAGCATAGGACATGTCTCTTTCTTTACCTTCGTCAAGGCCAGGAACTCTGTACCTCCAAAAGCCCTCTGACCCAGGGTAGGTGCCCAATCATTAATTGCTGAATGAAGGAACATGTGAACAAATGAAGACGTGAATAAAGGAACAAATGAACAAATCAATGATTAAGAATTGAGGCCAAGGCAGTCAGATCACGAGGTCAGGAAATCGAGACCATCTTGGCTAACATGGTGAAACCCCGTCTCTACTAAAAATACAAAAATTAGCCGGGTGTGGTGGCATGCGCCTGCAGTCCCAGCTACTTGGGAGGCTGAGACAGGAGAATCACTTGAACCTGGGAGGCACAGGTTGCAGTGAGCCAAGATTGTGCCACTGCACTCCAGCCTGGATGACAGAGCAAGACTCCGTCTCAAAAAAAAAAAAAAAAAATTGTTTGTCATAAGTGAGCTTAGCTAATGTGTCACTGTTCTTGTGTAAGAAATTTAATTGGACAGAAGGCAAAAGGAATCTTGTGGAGAAAACTGTCACTTTGGATTTCTCTCAGAGAATATAAAAGACTTTCTCAAGTGACTCCCTGCGCATGGCTTTTCTAGGCTCTATACAACAGCATTCCTCAACCTTTTTGGCACCGAGGACCAGTTTCACGGAAGACAAATTTTCTACGGAAGAGGGGGATGGTTTCGGGATGAAACTGTTCCACTTCAGATCATCAGGCATGAGTTAGATGCTCATAAGGAGCGTGCAACCTAGAACGTTCACGTGTGCAGTTCACAATAGGGTTCACACTCCTCTGAAAATCTAATGCTGCCACTGATGTGACAGGAGGCGGAGCTCAGGCAGTAATGCGTGTTCACCCTCTGCTCACCTCCTACTATGCTGCCCAGTTCCTGTACTGGCCTGTGTCCCAGGGGTTGGGGACCCCTGCTTTACAACAAAAAAATCTGTTAAATGGAAACTCTATCCAAGCTCTATTTCCCCATGTATAAATCAGAGAAGCTTATAACAATTTAGTGGGCTAAAAATTATCAAATAAAGTGTTTCAATATATAACGTGTTGATGTTAGCTCCAATGTCAGCCCTAGAAGGGAGCAACCATAAAACAACATACTTGTCAGCATAGGGTTGAGGAAGCCATTGGATTTCATCTGATCCAATCCAAAAAGTCTTCCTGAAAGAAGCGGAATTCCATACATCTTACTTTTGATTTGCAAACTCTTAGCAAATCATCCTCTTTCTGTGCCACATCGAGTTCCTTTCTGTATCGGCAACTACGCAGATGAATCAGGATTCACCCAGCCTGGTTGAGTCAGAAGCCTTTAGCAAAGATTCTTTGATACAATGGATTTGTGATGAAAAGTGAACATTTTCAGGTGGCAGAAAGAGCCACAGGAGATCCTGTTAGTCAGAGTTTGGAAGTGAAATGTGTCTATTCCCGCTTGGGGTGTGTGGGAGGCCTCTGCTCCCATTAGTTCCATGGGGATTTCTGCTTGTAAGGCATTTGTTGTCGTGTTTGGATTGCTGTAGGAAGAGAAAAAATTACTACAGTTTGCATGAGATAGAGCTGTGTTTTGGCAAGGAAGCCCATGATAATTTTTCTTCTTGAACTTTGATCAAGTTCAAGCTTTTGAGATTTGTCTCAAATGATACCGCAGTATACTTCAACATACTTTCATTTCTGATGGAATTTGGAGCATTTCTCCAATTTCTTTGTTCTTGCCATATTTGTCAATGTGTAATTAATTAACTAATTCGGTCATTTGTTCAACAACCGTCTATTGTGTCTACCAAGTACTCCAAGAGCCAGGGATTCAACAGAGAATAAAATAGCATCTTTGCCTTCAAGATACTTACTTCCTGGTGCAGAAAGACAAATGAGTTTTTTAAAAAATGGGTGCCAGTATGTGCTTTAGAGAAAAAGAAAGCAATGGAAGGATGATAAGATGACTGATGCTGTCTCGGAAGGCAGGTCTTAAAAGATGACATTTGAGCTGAGACCTGCAGACATGGAAAGAATGAACTACTCAATTATCTGTATCTCCAGGCCAAGGGTACAGCAAATGCAAAGAGTCTCAAATAGGAGCCTGCTTGGCCGGTTCCAAATCAGGCAGAGGCCAGTAAGGATCCAGATCAGGGCCTTTCTTATTTCTTGCAATATTTTCTTCAAGAACTAGGCTTGAATCTGCAGGAAAGAGACGAACCTAGGCTGATATTCTGGGCAATTCCTACACACCACACAAGTCCCAGATTTAAAATGCCTTTGTTCTTGCTTTTTCCTCTGCCTGAAACATTGTTCCCTCAGACACTGGAATGGCTCTCTCTCTCTATTTCCTTCAGGTCTCTGATCAAATATCATCTTATCGAGAAGCCTTTCCAGACTACACTATTAAAGTGTCAGATAGGCAGTGTTAGAAATGGAAATTATTTTCTCCGCCAAATCTGATTATTTCACGTGAGAGATGACTCCCTCTCTACATTATGGGATTAAGAATGATCCCATTTGAGATGATAAATACTAGAATGTTTCAGTAACCCAAGAAGCCCTGAGAAACAAATTGCTAATTCATGACTTAAACCATCTAAATGTGATGAACAACTCAGGACGTCAGTGAATTGTTCAACAGTGGATTGCAATGATAGAGCAACTTGCATGGCTCATAAATGAGCCAAAGAAACTTGAAAACCTTGATTTTATTTTAAGGTTTTTCATGCAAAATGGGGGCTGATGTTTACCAGGACTACCAGAACTCAAGGAAACACAGGTCTTCTTGTGCTAATTAATAAAAGAAGAAGAGAATTTATCAAAGGACAAAAGCTGCTATAAGGCACTTCACATTGTCCACCATTGGACAGTTTTATTTCAGTGTATTTAAACTGCAAGTGTGAAAAATAAGTGCACTGATTATTTTGATATTCTGTAAGGCCTGGAGTTACTATAACTCAGTAGGAAAATGGTCCCTTATTCTTAATGGTGCTATTTACCTTAGAAGTATCTGGCAACAGAAAGTTTTTCAAGTCATTGAAATAATAATCCTGGCTGGGTGTAGTGGCTCTAAACCTGTAATCCCAGCACTCTGGGAGGCCAAGGTGGGAGGATTGCTTGGGGTCAGGAGTTCAAGACCAGCCCGGGCAACATAGCAAAATCCCATCTCTACCAAAAAAAAAAAAAAAAAAAATTAGCCAGGCATGGTGGTATGTGCCTGTAGTCCCACCTACTTGGAAGACTTAGTCAGGAAGATTGCTTGAGCCCAGGAATTCGAGGTTACAGTGAGCCATGATTGTACCACTGCACTCCAGCCTGAGTGACAGAGCAAGACTCTGCCTCTTAAAAACAACACACACAAAAATCTAAATCACAGGGTCTGTGTCACCCCTCTCTCCAACATCTCAAAAAACAGGCCAGGCACAGTGGCTCACACCTGTAATCCCAGCACTTTGGGAGGTCAAGGCAAAAGGATCACCTGAGGTCAGGAGTTTGAGACCAGCCTGGCCAACACGGGGAAACCCCATCTCTACTAAAAATACAAAAATTAGCCGGATGTGGTGACACGTGCCTGTAATCCCAGCTACTCGGGAGGCTGAGGCAGGAGAATCGCATGAACCTGGGAGGCAGAGGTTGCAGTAAGCCAAGATGGCGCCACTGCACTCCAGCCTGGGTGACAGAGTGAGACTCCCATCTCAAAAAAAGTAAATAAATAAATAATAATTAGCCTATTCAGGTGAAAATAAATGCTGACATTTCCTGAGGGCCTTCTATGTGTGATGCATTTTCTGAGCACTTTAAACGTAGTATCTCATTTAACTCTCTTTACCAATTAGGAATTGTTATTAACCACCTTTTACAGATGAGGATACAGAGGTTAAGCACCTCAGAACTTTGGTGGTCTAACTTCAGAAGTCCTCCAGGCAAAACTGGAGAGATCAATGTTTTCAAGACTGAAAAGGCCCTAGAAATGGCCTCCTGAACCCTTGCTAGAAAGAAACCTTTCTTCTAGTGGAGCACACCGGGACCCAGTGATTCTTATGGCAATGCCTCTTCCTCCCACTGCAAAACTGAGGGCTGATAACACACTGGCCTCCTGGTGGTCCCAGTTTTTTTCTAAAAGTTAGTGGCATCCTGGGGATCTTCAAGGTGAGGGTGAGAGGTTTCTCCTCTAAGCCTGCTCAGCAGCGGGGTACTTCTACTCATCATTCATGCAACATCATAAGAAAGGTCTTGAGCACTGTGAGAGGTCTGATTTATTTTAATTGGGAGGTAAAGACAACTCCAAGACAACTTTGAAAGAAACCAGTAAACAATTACCAGCAAAATCCAGAGAGTGCTCTCTCTGACAGTAGTTGAGCCATGTAGTCTTAGGCAGTGGATGTTTCTCCAGATATTTGATTATCTTGGGTAATTACTTGTGTGGGTGCGTACGTGTGTGTATGTGTGTGCATTCTAAAGGCAAAAAGGGGGTTCTGAAAATATCTCCAGCGATATGTCTTTACATCCCATGACATCAGCTGTTACTTGACGTGACACCAGATGCAGTTCAAGGTCTGACATTCAGCTGGCTTCTGTTTATATAGTATGGAGAAACTTTTGTTCCCTTGCCCTATAAGGCATGTACCAGGAGAGATTTTGGGAAAAGTTCACCCAGATAGTAAATAATTCTGCTGAGCTTTGAAGTGAAAATGCTCCAGGAACCTTTATCCCATCCTTGCCATTTAACTGGTATGCTTCGGCCACTCTTGGTATTAATGAATGGTGTAGATCAGAGTTTGTTTCCATTATTCTGTTCATCAGAGGCACAATCTCAAATCAAAATTATATTTTATCTTTGTTTTGATCTTTCTATGTTTGGGGGAAAGCACTGTAAACATCTCAAAGAGAGAGAGAAAAAAAGAATGAAATACACCCCCAGGAAATTCTAGTTAAAGACCTAAAGAATGGCATCTCAGTGGAAAAGAATTCCACTGTGAGGTTTGGCTTTTTTAAAAAAATAGCCTGGTCTTTGAAAAACATATTATCTTTCATGGGTAGGGAAATATCCAAATTTTGCCCAGCCTATTTTACAATAAGACCTTGAAAAGCTATGTGATGAGCTGGAATGAGAGGAGTTTAAATTTTTGATGCAATTCTCTGCCTGGGAAAGTGATAATGCTGCTCACATAACAGAAAGAGTATTTTCTGCTACAGCACAACAATCAACATAACGTCTGGGCATATTAATAATTTCACTCCTAAACTTCTCGACAGGGAGTGCATGGGTCTTAATAGTATTGTCAAGATCCTTAGGGCAATTGAAAAACCCAAAATCATTACTTTCTACTGATAGGCTTTCCTCTCCCAGAGGAGGCCAAAATACCTAGGGTAATGTAGATTTACTGAAATGCTCAGATAGGCACTGCTCAGACGTAACTGTGTAATAAAATCTTCTCTTTAGAAGGGTCCTTCTCAGATATTTCAAGTGGTCTTTTTTATTTTGTCTTTGTCACTTGGAAAGTAGCTAATGGAGATGACGCTGATCTCAAGTAATACTTTCCTGATGATTTAGGAAGGCAAAGAATGAGTATAGGGGCAATGGTCAAATGATGTGGCACCTACGATTAAAATCCCTTTCTGACCCTTCATGTGTGAGAACGTGCCCTATTGGGGCGGGATGGTCCCAAATTCACAATAGCTATTAAGCTCTTAACCCAAGGGCAGCTACTGACTTGGCACCCAGTTCGAGTCCCCTTATCCTTTCTTGTTTCCCCTCCCACAAATGTCCCTGCCTGTGCCTGGCTAGGTGATTACAGCCATGCCTGAACCGCTAGAACAAATTCCCAGCTCGCCCTCAGACATTCACATGTGCAACTCGTTCTCAAATGCCATCACCTAACAATCTCCATCTGAAGAATATCAGCAGCTGCAGGGTCTCAGCCAAAAAAAAAAAAAAGGCCTGCAGGGGACCTGCTTCAGGTTGCCAGGGGAAGATCTTTTTAAGTGCTAGGCAGTGTGCCCCGTTTGAGATTGAACTTTGACTGGCTCTGATGGAGCTCTGCAACAGACAGATGTCGTGGTTATAATAAACAGAGGGAATTGCCATTTCCATGAAATGTCCAGGATTGGCACATCCATAGGAACAGAGAGTAGATTAACATTTGCCAGAGGCTATGGGAGGGAGGAAGGGACTGGGCCGTGACTGCTGATGGGTATGTTGTATCCTTTGAGGGTGATGAAAATGTTCTAAAATTAGATAGTGGTGATAGTTGCATATCTTGGTGAATATACTAAAGTAACACTGAAATGTATACTTTTAAAAGCTGAATTGTATGATATCTCAGTAAAACTGTTATTTTAAAAAAGCAGAAGAGGTGATCAGGCAGCAAGTGCCAGGAAAAACAACCAAAAAACAAACAAAGACGGAGGAGTTTGAAGTCACCTTCCCTCTGTGTCTAGCCATCTCCCTGTTAAAGGAGCCCTAGAGGTAACAGAAATGAGGGAATTAAGTGGGAGGGCATCATTGATTCCAGCAATCAACTAGAATGCTCTAGGGATAGAGGCAGAAATCTACTCTGATCCCTGTCCTCTGAGACTCTAAATATAACTCCCAGGGACATGATTTGTTCATTCATTCATTCATTCATCACCACTAGTTTTATACCAGGCACTGTAGCCTTATGCTGGGATATACAGACAAGTGAGACAGACTGTTTTTAATGGAGGCACTCATGATCTAGTGGAGAGCACAGGAGAGTCCAAAAATAATATAAAACCATGTGCTGAGCGTTACAAAAGAAATATAAGCAGTGGGCAAATCAAGCACCCGGGGGGGGCACAGATACGTTACAGTTAAATACAAAATTTAAGGAGAGAGAATTATGTTACTTAACCTCCCCACACCTCAGTCTCCTCATCTTTAAAGGGGAGAGCAATATCTTCTTTAAAGTGCTTTAAAGGTTATTGTAAGTTTTAAATAAGATGAAATATGTAGAGTGCTTATCACACAGTTGGTGCTTACTAAATGGGAGCTATTGGACTTAGGTGATCTAAGATGTCCCTGCCGACCCTAGTCCTTTACGAACGTAGGCAGAGCGGAGGAAAACTTTGAATTCTGAGCCTGCAAATGATTGCTCCTTGTGACTGTAATTCCCGTGTTCCGCTATGCAGTGTTGATCTGTGCGTCATTGCGAATGCATTCGGAATGTTTTTCTCTGAGGTCATATATTTTGTGTAAGAAAGAGAGCTATAAATCATTCCTTACAGGCAAGCACAGCCCTTTCTTTCTCTGCCCTCTGTTCAGGCTGAGCGGGGTGCTTCCTTCAAGGACAGCCCCCTGATACAGGCCTGTGCAACCCAGGCCAGAGGCACTGGCTAGAGCTGGAGCCAGCGGCTGGGGAGATGAGGAGGAGGCTACAACTTGACTCACTCCTTCATCCCCCTTCTTGTTTCTCCTCCACTCTGAAATGTGGAAAAGCTGCAGCTGCAGCTTGCGACAGCAGTGACCAGATCCAAGAAAGACTGCAGACAGGCCACCTGCCCTGTGAAGCCAGCCATACCATATGTGTGTCAATAACAAAAAATGCAAGTCCATTCTTTAGGAGATAAGTCATTCTGTAGGTGTTAAGACAGAAGGAGGAAGCAAGGTCATTGTCCCACATGCCCAGTACTTAGAGACAAATAAGGAAATCTCTTCAAATATGGGAGGAGGCTGGATTTGGACCTATTCCTTCCATCCCTGGGCTCTTGGCAAAGTACCTCAGGTCAGAGCAGGACAGGACAAGCTGGGATGGAGTGTGCCCTTGGTTCTGCCCCTGACAGGCCTAATTGCTGCTCATTCCTCATGCTGCCCCTCACGCCGCTGGTTAGGGAGCCAGGGATGCAGCACAGTGAAGGAAGTTTGGGGAGGGCCTTTGGGAAGGCATAGAAAGAGATTGCACTGCAGTTTGGCTGTTCTGGCCTATTTCTCCTGATTCAAGCAGCATCCGTGAGGTGGTGCAGAGCTTTGAGGTGGGCGATTCCCTCCAGTTTCTCACAAGATTGGATTCTGCCATTTAAGCAAATGTGCAAAGAAATGAGTCCAGGCTGTTTTCCTCTGTATTTGCTAGGCATATATCAGCCAGGGCAGGGGACCTGTTTCCTCCCTGTGTGCCTGTGTTCTGGTTTTGGGTTCCTTTGCATACAGCTGGGAGGGGAAGAGACCTGGGATCGTGTGCCAGCTCTACCACTTACTAAGCTATATGACATCTGGTGCATTACTTAACCTCTCTGAACCTCACTTACTGGATCTGTGAAATGGGCATGATAAGTGACCTGTCTCCTAGGAGTAAGTGGGAATATATTGAAATGATTTATGTACAACACTTGGCACAGTACCCGACACACAGGGAGAACTTAACTCATGGCAGCCATGGACAATATTATTGTTTTGTTATCATCAGCATCAATTGTTTTGCTTATGGAAATGGAGCAGTTCTGAATCCCGTTTTATTTTTGTGGGCTCTTACAGAGACACTCTTGAGACTATCTGTTAATAGCTCCTGGCCACGTCACTTAGTCACTCTGCCCTCCTGCTGGCCAAATTTGAAGGTGGAGGGGTCAGAGATTGATGATTTTGCAGCCAAATGCAGCCGCATGTTCATTGAATATCCCCCTCCAAGAACTGCCATTTCAAAGGACTTGGAAAAGTTGGGCCCACAGTGCCCTAGGAGGTACTAATCATTTTCCTCAGAGTCATAGTTGCTATAGCTGCCATTGCTATTATCAGAATGATTAATTATATCAAATAGTAATAATCATAATAATATGTGTTAATAGCTTGCTATGTACCATGAATTGTGCTAGGCTCCTTAAAAATATATTTCCATTTGACTCTCCTAACAATCATGTATGAGAAGTAAGATTACTATATCCATTTTACAAGTGAACGACTCAGAAAGAAAAATATGTCACTTTCCAGTGTCCACACATCTGGTCAGTGGCCAAGCAGGGATTCAAGCCAACCACTAGCCTGAACATCTGCAACAGACTCTGTCCTCCTTGGATCTAACCAGACACTGTTATTCTTGAAAATCCTCACCCCCAATTCCCTCTGGCCAATTCAAGGTCAAATTTGAACAGGGTGTCCTGGTGCCAGTTATCATCAACCAGAGATTCTCAAGTCTCTGCCAACACCATCTCCTCTTTTAGAAACTTTAAATTGCTATTGAGATGTAACTTGCCCTAAAAGGTGGTTCAAGAGAAGAAGGCAAAGAGTTTGTGGTTAATTTGTCATCTGAGGGTCTGAGGGAGTTGAAAATTTTAAAGACCAACCATTGGCATGCCATTCCCAGGAATGAGTGATTTATTAGCAGCTAGGCAGGCCCTGACTTTTATTTTTTTCTTTCATATATTTTATCATCATTTCTAATCACCAGGAAAAATTGGTGAAGACTATGGCGCAAGACAAGCCTGGTTTAATTTGTCTCTGCTTTCCCACCCCATCTATTTGTCGATGCTTGGCAAAAGTAGACCCAACCTAAACACGTCCTCCAGCTGTTTATTTAGGCAGAATGCAACAACAATAGTCGATTATTAACAATTTCTTCCTTAGAGCCCCTGAAAGTCTTCCTTTATATGTTGTTTAAAACGTGGGCATTGATTGTTTCCCCATGCCGTGTGAGCAACTCTAATGGAGTCAACACAAAAGTTGATATGCCAAGGTTTTTCACTTCCCACATCTGACTTTATGGGAATTGGTATCGTTACTCAACAAAGAAGCACTGCTTCATTTTTCTCAAGTTTCACTGCCAACCGGTAGGCATTTAGGAAGGACAGACTATGTGACTGGCATCCCTCTCAAAATCAACTGGCAACAACTGTCCCACAGAAAATCTAAAAGCGCAGAAGCACAGACCATTCTTTAGCAGGACAGACAGCAGTGCTCATTCAAGCCCTTGATTTTTAAACATACAGGAAACATCTTGTCTATAAATTCACTTATCATTTCCAGGCACCTTACTTATACCTCCCCTGGTTTTTAGTAAAGAGCCAATAAGACAGTTCCTTCTTCCTAGGACTAAAAGCCACGCAGTACCTAAAAATAAATTCCAGGTTCTGGACTGAAGGTAAATCAGGTGCAGTGTCAGGTCAGCACCAATATTTTAATGACAGTTGCCTTTTGTCTACTAATAGCATACTGATTAGGTTGATACTGTGTAAGAATTTACCTTATATAGTTTCTTATGTTTAAATTGCATTATTATGTAATTTCATATTTATGTAATAGAAGAGCTCTTAGTAATATGCACATTAATTAAACCCAATAAATGTATGGAACTTACAGTGGACATGAGGGTTCCTTCATCAAGCTGAGTTATTCATCTCCGTTTCATAGTAAGTTGAAGACATCAGTTGCTTTACAGAAGGGCTTTTCATGTATTTTGGCTTTTTGGAAAGCAAGAGGGCATGTTGTCAGCATTGTTTGCATTTTTGAAACAGAAAACCTTCCCACCCAGCAAGTGTGTTGGATGACTGTAGTGAAAAGTGATAAATGCAAAAAGGTGCTTGTGATCATTTGTTGTAGCAGAGGTGCTTCATACTAGAGGTACGTTACTGATACTGAATACCAAGGCACCCGAGTGAAACTAGGAGTCAAAAACATACTATTAGGCGTCAGTAACATAAATACATACAGCCAGCTAAATTACGAGAACAGGGATCGCTAGGGTTGATGGCAAATCAGATAAGCCACCCCACCCCTCACAGCATTCAGCTCTATCCAGTTGTTTTGAGGGGATACAGACTCCATATTTTGGGTTTGGTTTTGCTTTCAAGAGAAGTCAGAAATCTGGAACACTATGCAAAATCTCAACTTTGAATTTTTGATAATATTCAGCTTGAGGGCTGTCAGTCTGTGACATCTGCCCTAGATAGATGAAATTTGGATTTAATTTTCCTACTCAAATCTGGGGTCCCTGAGAGCTGCAGTTATGTCTTATCCATCCTTTCATCCCTGAAAGAACCCATCACTGTTCTCTACACTTGGTTTTCGGGGACTTGCCAACCATCAGGCAGCATGCTTAGCACTTTACATTCATCCTTCCTCTCTAACTTTCACAGCAACCTTAGCGGGTAGTTACTGCTGTTTTCACCAGTTGGCAGATGAGTAAGCTGAGAATGAAAGAAATGAGGTAGCACGCCCAGGTTCACACAACTAGAAAGTGGCAGACTCAATTCTTGAACCCAGTTCTGTAGATTTTATCTCCTAACCTCTAGCTAAATGCCCCTCCTAGATGTTCCCACATTCCTCTGTATATATCCCAGGGGTCACATTTACCACTCTGTATTGTAATTGTCTTTTCCTTCTGTCTCCTGCACCTCGTTGGGAAATATGACTGCAGGATAGATAGACAAATGAGCAAATATAATCAATGCCGTGGTGAAAATGAGCAACAGTTAGGAGGAGAATGTCTTCCAATACCGAGAACGCTGGATAATTTTTGTTTTTGTTGCTGTCAATAATTTGATCTATCTGCAATGAAATATCATCTTGCTTTATAGGAGGGCTGGGTGAGCGGAGAATTAAGTATTCTTCCATCTTCCCTTACTCTTCCTTCTCCATTTCCCCCAGGAAGCTCTAGGCTTTCTCATTAGGATAAATGAAAAGAGAACTTGACCTCTCTTCTAGTTAACTGGAAAACTCCCAATTCATTTTATTTGGAACATAACACATGGCACCCAGGTCGGTGCTTCTCTTCCCCCTGGGGACCAGCCCTGGATATTGTCAGCACACAAGCAACCGCAGGAATTCTGCCCACGCATAACACAGATGGACCTCACAAGGGCCACACAAGCTGGAGTAGATAAGGAGAACTTAGCTCAGAGTGAATACACAGGAAGGAGGAGGGTCTGGTATCTCATTTAGGGAATTAAATCCTTTATATGGCCTCTTTGTACTTTAGAAGAGTGTGTGGTCTGGAGAGGGGAGGGTGGGGGGCCAGGACAGAGGGAGATGGAAAGTTAGGACTTAGGGCTGGGGAGGGCAGGTTCTCACTTGTGCACTGACCCGCCCCATCTTCCTGAGGCAAGTCTCGTAATTACCTAACTAATGGGGAATAATGACACCACTTGGATGGGAGTTGAGAGAGGGGGAAAGAAAGGCATGAGAATTCATTAACCATGTGTGAGGGGCTTGGATAGCATCCCTGAAGGATCATTATTACATCATTTCACCCCCCTTTCCCACCTCTTTCCACTAATATGAGACAGACAAATGCTAAATAACTATGTAATAATACATTACTAGACAGACAACAATGCCAGAAAATATAATAGCCTGCTACAGCTATGAAACTCTCCCAAAGATATATTTAAAATGTCACTGATGCATAATGTAAAATAGGAATTACAGGTTCATTTGGAGGACATGATTTAAAATCTATACAACTGTACAGTGGTATTTCCCACTGGGTTTTTGTTGTCACTGTCCTTTTCTAAACATCACAAAGAAAACAAAAATCACCCAAATAATTTCAGCCTAGAGATGCGAACTTCAAGGAACCTGTTTCCTCCACATTTTTCCTTCTTGTTTTTGTTGGTCAGGATGCTCTCCAAACCTAGTATCTTCTTGACATGTTGTCTTTTCTTCAGAATGTTTCTGCAGCCTGCACAGGAACCCCAGAATGTAGATTACACCTTTTGGAGATGTAGCCCGGCCACATAAGGAGACAAGTAGTTGAAATTTGTGTCAAATTGCTTGTTTAAATGACTTGAGCCAACTTCTTAAAGCCAGGACAGCAGGGGCTGAGGATTTTTAAAGTTGGCAGGGGCCAAAAATGACAAGGCTCAGCAGTCACCTGGTGAGCTGCCAGCCCTGACTGGAAGCTTCAAAAAATAAAACTTTCTCAAAGGACACAAATTAAAAGTCATGTTTCAGCATCCATTAAAACGAAATTATAGGCTTCATCGCATAGCAAACTACTTTCATTTTCATTATGCTTAAAATATTTCATTTTGTAGATTGAGAATCGGTTGCTAGGAAAACCTTGTGTGGAGTTGTCAGAGACAGCGATATCTACAAGGGGATATTTTCCAAGGGAGAGCTCTCCTTTGTTTTTCCTGCAAGGATAGAGGATTTTGTTATTTAAAAAAACGCAGGATGCAATTTGGAGTCGGGGTCATGGCTTGAAAACATCTGCCATGACCTTCTCCAGAGACCGAGTCCTCAGGGTTCATCTCTCAGAGGAAAGAAGTTAGCAACCTGCTGAGCTGAGTGGGCTCACAGGTGTGTTTTGTTCACTCTCATTTTAAAATAGATATATATGTGTATATTACACATATACACATATATACACACATACATACGCAAATATGTGTGTATACACACATACATACGCAAATATGTGTGTATACACACATACATATATATAAATCTCATTTTGAATTGTCAACATTTTTAAAAACTAGGAAATTTTATCTACAAGTCCAGATTTCCAGCTTTTCTAGAGAAATTAGAAATTACGGCTGCCTTGAGCTCTCTCCCTCATTCCCACGTGATCAAATTGACCTGGTGCTGAGTGAGGGCTGCCCCCTAGTCTCTTCACCTCAACTCAGTCCTTAGCTAGCCCACTCCACCTTCCTGCCTAGTCCCTATAGGTATTTAAAGGTACTATTCCCTGACTTAGAGTGTTCCATATTCTTAATATCTTCAAAAGATGAAATTTTTGAAAAGAATGTGTGCAGTATACCAGTTTACCTGGAAAGGGAATAGGGACTTGCTACGCCAGCGATCAGCCTTGAATGTCATGTTACTTTCATTGCAGTATTAATATGTTTCAAATAATTCCTCTGGTCAGCCCTTATCCACCTGGTTTTGCTAAATTAGTTTCTCATTATTCTTCATTTGATGCGTGTGGATAAATGCAAATCAAAGCCCATTATTTATTTGTAACTGACTCTGGGATGCCTGCCGCAGTCTTATCTGTCGCTCTAGCTTGCAGCTTTCAGCAATTGTCAGCTTAGAGACTTTGGTTTGAAACTCTCCTCCAGTGGTTTGCAGAGTGCCTGAGACTGGAATTTGCAGACGCTAACAGTCATTTCTCCTTTTTTTTTCAGGCCCTCCGAACCACCACAGCCAGTCGACTCTGAGGCCCCCTCTCCCACCCCCTCACAACCACACGCTGTCCCATCACCACTCGTCCGCCAACTCCCTCAACAGGAACTCACTGACCAATCGGCGGAGTCAGATCCACGCCCCGGCCCCAGCGCCCAATGACCTGGCCACCACACCAGAGTCCGTTCAGCTTCAGGACAGCTGGGTGCTAAACAGCAACGTGCCACTGGAGACCCGGTAAGTCCCCATCGCCAGCTCACAGTCACACTCAGTGTCACCTTACCCCTGAGTCACCACACAGAGCCACTGGGTGTCTCAGAGTTCCAGTCGGAGAGACCCTCTGGGTATAAATAATGAGACAAGTTTACCACCTCCTTGTTCCCTTGGTAATTTGACCCTGGACAGTAGGTTGACAGGTATTTCTTCGTTCACATGTGTCTCCTTTTAAAGCTTGTTTACTTTCTCGGATAGCTCTTGTGTACCCAACTAATAGAATTAGCATAACATATTTTTACTCGAAGGCTCATGGGAAACATGCTTATAAGGGTATATTGACTGAAAGCTGCTGATAAATTATGCATTTGGCCTTTCTTGAAGTAATAAATGAAGACTCATTTGAAATTAAGTGTTTGGGGAGACCTTGAGAAACAATCCCTGATTCCAAACTGACAGAAGTATAATTTAAATTTATATTTCATCCAACATGCAGTCTCACTTTAATCCCTCCTGTACACACTAACAGCTTGATGCCTGTGGGGCAAACGGTAATGTATAAAAACAAACAAGAAAAAAGGGGCAGCACTTACGTGAGGAGGGAAGAGTTTGAAAATGATCTCCAGGTCTGGCTTTGTTTTGTGTAGCCTTTGCTTCTGTCCTTTTTTCACCTTCGATTCTGTTCTCCAAAACCATATACACCTTAATGATCTGAAAGAAGACCTGTCAGTCAGGGTATGGAGGGGCTGGAATGTCACTGACAGTGAAGGCTCTGTGTGGGTTGGCCAGACTCTGAAACAGCCTTGCTGCTCTATCCCCAGGCACATTCTTGGTTTGTGTGTTTCAAATGCTATTGTTTCCTTGTCTAGAAGAACCATGGAGACGGAACAGAGAGGAGGGCTAATTCATACTGACCCTTCATAAAGTTCCCAAATAGATTTTAAACTTTAATAACTTAGGTTTGAGGAAAGACAGAAATAATCTGTAATGTTTCTGATAATGGCCAGTGAATTCTCTTCACACAGCTGGAAGCAATTTTGAAAGTAGCATTTGGAGTTGTTTCTTACCTATAATTTTTTTGTTTTTTTATAAGATCCTGAAAATTAATATGTTATACATCTTTGTCACTATAATCACTCCAAACTTTTAATTTTATTTTCTGACAATTATAGGATTTTTAAAGAATTTTTGCTTTATTAAGAGAAACTAAAAGAATGAACCTAAGCTAATAAATATCCTTGATCTCAACATTAGTTTAAAAGAATTGGTACAGAAATAAATAAAATGACACAAAATGAAGCACTAAGCCAAATACAAAGGGTGCTGCATTATTATTATTTTCCTCTGCAAAAAATACCTAACGTGTGTGCACACACACACTCACTCACACACACACACACACAAACAAACACACACACAGGCTCTCACACAAAGAATGGTTACATAACAAAGTAAACGTTATAACAACCACATCTGTTTGACTCTTAATCCAAACTAACACGAAAAATCTGTCAAGACAATTGGGGTAATTTAAACACGGATTGGGTATTTAATGATATTAAGAATATAATTATAATTTTATTAGGTGCAGTTTTGGCATGCATGTTTGGTTCAAACATTAAAAACATTCCAATTGAGGAATGAAAAGCTACGTATCGGGTATTATGCTTTTTTAAAATTTATTATAGTTTAAGTTCTGGGATACATGTGCAGAACGTGCAGGTTCGTTACATAGGTATAAACATGCCATGGTGGTTTCCTGCACCCATCAACTGGTCATCTATATTAGGTATTTCTCCTAATGCTATCCCTCCCCTAGGCCCCTGCCCCCTCACAGGCCCCAGTGTGTGATGTTCCCCTCCCTGTGTCCATGTGTTCTTATTGTTCAGCTCCCACTTATGAGTGAGAACATGTGGTGTTTGGTTTTCTGTTCCTGTGTTAGTTTGCTGAGGATGATGGTTTCCCGCTTCATTCATGTCCCTGCAAAGGACATGAACTCATCCTTTTGTTATGGCTGCATAGTATTCCATGGTGTATATGTGCCACATTTTCTTTATCCAGTCTATCATGGATGGGCATTTGGGTTGGTTCCAAGTCTCTGCTATTGTGAATAGTGCTGCAATAAACATATGTGTGCATGTGTCTTTATAGTAGAATGATTTATAATCCTTTGGGTTCATACCCAGTAATGGGATTGCTGGGTCAAATGGTATTTCTGGTTCTAGATCCTTGAGGAATCACCACACTGTCTTTCACAATGGTTGAATCAATTTACACTCCCACCAACAGTGTAAAAGCATTCCTATTTCTCCACATCCTCTCCAGCATCTGTTGTTTCCTGACTTTCAATGATCGCCATTGTAACTGGCATGAGATGTTATCTCATTGTGGTTTTGATTTGCATTTCTCTAATGATCAGTGATAATGAGCTTTTTTTCATATGGTTGTTGCCCACATGAATGTCTTCTTTTGAGAAGTGTCTGTTCATATCCTTCACCCAATTTTTGATGGGGTTGTTTGTTTTTTTCTTGTAAATTTGTTTAAGTTCCTTGTGGATTCTAGATATTAGCCCTTTGTCAGATGGATAGATGGCAAAAATTTTCTCCCATTCTATAGATTGCCTGTTCTCTCTGATTATAGTTTATTTTGCTGTGGGGAAGCTCTTTAGTTTAATTAGATTCCATTTGTCAATTTTGGCTTTCTTTGCCATTGCTTTTTGTGTTTTTGTCATGAAGTCTTTGCCCATGCCTATGTCCTGAATGGTATTGCCTAGGTTTTCTTCTGGGGTTTTTATGGTTTTAGGTTTTGTGTTTAAGTCTTTAATCCATCTTGAGTTAATTTTTGTATAAGGCATAAGGAAGTGTTCCAGTTTCAGTTTTCTGAATATAGCTAGCCAGTTTTTCCAACACCATTTATTAAATAGGGAATCCTTTCCCCATTGCTTGTTTCCATCGGGTTTGTCAAAGATCAGATGGTTGTAGATGTATGGTGTTATTTCTGGGGCCTCTGTTCTGTTCCATTGGTCTATATATCTGTTTTGGTACCAGTACCATGCTGTTTTGGTAAATGTAACCTTGTAGTATAGTTTGAAGTCAGGTAGCGTGATGACTCCTGTTTTGTTCTTTTTGCTTAGGCTATATCACTTGGCCGTATGGGCTCTTTTTTGGTTCCATATTAAATTTTAAGTAGTTTTTTCTAATTCTGTGAAGAAAGTCAATGGTAGCTTGATGGGGATAGCATTGAATCTATGAATTACTTTGGGCAGTGTGGCTATTTTCACTATATTGATTCTTCCTATCCATGAGCATGGAATGTTTTTCCATTTGTTTGTGTCCTCTCATTTCGTTGAGCAGTGGTTTGTAGTCCTCCTTGAAGAGGTCCTTCACATCCCTTGTAAGTTGGATTCCTAGGTATTTTATTCTCTTTGTAGCAATTGTGAATGGGAGTTCACTCATGATTTGGCTCTCTGTTTGTCTGTTATTGGTGTATAAAAATGCTTGTGATTTTTGCATATTGACTTTGTATCCTGAGACTTTGCTTGAAGTTGCTTATCACCTTAAGGAGATTTTTGGGCAGAGATGATGGAGTTTTCTAAATATACAATCATATCATCTGCAAACAGAAACAATTTGACCTCCTGTCTTCCTATTTGAATACCCTTTATTTCTTTCTCTTGCCTGATTTCCCTCGCCAGAACTTCGAGTACTATGTTGAATAGGAGTGGTGAGAGAGGGCATCCTTGTCTTGTGCCGGTTTTCAAAGGGAATGCTTCCAGCTTTTGGCCATTCAGTGTGATATTGGCTGTGGGTCTGTCATAAATAACTCTTATTATTTTGAGATATGTTTCATCAATACCTAGTTTATTGAGAGTTTTTAGCATGAAGGGGTGTTAAATTTTATTGAAGGCCTTTTCTGCATCTATTGAGATAATCATGTGGTTTTTGTCATTGGTTCTGTTTATGTGATTAATTACATTTATTGATTTGCGTATGTTGAACCAGCCTTGCATCCCAGGGATGAAACCGACTTGATCATGGTGGAGAAGCTTTTTGATGTGCTGCTGGCTTCAGTTTGCCAGTATTTTATTGAGGATTTTCGCATCGATGTTCAGCAGGGATATTGGCCTGAACTTTTCTTTTTTTGTTGTGTCTTTGCCAGGTTTTGCTATCAGGATGATGCTGGCCTCATAAAATGAGTTAGGGAGGAGTCCCTCTTTTTCAATTGTTTGGAATAGTTTCAGAAGGAATGGTACCAGCTCCTTTTTGTACCTCTGGTAGGATTCAACTCTGATTCCATCTGGTTCTGGGCTTTTTTTTTTGTTGGTAGGCTATTAATTACTGCCTCAATTTCAGAAATTATTATTGGTCTATTCAGGGATTCGACTTCTTCCTGGTTTAGTCTTGAGAGGGTGTATGTGTCCAGCAATTTATCCATTTCTTCTAGATTTTCTGGTTTATTTGCATAGAGATGTTTATAGTATTCTCTGATGGTAGTTTGTATTTCTGTGGGATCAGTGGTGATATCCCCTTTATGATTTTTTGTTGTGTCTATTTGATTCTTCTCTCTTTTCTTCTTTATTAGTCTGGCCGGCAGTCTATCTATTTTGTTAATCTTCTCAAAACACAGCTCCTGGATTCATTAATTTTTTGAAGGGTTTTTCATGTCTCTATCTCCTTCAGTTCTGCTCTGATCTTCGTTATTTCTTGTCTTCTGTTAGCTTTTGATTTTGTTTGCTCTTGCTTCTCTAGTTCTTTGAATTGTGATGTTAGGGTGTCGATTTTAGATTGTTCCTGCTTTCTCCTATGGGCATTTAGTGCTATAAATTTCCCTCTAAACACTGCTTTAGCTGTGTCCCAGAGATTCTGGTACATTGTGTCTTTGTTCTCATTGGTTTCAAAGAACTTATTTATTTCTGCCTTAATTTTGTTATTTACCCAGTAGTCATTCAGGAGCAGATTGTTCAGTTTCCATGTAGTTGTGCAGATTTGAGTGAGTTTCTTAATCCTGAGTTCTAATTTGATTGCACTGTGGTCTGAGAGACTGTTTGTTATGATTTCCATTCTTTTGCATTTGCTGGGGAGTGTTTTACTTCCAATTATGTGGTCAATTTTAGAATAAGTGTGATGTGGTACTGAGAAGAATGTATATTCTGTTGATTTGGGGTGGAGAGTTCTGCAGATGTCTATTAGGTCCACTTGGTCCAGAGCTGAGTTCAAGTCCTGAATATCCTTCTTAATTTTCTGATTGTTGATCTGTCTAATATTGACAGTGAGGTGTTAAAGTCACCCATTATTATTGCGTGGGAGTCTAAGTTGCTTTGTAGATCTCTAAGAACTTGCTTTATGAATCTGGGTGCTCCTGTATTGGGTGCATATATATTTAGGATAGTTAGCTCTTCTTGTTGCTTTGATCCCTTTACCATTATGTAATGGCCTTCTTTGTCTTTTTTGATCTTTGTTGGTTTAAAGTCTGTGTTATCAGAGACTAGGATTGCAACCTTTGCTTTTTTGTTTTTTGCTTTCCATTTGCTTGGTAGACATTCCTCCATCCCTTTATTTTGAGCCTATATCTGTCTTTGCATGTGAGATAGGTCTCCTGAATACAGCACACTGATGGGTCTTGACTCTTTATCCAATTTGCCAGTCTGTGTCTTTTAATTGGGGCATCTAGCCTCTTTACATTTAGGGTTAATATTGTTATGTATGAATTCGATCCTGTCATTATGATGCTAGCTGGTTATTTTGCCCGTTGGTTGATGTAGTTTCTTCATGGTGTTGATGGTCTTTACAATTTGGTATGTTTTTGCTGTGGCTGGTACCAGTTTTTCCTTTCCATGTTTAGTGCCTCCTTCAGGAGCTCTTGTAAGGCAGGCCTGGTGGTGACAAAAATCTCTCAGCATTTGCTTGTATGTAAAGGATTTTATTTCTCCTTTGCTTATGAAGCTTAGTTTGACTGGATATGAAATTCTGGGTTGAAAATTCTTTTCTTTAAGAATGTTGAATATTGGCGCCCACTCTCTTCTGGCTTGTAGCGTGTCTGCAGAGAGATCCACTGTTAGTCTGATGAGCTTCCTTTTGTGGGTAACTTGACCTTTCTCTCTGGCTGCCCTTAACATTTTTTCCTTCATTTCAACCTTGGTGAATCTGACGATTATGTGTCTTGGGGTTGCTCTTCTCAAGGAGTATCTTTTTGGTGTTTTCTGTATTTCCTGAACTTGAATGTTGGCCTGTCTTGCTAGGTTGGGGAAGTTCTCCTGGATAATATCCTGAAGAGTGTTTTCCAATTTGGTTCCATTCTGTCCATCACTTTCAGGTACACCAATCAAATGCAGGTTTGGCCCTTTCACATAGTCCCATATTTCTTGGAGGCTTAGTTCATTCCTTTTCATTCTTTTTTTTTTTTTTTTCTTTTTTTGAGATGGAGTCTCGCTCTGTCGCCCAGGCTGGAGTGCAGTGGCGCGATCTCGGCTCACTGCAAGCTCCGCCTCCCAGGTTCACGCCATTCTCCTGACTCAGCCTCCCCAGCAGCTGGGACTACAGGCGCACACCACCACACCCAGCTAATTTTTTTGTATTGTTAGTAGAGACGGGGTTTCACTGTGTTAGCCAGGATGGTCTTGATCTTGTGTTCATGCTTTATTTCATTAAGTTGATCTTCAATCCCTGAAATCCTTTCTTCCACTTAATCTATTTGGCTATTGATACTTGTGTATGCTTCACGAAGTTCTTGTGCTGTGTTTTTCAGCTCCCTCAGGTCACTTATGTTCTTCTCTAAACTGGTTATTCTAGTTAGCAATTCCTCTAGCCTTTTTTCAAGGTTGTTAGCTTCCTTGCATTGGGTCAGAACATGCTCCTTTAGCTTGGAGGAGTTTGTTATTTCCCACCTTCTGAAACCTACTTTTGTCAATTCATCAAACTCATTCTTCATTGAGTTTTGTTCCCTTGCTGGTGAGGACTTGTGATCCTTTGGATGAGAAGAGGTGTTCTGGTTTTTGGAATTTTCAGCCTTTTTGCGCTATTTTTTCCTCATCTGTGTGGATTTATCTACCTTTGGTCTTTGATGTTGGTGACCTTCAGATGGGTTTTCTGAGTGGACGTCCTTTTTGTTGATGGTGATGCTATTCCTTTCTGTTTGTTAGTTTCCAGTCAGGCCCCTCAGCTGCAGGTCTGCTGAAGTTTGCTGGAGGTCCACTCCACACCCTATTTGCCTGGGTATCACCAGCGGAGGCTGCAGACAGCAAAGACTGCTGCCTGTTCCTTCCTCTGGAAGCTTCGCCCAGAGGGCTACCCACCAGATGCCAGCTGGAGCTCTCCTGTATGAGGTGTCTGTCAACCCATGCTGGTAGGTGTCTCCCAGTCAGGAGGCACGGGGGTTAGGGACCTACTTGAGGAGGCAGTCTTTCCCTTAGCAGAGCTCAAGCACTGTGCTGGGAGATCCGCTGCTCTCTTCAGAGCCGGCAGGGTGGGAATGTTTAAGTCTGCTGAAGCTGTGCCCACAGCCGCCCCTTCCCCCAGGTGCTCTGTCCCAGGGAGACGGGAGTTTTATCTATAAGCCTCTGACTGGGTCTGCTGCCTTTCTTTCAAAGGTACCCTGCCCAGAAAGGAGGAATCTAGAGAGGCAGTCTGGCTACAGCAGGTTTGCTGAGCTGTGGTGGGCTCTGCCCAGTCTGAACTTCCCAGTGGCTTTGTTTACACTGTGAGGGGAAAACTACTTACTCAAGCCTCAGTAATAGTGGACCCCCCCTCCCTCCCACCAAGCTGGAGCATCCCAGGTCAACTTCAGACTGCTGTGCTGGCAGCAAGAATTTCAAGCCAGTGGATCTTAGCTTGCTGGGCTCCATGGGTTGGGATCTGCTGAGCTAAACCACTTGGCTCCCTTGCTTCAGCCCCCTTTCCAGGGGAGTGAACGGTTCTGTCTTACTAGCGTTCCAGTCACCTCTGTGGTATTAATAAAAAAACTCCTGCAGCTAACTCAGTGTCTGCCCAAACGGCCACCCAGTTTTGTGCTTGAAACCCAGGGCCCTGGTGGTGTAGGCACCCAAGGGAATCTCCTGGTCTGTGGGTTGTTAAGACAGTGGGAAAAGCACAGTATCTGGGCCGGAATGCACCATTCCTCACAGCACAGTCCCTCACAGCTTCCCTTGGCTAGAGGAGGGAGTTCCCTGACCCCTTGTGCTTCCTGGGTGAGGCGACGCCCCGCCCTGCTTCAGCTTGCCCTCTGTGGGCTGTACCCACTGTCTAACCAGTCCTAGTGAGATGAGCCTAGTACTTCAGTTAGAAATGCAGAAATCACCTGGCTTCTGTGTTGATCTCACTGGGAGCTGCAGACCGGAGCTGTTCCTATTCGGCCATCTTGCCAGCCAGCAGAATTATAGGTTATTTTTAACCATGTCTACAATCTTAATCTTTAAAGGTTAAAATATGTAAAGTCAATAAAAACTGTATATAATAGAGATATTTAAACTTCTGCCCTGATATGGTAAACCATTAATAAACAGCTTTGCTGGAAGCTGACTGGCTGGCCAGGCTTAACTCAGGATATTGTCAAAGTTGATGGTGGTCTTAAAGGCTGGATGGTATTTTCTGTCTTTTTCCTCTCCACACTTACAAACTGCCATAGAGTTTGTTAATTAGTCAGCCTATTTTTACGTTAACAGACTATTATTTGAAAAATAGTTTCTGGATATAAATGCTACTTAGAATGGACTAGATGAAGAAGAAGAAAGGAAGGAAAGAAAGGGAAGAGGAGATGTAATAGCTATTGTAGAAAAAGAAGAGGACCACCATGACCATTATCAATCAGTTGTTATTGTTTAGTTTATATATGCTGAACATTAATGCTTTACGTGCATTATCTCACTCAAGCCTGAAAACAATCCTATGAAGTAGGAAGGGACTTTTATTATGGCCATTTAAAGATGCAGAATCTAGGGATAGAGGGACAAAGTAACCTGCAGGAAGTCTAAAGCTTCAGAAAGATAGTAAACTATGAGCCATGTTGGATGAAACACTGGAAGTTCCTACACCCAAAATAAGGTGGTGGAATGTCTGATGGGTGAACAACCACAAATCTAGGTTTATTGCCCTAGTTGTTACATTTACAGGACCAGATCCACCAGAGTGTCTGCTCTTGGCAATGAGTCTTCCCTTAGTGATAAGAACACACGAAACACATAAACATATCTCCCAGCTCCCAGCTCCTGATGCAATCAGTTGGTTTTCTAGATTTATTTTGAATAACTTTTTGTAATAAAGTGTCCTCTTGACAAATATCTGGTAGAGAGGACCAATGAAACCACGCAGATCACTGTCCTGCTTTCCTAAAGTAAGCTCTTCCAGAATTTACTTTCTGGTCTAGAGTCCTTCTTCAGATCCTTTGAATATTTGGCTTTTCTCCAAGGATTAGGACTTCTCAATGCTAATTTTGGAAGAAGCACATTAAAGAAAAAAATTGGTGGGAAGATAGGAGTGCCAAAACCTTGACATCCATCAAAAGGAAAAAAAAAAAAATGAGACAACATCTGAGTATTCTTTGATCCATATGTTCAAGAGCCAAGGATTAGAGCTCCTTGGGATGGAGTTGTTGGCAGAAATCCAGCACAAGGTGCAAAACTTGGTAAATATTTGAAACTCCACTCATGGAACTGAGCACATAGAATATGCATCTAGTCTCATGTATGAAAATTCTAGTCATAGTCCATAGAACTGATGAAATGTATGATTCTGTTTTAAATATTATTTGTATTAGTTTGTTCTCACACTGCTAATAAAGACATACCCGAGACCCAGTAATTTATAGAGGAAACAGATTTAATTGACTGACAGTTCAGCATGACGGGGGAGGCCTCCAGAAACTTATAATCATGGTAGAAAGGGAAGCAAACACACTCTTCTTCAACATGGCAGCATCAACTGCTGAGCAAAAGGGGTGAAAACCCCTTATAAAACCATCAGATCTCATGAGAACTCACTCACTATCACGACAACAGTATGAGGGTAACCGCCCCCATGATTAAGATACCTCCCACTGGGTCCCTCCCATGACACATGGGAATTATGGGAACTACAATTCAAGATGAGATTTGGGTAGGGACACAACCAAACCGCATTGTTATTAGTTCAGTCTCTTATTAGCAAATATTTATTGAGTCCCTTGTGTATGCCAAGAGCTATGTTAGGTACTGGCAAGATACTGATTAAAACATGTATTGTCCCATTAAAGATCGTCCAACCTAAAGGAGGAGGCAGGTACATAAGCAAAAAGATAGTTCAACATATACAGTAATGGAAGTCTAAAAGTTACAGAGATTTTATAGTGGAAGAAGCGATTTACTATCCGAGAAAGATCAAGAAAATTTTTATAGCTGAAGGGCTGCTTCAGCTGGGTTTTGAGGGATGAATAGGAATTTATCTATTACATAAGTAAAGTCAGATATGATAGCATATTATTATTTGTTCTCATTCACCACTGTTTTTCCATATAGTCTTAGCAATAGATAATTGAATGAATTCCCTGATTCAAATGCTAAAATATTGTGAGTTTATTGGTGTCAATTTCTTAGCCATGAGAGAGTATAGATATGGGATTTCTTCTTTTTAGGAGCATGATGCCATGCTAGTATTTCCATTTCTGTCTTTCATACCAAATAAGAATTGGTCTCTCTCCAGGAGAGAGAACCATTAAAAGCAAGACATTCTGAAGGTTGATTATAATTTAGTCACCATTTTTGAAAATGTGGTGTAAATTTACAAACAGCTTGACCACCCTTACTCTCATTAATACAGATTTCTGGGTTTGATGGAATAATTTCAAAACTCTGAGAGGTAATGAGCAGGCATTCTGCCACTCCCAGAATGCAAAGCGTGTCTCTTTAGTCCAGTGTGTCTCCTTAGACCAGTGGGGAGTGGGTCCTTTCCTCTCTGCATTGCTCTCTTGATGTCCCCATCAGTCTTAATGAAGCATGTTAGATCTTCTCTGAACTATGCTGCTTTTTTTTTTCTATGATGAGTACATTGGAGGGGCTGATTAAGGAGGCATAACCAGAAAATAGGACTGTTTGGAATTTAACAAAAGACAAACAAGCATATAAGGGAAGTTCTGCATCAATGTAAAATAAAAGAACAATGCATATAAATTTGTACTACCAAAAGCAGTCTATTCATGTATAAACCATAATATAATCCAACGAAAATCAAACATAAGGCAGAACTAACTGCAAGCAGTCTGTACTGTCTTTTCTTAAGTAGTGTGTTACAGAATCCCTCTACCCTCCACCTTCCTCCCAGCCTATTCACAGAAGGTTTTGAAACAAAGTCTACTTGCAATTCTTGTTCAATATCACCTATCTACTCCTTCCTCTGCTGAAAGTGACAAGGTGAGAAATCTTCCCGGTCGGCTGCTTCTTTGGGAGTTTCTAAAGTCAACTTCTCTTGTCTAAAACAGTAGAAAGTAGCTCAGTGACAGAACCTAACTTTTCTTCCTTTGTGTGTTTTGCTGAAGCAAGCGTCTCTCTTTGGATCTGTCTGAGCAGTAGATCACAAAAAAGAGTCCCTAAGCAGGACAAAACTTCTCTCTGAGTTCACTTTTGCCCTGACATACTAGAAGCCCTAATTTTAATCATCAAGATCCTCAAGCTGCAAAACGGTTTGCAATTTGCCTTTTTAAATGGTCATTCATTAATTATTCTAGAAATAGCTATGAGAACCTACCATGTGTCAGGCACTGAGGATCCGGCAAAGGAGAAAAACAAAACCTCTGTCCTTATGGAGATTCTAGGCTGGAAGCAGACAGAACATAAACAAATGTCCCTTACACCATGACAAATGCAGTAAGTGCCACAGACGGCTGAAGAAGCCAGACCCATAAGAAATGGACATTTAAGCTGAGCCCTTAAGGATGAGTAGGGGTTAATCAGGCTTAAAGAGTGCTCTAGATCACAAAAACAATGAGCCACTAGGGGCAGAAACACTAAGGTGCCAGAAAGAGAAAGCAAGAGAAAGCAAACTAGAAAGGTAGGCAAGGGCAAGATGGATCAAGGCTTTGGACCATGTTAAAGCTTTTGGACTCTACCTCGAGAACAATTAAAAGTCACTGAAGCTTTTTAAGCAGGAGAGCAAAATAATAAGATACACTCTGCTTTTTGCTTTTAATAATGATAGCTGCCCTATGATAAATGGATTGGGGGGCAGTTAGAGTGGAAAGTATGCAAGACTAAAGGTCCAGTTTGGAAAATAAAATAATAGTTAAGATAAAAAGTGGCATGCCTTTGATTAGGGAGTGGTGCTGAATATTCAAAGATGTGAGGTATAGTTTGAAGGTAGGATCAGTAGAAATTAATGATTGCTGGGATTTGAAGATGAAGGTTAGGATTCTTCAAGTTTTTGACTTAGATGTCTGGGTGAATAGCAATGTCATGTGCTGAAGAAGGAACAGGTTTTTGTGGCAGAAAACAAAAGTTCAGTTTTGGACATGTTACATTTATGAGGCAAGAGAATTGAGTGCAGTTATTGGCCAGACTTATTTTGATTCTAAAATAATATGTATAACACAGAAAATCATCCATTTACAGATAATAGCATATGTAGTATATCCAAAGCCCTCAGCAATTGATTTTTCTCTTTAAAAAATGTCTCTCCAGGCCAGATGCAGTGGTTCATACCTATAATCCCAGTAATCTGGGAGGTTGAGATGGAAGAATCTCTTGAGCCCAGGATGTGGAGGCTGCAGTAAGCTATGATCACACCCCTGCGCTCCATCCTGGGTGATAGCGTGAGATTCCATCTTAAAAAAAAAGAAAAAAAATTCTCTCCAGAAATTTGTTAAATTTATTTCACACAATCATATAGGCCTGTGAATACTAACTTTTCTTTGTCAAATACTTTTTGCTTGGCACTAAGCTTTACCTACAGGATCCCATTTAATCCCTTAAGCTCTTTGTTAGGTATATGTTACTATCCATATTTAAAATACAGGGAAACCAGGGCTGGGGGAATTAAGTTATTTACATGTCACCCATTAGTAAGTGACAGAGCTGAAATTTGAACCTGGGTTGACCTGACTTTAAATCCCATATTCTTAATGACCATATGATAATGCCTGGGGAACTAGGAAGGGCGGGGGCTGGAAAAAACTCTGTCTAGCCTGATGGCAAACAACAAATTAATTTGCTTAGGCCATGAAATGAAGTCAATGCATTACAAGTGGCATAAGGCGAGAAATGATCTATGGGATGAACTCCAGCCTGTTACTGGACATAGACTTAGTCATTGTCAAACTCATAAGCCAGGCCAGATGCAAGAGACCCTTCTCTGAAGCTCTGAGGAATTGGTGGCAACCCGGATGGTAAATCTGAGGCCTCACCACTCCATGGTGGTGGCAGCATAGCATATGATTTACGGGGAGAGGTTTTATGCCCTGCATATTATAAAATATGAGTGCAGATTGACAAGGGAGAATTAAGAAGCACAGCTACTTGTTTAGCTCTGCAACTCGTAGGATCTTTTTCATTCTAAACAGAGCTCTGCCAGATTGCTGGGAGAAAGCGCAACAGCCATGGGTGCCATGGCTGACCCTTGGGGCATCCCTTGAATATCATCCTTGTTCCTGTTAGCAGGAAGCATGACAAGTGCTCAGAAAAAGAATTGAGCATGTTGGGCTTGCTGAGTGGTATCTAAGGAATCTAATTTTGGTGTCAGAATTTTTAAAAACACACTTTTTGTCTTCAAGAAGAAGCAATCTTAGACTAATCTGGATGCCTTATTGGTAGTGCGTATTTGGAAATCGAGATTCAAGACCTTCAGTAAATGAGGCTTTCACAGAGAAGAAACAAGATTGTTGAAACATCTTCACCATGCTGAGTGCAAAGACTATTCCAAACTTGTTCTCAGATTGATTTTTCTACCTAAGGATTAATTTTCTGACAGAATCACTGACAAGCCTGATCTTTAGAATATTAAACCTAGGCAACCTGTTTGCTTTTTTGTTTGTTTTTTAATGTTTTCAAGTGAGGTTTAAAGGTAGGATTCATTCTGGGTGAACCAAATGCATCGAAGCACTTTCAAATCAATAGGCAGCTTGATTTCTCTGTATTGCAAAACATTATGCCCCCTCTAAATTCTCATCACAGGCAACATGGAAATTAATGAGACCTTTAGATTAGCCTTTCAAGCTCAGCCTTATTTTATAGCTTTACCTTGCCTTTTTGACACCACGATCTCGCCTGGCCACCAGCAGCATTTCATGTTGCAGTGCACTTTAATTTTGCAGTTTTCTTAGTCTTCCTTGGAAACTGGCAGCTTATTAATCTCAATAACTGAGCTGCTCAATAGGCAAGCTCACCAATGAGAGACCAGGCTGTGTCTTTTTTTTTTCTTGGCAGATGGAAACAAGGGGGTTGGTTGTTGGATGGAGGCAAGGGAGGTGGCAGAGAAAAAGCTGGTTAGGAGGGGCACCTCATCCCCCACATCACTTTCTGATAATTGGCAGGAAAATAAAGCAAGCCTAGTCTAATCCACTGCTCTGTAATTTATGGCTTGTGGTGTTAAACACACTCGAACCCATTAATAAGAAAATAAATAAAGTGTTGTGGCACGTGTGCAAATTACAAGGTGCATTAAGAAAGAAACAAGCATTACATCTTATTCAAGACCACTCCAGCCTATTCTTGGCATGGTCTGCAAACTTGGAAGCATCCTGGAAAGTGGAGGTACCTAAGGAGAAGCTGTCCTTTTTAAATTTGCCTGCCTCTACAAAATTAAAAACTTATTGAGGAATTGAACTTCTTATTGCAGGGTACCACAGCTAAGTCTCTAGGTAGAAAGAACTTAAAAAAAAGAAAAATAAAAATCCATCCCTCAGCAGCCTTTACCGTGGGGACCCAATTACAAATTGAGACCACCCTGTGGTCATGCATTGTAAGAGCAAGACTTTGCCCTGAGTCTGTGTAAATGTCGAAGACTCTGGGGTTAAGTTCACAGTTGAAAAAAGCCAAATATTTCCATCTCTGTCTGTGCTCTTTCACCCATTCAACTAATATCAACTGTCATTCCCTTGAGGCACTTCCTGAAGTCTTCCCAGAGGATATTTTATCTGGCTCAGACAGGGAGAAACTTGATGAAGCGCAAGTCCTTTCTAATTCTGGCTCCCTGATGATCCTTTTCTTTTCGCAGAAGCCAGATAAGGCATCCGCAGTCCTACCAGGCAGGGGAAGTAGGTCCTGCAACTTTTCTGAAGGCACCTTTGATTTATTAGTCTTGGCCTTATTTGCTTTTGTGAGTTGGAATCTTATGTCCCCAGACTTGCAAACCGTCACGAGATACTCAGCCATTCTGCTCAGCTGCAGCTGCATCCTTTAGATTTTATGGGAATGTTTAAAAAAACTTTTCCTACATTAGGTTTTTTTCTTTCAAAACCCACCAGACAATTTGGGGCCATTCTGTGAGTATTCTTTGCAAATACTCCTTTGAGAGGTCATGGCAAAGCGCTGCACAAAGGATCACCCTCAAAATCGTGTATTTTTCAAATCCCTTATTGAATCATTTCTTGCTCAAAATAACTGTTTAGGAGTGAGGAAATACCTCCAATTGCTGTCATTTGTACTTAAGCTGTGTATGCCTTATAGTTCAAAAGAGACTGAATACCAATTCTTTTCTATGTGTTAAATGGTACTGAAATCAGATTTCAATTTGCTAGAGCTTCAATTGCGAACCAGCATTCATGAGTCCATTTCTCAACAATTAATACTCCTGTAAAGGTATTGCACACCAATAATACGACCTTTAAATTTTTATTTTATTTTTTAATTATTTGAACAAAGGGTTAAAATCCCGCCCTAAAGGGAAGGTGGGAAATGTTGCTTTACTTAACACTGGTATGTTCTTAGATAAGAATTTTCGATGATCTTAGTGACTTTCTTATTTCTTATCAACGCAGATCCTCTCCACTATACTTGGGGACATGTAATGAGAAGGCACAGGGAGCTATTAGGCCCACTGAAGCATTTGGTGGGACTCTAAGGAGCTCTACTCTCCCCCATCCCCACTCTCACCAATTCAGGAAAATGAAGGAATAAATTTACAAGCCCCCTGTGCAAGGGGCGGTGCTATGCACATGTGCATTTTCTGGATGTTCTTGTACTCAGTCATCTTTTCCAGCTTCTAACTCTCAGAATCCATACAAGGAGACATTGTAGTTCTATTGACAATCTTTTCACTTCTTGGAAACCACGGACCACTCCTTTTGGTCTTTGTTTTTAGACATAATCATCTCTGAAATGCCGACTTTGTGCCCAGTAGGATACTAGGCACTTTACATCATGTTATCTGAATTAAAGCCCTTAGGGGAGAGATGTTGATAGGGTTTGGCTGTGTTGACACCCAAATCTCATCTTGAATTGTAGCTCCAACAATTCCCACGTGTTGTGGTAGGGACCTGCTGGTGGGAGTTAATTTAATCATGGGGGCGGGTCTTTCCCATGCTCTTCTCGTGGTAGTGAATAAGTCTCATGAGATCTGATGGTTTTATAAGGGGGAGTTTCCCTACACAAGCACTCTCTTTGCCTGCTGTCATCCATGTGAGACGTGACTTGCTCCTCCTTGCCTTCTGCCATGACTGTGAGGCCTCCTCAGCCATGTGGAACTGTAAGTCCATTAAACCTCTTTCTCTTTATAAATTACCCAGTCTCGGGTATGTCTTTATTAGCAGCGTAAGAACAGACCAATACAGATGTTCTTGTCCCCTTTCAACATATCAGGAAAATGAAACTTGAGAAAGTGGAGGATTTGGGACAGAGAGAAGATCCTGACAGAACAGGATTCAAGTAATACTTAAACTCAGGCTTTGGGAGTCTCTCAGCCTTGCACTTCTTTACTTTCTACCATCGCTGTTATGTAGGCCTCCTCTTGTGGGATTTTTATGGTAACTATATGCTATATTCTCAAAGCTTAGAAACCTAACAGAAAGTAAAGCACTTCTTGACATTTCAACAACACTCCCTTGATTGAGTCTCATGGAATCCAACTAGAGTCACATGCCCACAACTGACCCAAGCCTCAAGCCTGGAGTCTTGGCGAGCAGACCACATTAATTGGCCAGGCCTGGATCACGTGCCCATGTGGGGGCCTCATAGTGGAGAGGAAGGAGTGTGGCCCATAACCAAACATCGTGCTATTAGGAGACCCTGAAATGGAGGGCTGGCAGGCAAAAGCCACAGACCAACTCAGGCCACATTCAATGTTAATTTGGTCACAGCCCAGCTCATATTGCCTGATTGTAATGATTTTCTCCTCCAGGCAGACACAGTCCCGGCCAGGGTGGGGAAATTGCAGGACATTGAGTTATCTCACTTGCCAGAGCACAGAAGGGGGTTTACAGCTGATTCCAATAAGAAGTCGAAAAAATTAAGTTTCACTGACTAACTTCTGCCCCCTTCTGACTCATCACCCTCTCTGGTTGACTTCTCAAACGTCCCACGACTTTACTTTTGAGTTCACTGTGGCCACTTAATGCATTTTAACTTTTATTAGTCTCCTGACATCTCTTTTAAGCTATCATCTTCTTTCCTGCAAAAGTGCTTGGATTCCACATTTTCTAATTAAAACATGCTCATTTATTGTCTTACTAACCAGTGCTCTTTATGAGGGCTCATGATGAGAAAGTTAACTCAAAACATCTCGATGCATTTCCTCTCTCTTGGAAATGGCTGGAGAAGCAGTTTTGCCTTATCAAGTTGAATGACTTCGAAGAACTTTTGGTTTTGCTTTTTAATAAAACCATGAATGGGAAACATTTAACTCCATGCTTCAAGCTCCTAATATTCTCAGCAATGCAGTATATTCTGTTTGTTGTGGTGTGTGTAGGTGAGACAGATTGCAGGGGTCAGATAGCTCCATAATGAGTATAGGTAATATCAGAATAGTTCTGTGTTTAATTAGATAAAAATTTTTGTCCTAACATGCAACACGTCCTAATGTTCATAATGGTGCCCATTGCTGTTTATACTCCAGTGAATTAATCTGATATTATTAGAGGTTGTAAGCTTCAGTGCAGCAGGGGGTAAGGGTGGCACACATGCATTTAAACCCACCGAGAATTTCAATATAATCGTGTGTGTGGTGGCACTGGGGTGGGCTGGGAACAAGGTAGAAGGCGCATATTCAGTATATGTCTGCGTATACTTTGTTTTTTCAGTTTCACTACTATTTGCTTTGTCTTTGGAAACATAAAAGCAGTGTTACAATGGGGACATCCTCATGTCCTGTCGATAATGTGCATCTTCAAATTCATAATACCATTCAGTTTGGGGAAAAGAGCGAAGTATAGCATTCTTCACAGAGCTTACCCCAAATAGCTAATTCAGGCAGAAAGGGAGAGACAGAGATAGAGATAGAGATGATAGAGATAGAGACAGAGATAGAGATAAAGAGAGAGAGATGGAGATAGAGATAAAGGGAGGCAGAGAGAGAGAGAGAAAGAAAGGGGAAAAAGGGACCTGGTGATGCAGATATGGAAAAAAATAGATGCCCTCTTCAGGGAGGTCGGCCCTTGATTCTGACCACTACATTAGAAAATATTAGAAGGAGTCAAGGTCAACATGAATTGGGTTGGCCAAAACAACTGAGCCCAGCTGGACGCGGTGCCTCACACCTGTAATCCCAGAACTTTGGGAGGCCGAGGCAGGTGGATCACTTGAGGTCAGGAGTTCAAGACCAGCCTGACGAACATGGTGAAACTTCGTGTCTATTAAAAATACTAAAATTAGCCAGGCGTGGTGGTGCACGCCTATAATCCCAGCTACTTGGGAGGCTGAGGCAGGAGAATTGCTTGAACCTGGGAGGCGAAGGTTGCAGTGAGCCAAGATCGCGCCACTGCACTCCAGCCTGGGTGACAGAGTGAGACTCCATCTAAAACAAACAAACAAACAAAACAAAACAAAACAAAACAAAAACAAAAAAAACCCTGAGCCCTGATCATTTAAGTGAAGGGGTCATCATTTGGCTGCACAGAGGCAGAGTTTTCAAACTGGAAACCAAGTTAAGATCACCTAGTATAGTCCAATGTCTATTTTTACAGACAAGGAGAGTGAAGCTCAGAAAGTTCCACAACACGCCAGCGCCTTCCACTATAAATGCCGGAGTGGGGCTGGAAGGCAGGCCTCTGGCCAGAGCTTTCCCCAGCACCCCTCACTATTTCCTGCATGATTAGGGAATGTTGGTGCCTACTTATCCCACACAGAATATTTATCTCCATTTCCTTCTGCAAAGGAAAGGTCATGAATTTAAGGCAAAGAATTAGAGCACATATTGCAACAGCTTTTGTCTTTTCAGTTATTTTATTGTAGAATGTACACATTCTCTTGGTAAAATATTCAACACATAGACAGAAAATGGAAAGGAATATTCCCTGCTTTTCAATTTCCATTTTCAAGGAAATTTCATTTGAAGGTTGATTATTTTAGGCTTTCAAAAATGCTTGTGGATGTCTGAGCATGTATATTTTAAGTTTAATATAAATGGAATCATATACATATCATTTGGCAACTTCCTTTTTATCACTTAATCAGATATTGTGGAAGCATTTTCAGGTAATTTTATGTAGACTTACCTCATTCTTGTTTAAAGTCCGTGTAATATTCCATAATGCTCTAATTTATTTAACCAGTCTCTTCTTGATGGACATTTAGATCGCTTTCAGAATTTTGCTATTAAAAACAAATCTGTAATGAAACATCTTGTGTATATATCTTTCTTTGCATACTTATATAATTATATTCAAAAGTTAAATTCCTGGAAGTGAAATTACTAGATCAAAGGGTATGTATAATGTGCATTTTGAATTTTGATCGATTGTGCCAAATTGTATCTGTCTCCATTCAAATGTTACGATCTCTCTTTACTTCTCCTTATTTGATGGCCTGAGTTTCTTTTGTGGCTTTAAAATAAGAGCCCAGAAGTTTATGGTGTTAGATTTCAGACATAGAATTAAGAGGATTTTTTTTCAAGTAATAATGTAATAAATAATACATAAATACCCTAGAAATGCCAATACCTCTTCTTAATGCCAGATATAGTATGAGAAACAGACATAGCTGCAGGGGAAAATCTGACTCTCTCACTCCCCTTGGTTCTAGCTGTAGGGCCCTTTCTCTTCATTCCCAGACTGTGCTACAGCATGGCCTACGTGATTCAAAACTCCTAACCTTTGTTGCCTTTCCTTTCTCATTATTATTTGGCAATGTTTGAGTTTGCCTCTTCTCCTCATCCACCTTGCCTCTATCTACCTAATGGGGATATTATAAGAATGTCTAAAAAGACCTAGTCAAGTTTCTGAATCCCAAGAGAAATGCCTAGTAAGGCGGTATGATTGTTTAACTATTACAGAAAAGCATTATGATCAAGGGCTTGAAAATCTGGCGAGGAAGACAGCCTTTTTTGTGAAATAAGTATGTGAGGGCTCTGTCAGTAAGAGGCCCTCAGGCCAAACTTATATAGTTACTTTATCTGAAACTCTGATTTTATGCTAACTAAGGATTTTTGTATTTCCCACCTCCTGTTGGTAATCCCATTACCAGCTGTGTTCATAGGACTTCAGCTTAATTCAGCCAACATTTGTAGGGGCCCAACACGCAGCTGAGCACCATGGCACAGAGAGTGAAAGATCGAAAAGACATGGCCCCTGACCTCTGGGAATCACAGTCTAGTGGGAGAAAGGTCACAGAGCAGATTATTTATATTGATATAGGATGTTGTAAGCTGGACATGAGCTCAGGGGACTCTACGGAAGCATGGAGCGTGGAGTGCATCCAACCTACCTGGTCAGGGAAGCCTGGCTGGCAGATACGGGGTCTGAGTTCCATCTGGGTGGAACAGTGAGAGCTGCCCCAGCAAAAGGGCATTCCAGGCAAAGGTGAGAGAATAGGAAAAGGCCGGAAGAGCAAGGCTGTGCCAGCATTCTGGACCAACCAGAGTGAGACTCAGGAGGCAGGGTAGAGAGGTCTCATGGCCCAAGTCAAGGTCACCTTCTGGGTGCAGTCAAGCACTCTAAGGTCTATTCAGTGTGGGATGGGGAGCCCAAAAGGGATGTACACAAAGGCATGTTACGGTTAGATTTGCCATGAAGAGGTGGAAAGGGAGGATACACCAGAAAGGGAGGAAACTAAAAGTACATTGAAGTTAACCAGTGCCTCTGATGGAAGAAGGAAGGGAGAAAGGGAGGGAGGGAGGGAGGGAGGAAGGAAGGAAGGAGAAGGAAGGAAGGGAGGAAAGGAGGGAGGGAGGGAGGAAGGAAGGAAGGAAGGGAAGGAAGGAAGGGAGGAAAGGAGGGAGGAAGGAAGGAAGGAAGGAAGGAAGGGAAGGAAGGAAGGGAGGAAAGGAGGGAGGGAGGGAGGAAGGAAGGAAGGAAGGGAGAAAGGGAGGGAGGGAGGGAGGGAGGGAGGAAGGAAGGAAGGAAGGGAAGGAAGGAAGGGAGGAAAGGAGGGAGGAAGGAAGGAAGGAAGGAAGGAAGGGAAGGAAGGAAGGGAGGAAAGGAGGGAGGAAGGAAGGAAGGAAGGAAGGAAGGGAAGGAAGGAAGGGAGGAAAGGAGGGAGAAGGAAAGAAGGAAGGAGGGAGGAAGGAAGGAAGGAAAAAGGGAGGGAGGGGTGGAGGAAGGAGGGAAGAAAGAAGGAAGGAAAGGGGAACTAGAAGGAAAGAGATACATACTTAAAGTAGGCAGTCTATGGGATTCATTGATAATTATCTGCATAACAGTAATAGCCAACATTTATTGAGGATCCACTCAATGTCAGGTGTGTGCTGAGCCACTCATTTAATAGACACAATATTCCTAAGAAATACTTTCCATCATTTTCACTATTTTCATATGAGGAAACGAAGATGTAATAATAACAAGTCATTTGCCTTAGGCTGCACAGGTTAAAGGTGAGGCAACCAGGCTCTGACCCCACCTGCTGCCGACAGTTTCCTTATTAACCATCGCCCCATCCAGCCTCCTAGAATCAGCAGGGCTGTCCCAACCTGACCGACTGTGACCCTGAACTTCCCTCTTCTTCCTTGCTTCTCCTCTCTATCACTTCTCTTCCCCCTCCTTCCTCACTTCCCTCCACAGAAATGCAGACATTGCTTTGTTTTTCACATAACCACTTAATTTCTTGTCAAGCAAAACTTGAGAGCCAGAAAGGATCCCAGTTCAAGTCCAAGCCTTCAAGATGTCTGGAAAGGCAGCCTCCCCACTACCAGACTTGCCTTTAGGTTTTGTTTAATTCTGCCACTTGCAAAGCAAATGCCTGAAGGCGGGCACCTGCCTTTTAGTCTAACATGCCACCTCCCTGTCAGGCAAATTTCAATTTACCATGCCTCGGCTTGTCCAACTGTATCTGCATCAATACTTCCAAGATGGCAGTGACAAGCTTTTCAGGTACTTAAGGCAAACCTGCATGACAGTTTTCCTTGACACTTGCATTTTTAAAAAGCCTTGCCTGGGGCCCTAGGAAACCCAGCATTTAAGAAACTAGGAAGCTTTCAAGGAAGCCCAGCTTTCAGAACCTGCTGCCCTGGGACTTGTTTTGTGATAGGGATGCTGCAGGGTCTGCCTTAGAGTATATTAAGTGCCATGGCGATATTTATGTGTTGATGCTAAATGATGGTTACCTTTCTTAGTGGCATTTTTTTTTTTTTGACGACTGAAATATATAGATCTGTTTTGTGCATTGTCAGTGGGTATGTGTCTGGCCTACAAACACACTTAAATGGCACACTTCTGCACAACATTCCTGAGTGTCCAACAGATATATGTAGGCAGGCAGACATGTCACAGGGGTTGCCATAAAGCTTAGTTAATATCCCTGAAGAGCTCTTGTGTCATTTCATGAAGAGTTCTAAATAAGAAGAAAATATTGTACCTATGGCTATTACACAAACAAAGAAATGTGAGTAAATATGCAGATAGGGTTTCTTCTGTTTGCTCATGCCTCAAAGAGTCTGATGTAAATTCAAATGGGAAAATAGATAGTAATAGAGATCACTACTGTTTATTTGAGGGTTAAAAAAAAAAAAAGCAACAGTGCCCCAAACTTAAATGCTTGAAATTGCTATACACAGTTGATGTGAGAGGAGCAAATCTATAATAAGCAAAAAGGAGTGGCAGCTTTCTTTTTCTTTTGTTTTCTTTCACCTCTGCCAGCCCCTACATTTAGAATTGTTTTGATGACTTAAGAATTGTCAGTAGCTATACAAGAATTCGGATAAATCAATTTTGTTTTCCTTCCTCGGCCTTGAAGAAATCACATATGATACTTAGTCTGTCCCCTTTAATTTTTACACCATTTATATACCTTCCTCTTTCTCTTCTTTCCTTCCTTCCTTCATCCATCTACCCAGCAAATGCATCTTGAGCACCTATGAAAATAACCATTATGGGTTTTTTGGTTGGTTGGTTGTTTTTTCACTTCTTTCTGGGCCTTAGGATACTGATCTAGAAACAGAGAGAAATGAATTAGAACTTCATTTCTCAAATGAGAGATGCTGTGGAATACCAGTTTTACGGCTGAGAAGAAGGGTATATATATATAAAGCTCACAAAAATAAGTGGAATAATAAATAGTGTAGAGTACTGGGATATTTATGATATTTAAGTATTAGGTTTGTGAAGACCTGCAGTAATGTTTACTCCATTTCCCAAATATCATGGAACCCTCTCTGTATCTAACATTAGTAATATACAAATATACTTGGTGATCCAAAAAGCACATTTTAAGATGTTGTATTTCAGATCCTCTCTGATCTTATGACAGAAGTAGAAAGGCCAGAATTTTTTCAATCCCTTACTAGGAAGGACTTTGTGATCTTGCCTTCTAAAATAAAATAGAATTTTTCTCTTAGCATAAACTTTTAAAATGAATTTATACCCAAACTCAATTATCAAGTCAGGCAATATTTGGGCTTGGTACATAAGTACTGTTTATAATACAGTGCTTAGAGTGTAGGCTAACAATAAAAACTTTTGTTTAAAAATTTCATGGATATCATTGGGTATATACCCAAATGAATATAAATTATTCTACTGTAAAGATGCGTGCATGTGTATGTTCATTGCAGCACTATTCACAATAGTGAAGATATGGAATCAACTAAATGCCCATCAATGGTAGACTAGATAAAGAAGATGTGGTACATATACACCATGGAATACTATGCAGCCATAAAAAATGAGATCATGTCTTTTGTGGGAACATGGATGGAGCTAGAGACCATTATCCTTAGCAAACTAACACAGGAACAGAAAACCAAATACCACATGTTTTTAATTATAAGTGGGAGCTAAATGATGAGATGAGAACACATGGACACAAAAAGGGAAGCAACAGACACTGGGTCCTACTTGAGGGTGGAGGGTGGGAGAAGAGAGAGGATCAGAAGAAAAAATTCCTATTGGGTACAATGCTTAGAACCTGGGTGACAAAATAACCTGTACACCAAACCCCCATGACACGAGTTTATCTATATAACAAACCTACACATGTACCCCTCAACCTTAAATAAAAGTTTAAAGGAAAAAAGAAAAGTATGTCTATCACATATTAAAATAAGACGAGTGATTATATAAAAAATTGAAGAACTTAAACTGATGCATGAGTTCTTCTAAATACTTTATATAATACATCAAATAAAATAGAAAAAAATGTCATGGATCGATAGCTTTCCTAGAATATAAACCCCACTAGGCTCTCCCTGAAAGCTCTTTCCTGAAATGAGAGCCTGCTGACTTGGGGATGTTAAGACATTTTCTAAGGTATGAAATATTTTGGCTCTTTCTACTACTGCTGCCACCTGGCTCCTTGGTGATGCTTCTTGTTTTGTAATTCATTAACAGTTTTCAAAAACAAGCTCAGGATATGGATAGGATGCAGAGAGACTGGCAAAATGCTTACTGTCAACCAGAATTTGAGCTTCCTGAAGAGTTCAATGTTGATTATCATTTTCTACATTTAGAAAACATTTAGAGGTTTCTCAAAAAGTTAACCATTTTATGACCATATTATGTAGTTGGGATGTTTGTCCTCTCCATGTCCCATGTTGGAATGTGATCCCCAATGTTGGAGGCGGGCCCTGGTGGGAGGTGTTTGGGTCATGGGGGTGGATCTCTCATGATCAACTTGGTGCCTTCCTCCCGGTAATGAATAAGTTTTTGCTCTATTAGTTCCTGCAAGATCTGATCATTTCAAAAGAGCCTGGTACCTCCTGCTCTCTTTCTACCTCTCTTGCCATGTGATGCCAGCTCCCCTTCCCCTCTGCCATGATTGGAAGCTTCCTGAGGTCCTTACCAGAAGCATATGCTGATGCATTGCTTCTTTTACAGCCTGCAGAATCAGGAGCCAAATAAACACCTTTTCTTTGTAAATTACCCAGTCTCAGGGTCTCCTTAATAGCAACACAAAGTGTACTGAGGCACCTCTATGATGCAGCAATTCCTCTCCTAGGGAGATCCCCCAAAGCTTTCAAAGCAGGTGCTCAGACAGACATTTTCACACCAGTGTTTGTAGCAGTACTATTTACAATAGTCAAAAGGTGGAAACAACCCAAACGTTCATCAATGGATGAATGAATAAAGAAAAAGTGTACACACACACTCACACAAAAGGAAATAGTATTCCAAAAGGGAATGAAGTGCTGATACATGCTACAATGGGGATGAACTTGAAAACATTATGCTAAGTGAAAAGAAGCCAGACACAAAAGGTCACATATTGTATGAGTCCATTTATCTGACATATCCAGAATAGGCAAATTCATAGAGACAGAAACCAAATTAGTGGTTGCCAGGAGCTGGGAGTGAGAGAGTGAAGGAATGGCGAGTTACTGTTTAATAGATTTTGGGGGGAATTTGAGGTTTTTTGGGGGGTGATGAAAATGTTTTGGAACTTAAATAGAGGCAGAATTTAAACATCGTGAATGCTCTAAATGCCACTGAATTGTGCAATTAGAAATGGTTAATTTTGTATCATGTGAATTTTACCTCAACTTTTATAAATAAATTAATTAATTAGAGAAAATAGCCGGAGGATCAGCGTGTCACCCTCTGTATAAAACGTCTACTCAAGGGAGAGACAACAAGATAGTTAGGCTAGAGAACCAGTCTCTTGCTCCAGTCTTCTCCTAGAAAGGTGCCAGGAAAAAAAATGTCTGTTCTCAAAACATTCCTTGAAAGGGTTAAAGTCACAACACAAAATACCCAGTACATGTGATTTGATTAATAGTGGTAAATGGATCTGAGTGTGTAATATGTTGACATCTGAAAGACTGTCAACAGGATCCCCATTCAACATCAGGGTAAATGCAACTCTTCAGACAGATGTCTTGAAGCACCAAAGATAAGGAAATAAAGAAAGGTGCACCAGGCAGGACTCCTTTGTTACACAGGTAGGGGGAAAAGAGAATGCTAAATGGATTCTTCTCTAGGTGGAGGGGGATCAACATAGGATTTTTCCAAGATTAAAACCATTCTATCATATTCTATTAAAAGTGATTTAGAAGAGAAAAATGCACCATGAAATCTCCATGTTTGCAGAGATACCAAACCTAGGAAGATAAACTGCTCTGTAGGTGGGCAGAGAGGTGACAGATAAGGATCACGTACATTTACCAAAAATTCTTCTAGACTTATAGGAAGATTATCTCTGAGGTCCCAGTTACAAACTGGGAACTGGCCAGGTGATTCGTGTGAAGTAATGCCTGAAGATATACATCCACTGGGTTGCTGTGGGAAGAAAGAAGGGGATAGGGCTGCAAAATACAGAGCATCCCTATAGAAACTCTTAGAAATTAATCAAAAATGCATTATCCCACGATTTTCCAAAATCATTAGGTATCTACAGTGGAAATAATCATGATTATAGCTGATATCCCTCAAGAATGACAGAAAACTTGAGGAGAATTCCAATCTAAAAGATCAATAAAATGAAGAGGCTCTCACAAAACACACCAAAGTGCTCCTTTGAATAGAAGGAAGATGACTTCACAACAGATTTTAAAAAATAACCGTGTGTAGGAATAATACGAACATGATGTTGTTTATCGAAATCTTGAAAACCAGAGTGACGGGATTCCTTGAAAAGGACACTACCGGGAAAATAAATAAAAGTGTTGCATCTGAGAGCAGAGAGAAACTTTTTACATTCATCACCTCCTACAGGCAGTATGAGATGATCTTTCAAGATCTTTTCAAGCTCTATATTGGTTCATGCCTTTATTCATTAAATAAAAATTGTTGGAACACCAAACCTGGGCTGGGCATTCTTCCAGGGGCTGGAGATACAATGGTGAGGAAGAAGATGAAATCCTGGCCCTCCTGGAATGTGCATGCCATTGGGAAAGGCATGTGACAAACAAGGAATGAAGGAGATAGCTGCCCAAGGTGATGCATGTTAAATGAGATATCTCAATGAAGGGTGAGGGAAATGGGCCTTTGTATTCCACCCCCATCTCTGGATGTTGACTGTTCTCAGCTGTAACCTTGGACAAGGTAGGATGCAAGATGCTACGATGGGAAAGGCTGATCAAGAAATCCTTTCTGAGGAAGTGAGCTTTGAGGAGAGACTTGAAAGACCTGAGAAAGAGGAGCCATGCAATGAGAAGACAGAAAGAGAGGAGGAGAGAAGTTTCCAGACTGAGGGAAACACAGTGTGACCACCTGGACATGGGGAGGAGCTTGGCCTCTTTAAGGAACAGCAAAGAGGATGGCAGGTGCCTTAGGAGCAGAGCACGGAGAGGTTAGGAAGAGATGACCTCGACCATCACAAGACGCCTTATAGGCCATGATGCAGAGCAGGATAACTTCTAAGTGTAAAGGAATGGGAAGATTTGAAATATGTTTTGATTTATGTTTGTAGGAAATGACTGACTCCTGTGGGGAGAAGGGGTGTAATGGGTAAAGTGGAAAGAGGGAGACCTCTTTAAAGATTGCTGTGTGCAGCAGGCCAGGCGCAAGATGATGTAGAGGTGTGAGTGGTAAGAAAAGGAAGGGGATGTGTTGGAGGCAAAGAGGAAATCAACTGATGATGGATTGGGTGTGAGAGAAGGACAGGAACCATGGTGAAGCCTAGTGAAGTAGATGGCATGGTGCCCACCCAGATGTCACCCTTCAGGACTGGAGCAGGTGTCCTTCCAGTTGCTGGTAATGTTGGCAGCCAACAGAGCTCAGCCAAGTCCCTCCCTGAGATTGGCCTTCAGCAGAAGAGATCCACGTCTTCCAAGGACCTTTCTCTGGGAACAGCTCACATCCAGTGACTGGTCCGAGTAAGGATATGAAGGCCCAGCCTCCTTTGCCCTAACTGGAACAACTCAGCAGAGCCATCCCTGCTCCAGAGCTTTCCATGGAATCGCCATAGGCCCCTCTGCCACAGCATCACAGTTCAGCTCCCCGCCATCCCCACCCAGGGCAGTCTGCTTCATTCACTTCCTCACACATGGTCTTCCCAAGAGCACTTTCTAATACACTTCCTGCATGCAATATCTTCCCATTCCTAGGGATGGCTCCTGCACAACTGGAGAAGTGATGACATCTGTAACTGATATAGGTGAAGCCTGGAAGAGAAGAGAAGCTTGGAGTGGAAATCAAAAGTTGTGTTTTGGTCATGCTAAACTTGAGATGCCTAACTATATCCAAATGTAGATAGGGTAATAGGTGTAATATTGTGGGCTGGCTAGAATATTCTGGACAAAAACCAAAACCCTCAAGGCAGAGGTATAAGAAGACAGCTGAGCTCTTTCATCACAAAGGCCTGTGCTGAATTCCCCATGAGTCTCTCCTACCCTAGTAATTTTTCAGATAGAATGCTCCTAAATGTGCTTTGCTAACTCAAAGAGATGGCATAGTTAGAACCCTTCGTACTTGGTCTAAAATCCAGATCCCCTTGGCCAGGCATGGTGGCTCATGCCTTTAATGCCAGCACTTTGGGACGGCAGATCACCTGAGGTCAGGAGTTCAAGACCAGCTTTGCCAACATGGCAAAACTTCGTCTCTACTAAAAATACAAAAATTAGGCAGGCGTGGTGGCGTGCACCTGTAATCCCAGCTACTAGGGAGGCTGAGGCAGGAGAATTGCTTGAACCTGGGAGGCGGAGGTTGCCATGAGCTGACATCACACCACTGCACTCCAGCCTGGGCAACAAGAGTGAAGCTCTGTTTCAGACCAAAAAAAAAAAAAAAAGAAAAAAGAAAAAAAGAAAATCCAGATCCCATGCCTTCAAGCCATGGTTACTGGCTACCTTTTCTTCCTGCCACTGGCCCGGAACACACTGCCCTTCTTTCACATCCTCAAAAATTCCGTCTTTCCCACCCCAGGGACTTTGCACAGGCTGCTCCTGCTGCCTGGGATGCTCTTTTTTACCATTCTTCATATGGTCAGTTACTTCTTATCCTCAGACTTCTCCTCAATCCCATGGTGCTTCTGACATTTTGAAAGTATTTCATGTATTTATTGTTTACCTGGATGTGAGTTCTGTTTATTTGTTCTGTCTCTCCAATTGGAAATTTCCTATGAGGATAAGAACTTACTCATCAATGCATCCAAGCATCTAGTACCATGTGATATATATTCCATGCTCAATAAATACTGGCTGGGCAGTGATTTCATATTTGAGATATTGTGTTCATTGCAGAGGTGGAGGCAATGCAGTACATACATATATTAAACACTTCCTGTGGGCCCGCTTCTGTGTTCTCGGATTGTATTCCTGTTCTTTTTCAGCCCTTCCAATAGTTCTGGGATGTAAATATTGCTATTGTCTCTATTTTTTTAGAGGAGGCATCTGAGGACCAGGGAGAATACCTAGCTTTCCCCACATCATGCAGCTCCTGGAGGAGTTGAGATTTGAGTCCAGGTGCACCTGGCTCCAAGCCCATTCATTTTCCCCTCTACCATAATTAGTGAATTCCTTCAGCAGACTTTTTGAGCACCTACTATGAAGAGGGAAGGGTACCAGAAAGCAAAAGAGAGAGAGCCTGACTTTGTAATTTGACTTAAGAAACAAGACAAAAACAAATGTAATCACATGAAGCAGAATAACCTAGAGGGTCCTTCCAGCTTGAACACTGTCTAACTGTCTGAATGGTCCAGACACTAAATGCAATGGGAGAAATTATCCTGCTCCTTGGCTGTGTCTGAGGGTGTGCATTTTTTCTTCATCTACCTCTACCTGCCGGTGAACACAAATTTAAGTCCATTCGAAATGGCTGTCTGGACACTCCCATATGATAGTGCATAGCGAATTCAAGGTCAAATCTAAAGTCAAAGTCAGACGTCTTTGTTTTTCTTCCCCTACTATATCAAGACTCTTACCAATTAACTTGAAAAAAGTCACCAAGTTAACAACTCCAGAGGGGGAAAAAGAAGAAGAAAAAAAAAAAAGACTCTTCATCTCATCCAAAGACTCTGAAATGGATTTGCTCACAAAACACCAGGTTTCTTTAATGACCTCGAGAGACCTTGCCTGTCACACTGAGCAGTATATCATTTCATGGAGGAAAAAAAAAGTTTTACCATGAAAAATGCTATGTTGTATCACAGTGTGACACTATTTAAATATCAAGAGTCGAAGCTTCTATTTAGAAAACGGAAGGCAATAAATTGAGTTGCTAATTATTCCAGCTGTGAATATTTTTGGTACGGCTGCAAATTTTGAAGAGGGCAAAATAGAGGATTTTCCTGTTGTTCACGGCATATGCAAATGTAGTGGCAGTCCCCTATGAGCCGAAAGGTTCAGGGATGAGAAACCTTGAAAGCCTATTTTTTTCCTGAATCAAACGGGCTTGAGTCGAAGCTTAGGGAACTATGATATAAAATGGACTTTTGACTACACTAATTGGGTTATTGGCTTCTTGTTTTTCAAACCTGAGAAGTAACGATTTTAAAAACTGTAAGTCCTATTTTAAAGGAAACAATTCACTTCTCAACCTAAGCATAAATTCTCAACTGGAAGAAGAGAAGAAGCACATTAGTAACATCCCTAGTCCCTTCTCTTCCTAGGGGACAGTGAGTGGAGGTGCCTGCAATTCTCCAATCACCAGGCTAATTAGAACGACTCATTCATTCAACACATATTTTAAATCAGCTGGGCACTATGCTCGGTCAAGGAGATTTAGTAATGGCTAAAATATACTATACACGGCTCCTGCCCTCAAGCCATTAATATCTGCATTTATTGACCATTCACTGGATGTCAATCTCAATGCTAAGCATTTCACGAATAAACTCACCCAATCCCCCTAACAAGCCCAAGAAGTAGCTACTATCATTCTCAGCCTCCTAGCAAGGTTAAGTAACTTGCCCAAGATCACACAGTGATAAATATAGAAGCCAGGATGCAAACCCTGGTTGTCTCAGTCTAGGATTTGCAGACTTAAAACTGCCTTCTAGGTACCATCCTATTGGATTTCTTAAATAATTAAATGAATAATAATCATGATGATGACAATGAGGAAATGTTTCTATGTAGAAAAAGAAGGCTGACTACAAACATCAGATGTTTACCAGTCTATCTCTAAAGTACAGGAGATGTTTACTTTCTATTTTTAAAATGTATATACTTGACCCAGTGCAGTGGCTCATGCCCGTAATTCTAGCACTTTGGGAGACTGAGGATGGTGGATCACGAGGTCAGGAGTTTGAGACCAGCCTAGCCAACATGGTGAAACCCCGTCTCTACTAAAAATACAAAAATTAGCCTGGCGTGGTGGCACATGCTTGTAACCCCAGCTACTTGGGAGGCTGAGGCAGGAGACTCACTTGAACTGGGAGGTGGAGGTTGCAGTGAGTGGAGATCAAGCCACTGCACTCCAGCCTGGACAACAAAGCAAGACTTTGTCTTGGGGGAAAAAAAAATTATATGCTTGTTTTTTTTGTAATGTGTGCATGTTATATTTGCAAACAGGAAAATAAAGACAGAACGCTTAAGCGATCACCTAGTTTTGCTACTCAAGTAGGGCTCAGTGGTGCAGTATCCATCATTTTTCTCGTTATCTCTTTTTTCACCTCATCCTCTATGCTTCTCTCCTTCTGTTTTTGCTTTCTCTCCACGTTCCATGTCTCTGTCTCTGTCTGTCTCAGGACCCTGCCCCTTGAATTTTGCCTCAACCAGCACCATTCCTTTTCATATCGGAGAGTATATTAATGGTGCCAGAAAGGGTGGTGGTTATTTAACCTCTCTCCAGCTAAATGTTTCATTATAACTCCTGAAAACCTAATTACAGTAACTTTACATGCTACAGTACCCTTTATGGGCTGCCTCTTTATTAAACTTACTCTTTTAGAGACAATAAACCTGATGCTTCAAAGTGCATGGCCAGAACCAGTGAAATGTAATGAAATCTGGAGTTCTCTAGTGCACACCTGATCTCCCTCACTGAGCACCACAGCCCCATTCCTGGGGTGTTTCTGCCTCTATCCTTCCCCTAGCTTTTGATCAAATTTCAGACACTGCTTGTATGATAGTCTGAATATTTTAGGGATTAATGGGCTGTGTATCAATGTTTTCATCCGCTCCTCTGAATACCCATGAGTTTATTTACTGGGGAGGTCAATTTTCTCGGTAGAACAACAGTCGACACCTGGTTTCCCTGATAACCAGAGTTGCTTTTTTGCACACAGCGCTACGTTGAGACCATTTAAGACTTTTGCTGTATTTCAAAAACGTTTGCTGCCGCAGACTTCGTGAGCAAAGAACAACATGTCAGTCTGCTCTGTTAGTCATTAGTTGTCCTGGTTAGCTGAGTGGTACACTGTGATGAGATTGTGGGATACGGGGTGAGAGAGAGAGAGGAAGAGAGAAACAGGAAAAAAGGCATTGACCTTTGGAGTTGAGGCAGCACAATTATTTGTATAGTACATTTCTTTTCACAGCCCTGCTAGGATTTTCCCCTGGGAATAAAGCCAAAACAACAGAAAATAAGGGGATCCCCCTGGTTGCAAGCTGCAAAATGGTACTTAGTGTTAAGGAATTTTATGTATTTGTTTGTTTGTTTCTTTGGTGGGATTTAAGGTTAATGACTAAGTTTACTTGTGATTGACTCAGAGAAAAGGGAAAAACAAGAAAAAGAAAAGAAATCTTTTGTTGGAGCCTCAGGTAGCTTAGCCAGCCTCCGCTTCTCAAAGCTACCACTCTAGATTAGTCAAGCTCCTTCTGTATCATAAGAATAAAATAAAAATTCACAGCCTTTTGAATTGGTGGGGGCTCTTGTTGCATGGATGTTATGAATGAGGTTTTTTTGTTTGTTAGGTTTCTTTTTAAAATCTTTCATGGTTGTTTAATCAGAGACAATGCATGCCCTTAATTTTCTAAGCCAATTTGAAGCAGAAGCCTGGTTAACCAAGATTCTGCCTGAAATCCATGTCTTTGCTGTCACGTAAAGGATACAGGAGAATGGCTGTTCAGCTTTTAGGTATGCTTCTCAGTTTTTATTAAATGGTTTTGTTTTCACATGAGGAAAAGTGATGACATTTACCAAAAAGGTTGATAGTTTAGGGTGAAGTGATGATCCCTGTATTCTTAAGAAGTCACAGGAATGCAGGACACAGAGCTGAGAACGCAGAACCTTTGCCTTACTATTCCATCCCAAGCCCCTAACCTGTGCCTGACAGAATGCTGGGTGCTGTGACCAAAGCTCCCATCCCCCGCATGACATGACTGGGAAGGGAAAGAAGTGTGTGAGCTCCTCTTTTATTTTTTGTAAGACATCAAGGACTGGTTTTCTCCATCTCTTGGAGTGTTAGCAAACTCCAAGGATGGCACTTTGGGGGCCCCTCATTTGCCTTTCCTTTCGGAGGCACAAGTGGCCAATTCTGAGAGCAATTGAGTTGTGCTTGAAAAACGTCAAGTGCATTTGGAAACTACACATTTTTGCTGATGCCTGGAGTCCCGAGCTGAGCTACTTCCATGACCGACCGCTGGGAAGAAGTTCAGTTGGGGCATCACAAATGATTCATCTGAACACACTGAGCAGGCCTCTGAAGGGGAGAAGCTGTCTTAACAGCCGGTTCAGGGAAAAATCAGGAGAAGTCCCCTAAGCCCTCTTGGTCCTCCCTGTGACCATCTGGCCAAACCATTACCTTGTGGGTCTTGCTTCATTTTATTTGATTTTCCAGCAGCATGTGACTGAAATCCTTGGGTGAATCAAAGCTTGAGGTTTTTTCAACTTTTTGTTATGAAAAATTTCAAACATACAAAAAACTTGGAAGAATAGTACCATGTAAGAATAACCACCTGGTTTCAACGATTGCTATCATTTTGCCACATTTGCCTTATCTGTTTTTATAGAGCTTGAGAGATGAGATCTTTTTGCTGAATCTTTTGAAATGAAGTTGCAGACTTCATGAAACTTCACCTAAAGACGCCCACATCCAAAGCTTACATTAAAAAATATATATCTACTAACAATCTGGTATGTCCTCTTCAAGTAAGATGCATTTGGAAGGGCATAAAAGTGATTCAGGTAGAATTTCTTAAATGTTAATGTACACTAGAATCAGCTAGGGAGCTTCTTCGCTTCCTTTTTTTTTTTTTAGTTGGAGTTTCCTTCTTGTTGCCCAGGCTGGAGCGCAATGGCACGGTCTCAGCTCACTGCAACCTCTGCCTCCTGGGTTCAAGTGATTCTCCTGCCTCTGCCTCCCAAGTAGGTGGGATTACAGGTGCCCACCACCACACCTGGCTACTTTTTTTGTATTTTTAATAGAGATGGGGTTTGGCCAGGCTGGTCTCGAACCCCTGACCTCAAATGATTCGCCTGCCTCGGCCTCCCAAAGTCCTGGGATTACAGGCATGAGCCACCATGCCCAGCCACTAGGGAGCTTCTTAATCGATATACTCCCAGACTCCACCCCATACCTGGATAGGGCCCAGGATTTTGTACTGTTTTTAACACTGAGTGCCGCGTTAAAAACAGTACAAATTCCTGGGACCAGGCGATCACTTGAGTGCTGTGTTAAAAACAGTACAAATTCCAGGTATTCATGGGACACAGTCTGAAGATCACTTCTATCGAATCTTTCTCTTTTTGTTTGCTGAATTTAATCTTCTAAAGATTAGTGACACCAGGGTGTAACTGTATCATGGGAGAAATAGGATTCTACTTATCGTTGGTTTTTTGTTTAATCATTTTAAACCCCAGAGACTAGAAGGAAGGGAGGTGATAACTAAATGGGTTTCTTTCAGCTGCAATCATCACAGACACCACAGTGCCAATGAGCGGCCTGAGAGCTACATCCTGCGAGGGTTTATGCAGTGCTGAAAAGCATGCAGGTTGTTTTTTCTGTGGAGGGATCTGGCCTTGCATGTGTAAATATAGACTCTTGCCTGCATGTACATATGCAAACTTGTAAATCTGTTTGGCAAACAGGCATCAACACGGCAGGAGGAGCCTATTTTAAAATTAAAAATGTTCACAGCACTATTCTTTTAGCATTCATTATTTTGGTCTTGGAAAAGGTTGTAAGTTATTTATTTAACAACGATTTGTTGAGTTCCCCCACTGTAAGCCAGGCTCTATTTTAGGTGACAGGATGCGGCGTGAACAAAATAATTATTTTAAACTTTATTGAAATTCAGTTCTAACGATGGGGACAGACAATAAGTAATATGCAAATATACATATGCATTTAATGAAGAAAAATAGGCAGTTATGACAGGGCAGAGAGTAACAGAAATTGAAGGGGCCCAGGAAGATCTCTCTGAAAAAGTGCTATGAGAGCAGAGATTGAAGGAACAAGTTGTGCAGATATTTCCAGGCAGAAGGAACAGTAAGTGCAAAGGCCCGGAGGCAAGAAGATGTGATATGATGGGCAATAGCAAAAGGATAATATGATGGATGGAGTGAGGGAGGACAACAGAGGTGGAAGCTTCAGTGGGAGAGGTAGCCAGAGGGCAGATCATGCAGAGAGTTGAAGGCCATGAGAAAGACACCTGATTTTATTCTCAATATTATTAGAAGCCTTTGTCAGGGAGAAAGGGCGCTTTGTTTGATGACATGTGACCTAAGCTGACTTTATTTTTAGAAGAAAGTGTAGAAAATGGACTAAATTGTCAAGGGAACATTTTTAGGATTTCACGAAGCAGTGCCATATGCAAGATATAATCATATCCATTTTTCGTATAAATGAGTGTATTAAAAATAACATTAAAGCCAATTTAAACTTCTTATCTTTACCGTGTTGCTCTCATGTTGCTAAAACATTTCTATTTTCAAGTTATTTATTCTGTCCACAAATATGACTGATGTCCAGGCACTAATGTTTCGACTCTGGAGATAACAGGAGTAAGGAATATCTACCAGTTCAAGTGTCCAGGAGTTCACATTCTGGTTGGGGATAGACACATTTAAAATAATTATATATAGAAAGAGATTAATAACACCAGGATATAACTGTATCATGGGAGAAATAAGATTCTATTTATAAATAGAATGTAGATAGATAGATAGAAGATAGAGAAAGAGAGAGAGAGAGAGAGAGAGAGAGAGAGAGATAGATAGATTTGTGAGTGCACAAAATGAAGGGGGCTGTGTTAGAATAGATTCCCCAGGTAGGTGGTTGGAAGGTGGATAGGAGTTAGCTAGGATGGGTTAGGTGGGACAGAGAAGAAAAAGCCATTTGATTCAATTGAACGGGCTTGTTAAGACAAAGTGTGTCTTTTTGTGTGGCTGAAGCGTGAGTGCATAGGAGCTGGGAGCACTGATTAGAAACAAGGGTCAAAAAATGGGTAGAGAGCCATGGTTCCATGTTGTAGAGAGCTTGGTTCCATGTTGAAACTTAGGTCTCATCTTTCAGGCATGGAAGGATAACCACGGATTTGCAAGCCAGAGCACACTGGCACTGTGGCTTGGGAAGGAAAAGGCAGGAAGGCTAAAGGACGGGGTTGGTGGGTAAGGTTTTCAGAAATGAAATTGTTGGGATTCATTAAGCTATTGGATGGGGAAAGGCAAGGGAAAAGGAGGAAGTTCCTTGGGTAACTGGGAGTAAAGGAAGTCCAGGAGGGGTGGAGTTGGGCATGTAAAGGAATATAGTCTGAGTTTGGTTGTGACTTGTTCCAGACAGCTGTGAAATGTAGAAGACAAGCTGCCCAATGCACAACGGGATGTGGGTCAGGAGCTAAGGAGTCATGAGCTAGATAGAAATGGAGCTTTGGAGACTCCAGACCCATCAGTGGTGGCTGAAGACCTAGAAATTGGCAAGATCACTGAGGATGCGAGAACTGGAGTTCAAATGTTTTCACTCATTAGTGACTCCTTACAATGCCTTTACGTTCCTTTGTTTTCATTTGATTTCCTATTTTCACTACTCACTCTGGGAGAATCATTTAAGAAATAAATTCGGAGGACTCCTAAATCAAATTCCGAGGTTTCTCTGTCACCCTGGCTTTCTGCTGTGGATATGTTCTAGCGTTGTTATAAGGCAGCAGACTATTATTTAGTGACTTAGAGAACTCTTCAGGTGTTTGTTCAACATTTGTCAAGCTTTAAATTAAAATCTGCATTTCAGGCTCCTTATGTAGCTCTGAAGAATTAATAATAAAAGCTACTCACATGGGCTGACACTTACTATGGGACACACCTTGGTTAAGTTCTTTTGCTACGTAATCCTGCATGATATTGTAGGATTAGTGATGCTTTTCCTACACAGTGTTGCAATCCTCACAGCAAGCAGTTATGAGGTACCTGTACTTTTATTACCTCTGTTTTACAAATGAAGAGATGGAGGTTCTCAAAAGCAGTGTCAGGTACTTGTCAGAAATGGCACGACCAGGACTACCAAGGTCTGTCTTGTGCTACAATGCTGTCATGAACACCATGCCTAGCTTCCTCTTCCAAAACACCATTTTAAAATGGAGCATTAAAAAAGAGCCATTGGACAAGGAGTCCAAAGCCTTATTTATGGAATCAAACTTCTAGGCTTTATTTTAACATTAGCTGTGTTAAATAATTCACTAATCAGATACTCATTTTCTGACATGATTGTCAGTCATATTGGGTTTGTTTGATCTCTGTGAAGGATTAAAATACTTTCAAGGTTTTATCTGCAAACAGCCAAGATACAAATATTTGTAATGATAGCAATCCTGCCTTAGAAGCCCACTGGGAAAGCCTGCTAGCCCCCAGAGGCAAGGCAGTGTGGTGTAGTAGGTCTGATTAGAGCTTCCAAAGGGTCTAACTGGATGTAAATAAAAAAATTTTTTAAGTCAGGCAGACTGGAGCTTGAGCCCTAATGACCCGCTTGCCAACTCCCAGCGTCAGTTTTCTCATCTGTAAAACTGAGGTAATAATAGTACCCACCTGGTGGGATTAATGTGAGGTTTAGTTGCAAGTAAAACATTCAGCATTGTAACTGACACATTGTGAGTGGTCAATAAACTAAGTAGCACCTACTGAAGACATCAAGAGAAAGGAAATAACTGTAGTAACATTTTGAAACCTTAGAATTGCAGCTGAGTAAAATTGCAAGACAATGAGAGGACTTCATTCATTCACTCATTCATTCACTAAAATCCCCCTCTGCATGTTGGGCTTGATGTGGGTACTGGGAACATAGGACGAACAAGGTACAAAATAAGACATAGTCCATGGCCTCCAGCTGCTCAGATTCTAGCATTTACTTAACTCCTGCCTTAAATCCCACTACACATTTCCTGGAAGACAAGTCATCGTTTTAAACAAGGTCTAGCAAGTCACATTTGAAGTCTTGTAAGTGGCATGTATAAGAAAGAATCATCAGAGAATTAATGGTCCTTCCTTAAAGTGCCCTTGGAGCGACAGACTCCCGACCCTGAGGAGGAGCTATATCCTCTTCTACACTGCCTGTTCTACTGTATGGTTCTGCTGTGTGGTTGTCACACCACAGCTCTGGCTAACACGGACACCTTATTCAATTGATAGGCAAAGATGATTCCAAAGAAATAATCATGATCACATGACCTTGGAGAAGGCATCTCAGAACAGGAATCAGGATTTCACGGGAGGTGAAAACGGAACAAGGGTCAGAGACAGTGTAGGGTAAAATGTCAGTACACAGGTTTTATCGAAAGACAGAGCTCTGGGTTTCAGTCCTCAGACAGTTGCTTGGCTTCTCAAAGGCTAATATCTCCAATCTAAAATGGAGAGATTCTGCCATAAAAATGGAATGAAATAATGGCTTTTGCAGCAACTTGGATGGAGCTGGAGGCCATTGTTCTAAGTGAAGTAACTCAGGAACGGAAAACCAAACATCATATGTTCTCACTTATAAGTGGGAGCTAAGCTATGAGGATGCAAAGGCATAAGAATAATATAATAAACTTTGGGGACTTGGAAGGAACGGTGGAGGGGGCGAGGAATAAAAGACTACATATTAGGTATAGTGGACACTGCTCTGATGACAGGTGGACCAAAATCTCAGAAATCACCACTAAAGAACTTGTTCATGTAATCAGAAAACACCTGTACCCCCAAAACTATTGAAATTAAAAAAAAGAATATATCTGGATTACAGAAAGAAAAAATTAAAAATTTTAAAAAATAATGAAATGAAATCGAGATATTAAAATATTTAGTTTGTAAATAGTTGTGACAATACATTTCAAGTACCTTTCAATAGTAGGTATCTAGCTCTATCCATGTTCCTGCAAAGGACACCATCTCATTATTTTCATGGTTGCATAATATTCCACGGTGTATGTATAGCACATTATCTTTACCTGGGTGACAAAATAATCTGTACATCAAATGCCAGTGACACGAGTATACCTATATAACAAACTGCACATGTACCATGAACCCAAAATAAAAGTTTTTTTAAAAAATAGTAGGTATCTAATATGTGATAACACTTAGCATCCTCAACCTCATCATCTCTGAGGAGGTGACAGTCATTCAGTTTCCATATTTGCTTTGAATGCTTTGCAGGTTGTTGTGGAAGATAACAACTAGATGCATATGTGAAAGGAGCAAATTATGCACATTTATGGAATTAATTTATGTCATCATCGAATGTAATGTTCGCCCCTTCTTCCACTCCAGGGTAAGCTTAGTTAACTAGGATTATGCTAGGACTAGATAGAGCAGAGTGGAAGAAAAATAGCTAAATGTTGCTCCTTGGCTACCCATGACCACTCTGACTCTTTCCCTTTTCCTGGCAGGCACTTCCTCTTCAAGACCTCCTCGGGGAGCACACCCTTGTTCAGCAGCTCTTCCCCGGGATACCCTTTGACCTCAGGAACGGTTTACACGCCCCCGCCCCGCCTGCTGCCCAGGAATACTTTCTCCAGGAAGGCTTTCAAGCTGAAGAAGCCCTCCAAATACTGCAGCTGGAAATGTGCTGCCCTCTCCGCCATTGCCGCGGCCCTCCTCTTGGCTATTTTGCTGGCGTATTTCATAGGTAAGTCAGGGCAGCCTTATTCAGCAACGCTGGGGATGACAACATGAGGGGAGAGGCCATGGACTTGTGAATCTAGAGGCCCTCTGATGTCTGTACAGTTTGCTTCTTTGCTCCTGAAAGATGTGATAATGAGTGATGGATGGAGGTGATTTTTTCCCTCCTGAAATCCACTTAAATCTGATGAGTTTCTCCTTCATGTTTCTAAATGACATCCATCAGAAGGGAAATTAAGCATCCTTACTATATCCTTTCTTGGAGATGAGCTGAGACTTTTCATTCCCGCAAACCTATCCCTCACTCTCAGAGTGGCCTTCTAGTTTTCTCCATCCTTGGATTTTAACCCAGGTCTGTGCTTTGAAATGTATGCAACATTGGTTAACTTCAGCCAAAAACTGAATTGAAGAATAGTGGTTGGCATGTCTGAGAACATCTTGATTCGAGAGAAAGCCAAAGTAGCTAGCTTATTTTCAGAGCTGTGGAACAGAAACAGGACTGACAGGCTGGAGCATCCATCCAGGTCTTTATACAGAATCGAATTAGCCAGACACACTTGGCCTTGCCCATATCCCTTCCACAGCCTCTGTCTTCTCATCCTCAACTCTCTCCTCACCATGGACAGCTGAATCTGAATCAGGGTCACCTCTCCTGGCAACTGGGCTTCTGGTGACTCAGTGTATGACATAGGTGAAGTTGCTGGAGTATCTTTCTCTGCATGCCAAAGGTGTTGGTTTACAGCCATAGGGTGTAGCCGTGTCACCACAGAAAGTGGCAGATGCTGAGCGCCCAGGGGCAGGGTGCCACGTGCATAAGAGCTTCTCAGGCTGCACACAAAGCCTGCTCACAGCTCCTGGCCCCAACAAAGAGCCCCAAGGCTGCTGCTCTGTCAGTTAAGCCTGCCAAAGGCAGATCTCCTGGCTTAGGAAGAGGCCATGGTGATGTTTGTTAAAGTTTATTTGAAACACTTGATGCTTGTGGCTTGGTTTCAGGGCAGCTATGAGAGACCTGCCCAGTTTGGCTGTGCCATGTTGCAAAGCAAACCCATAAAGCACCAGCTCAATGAAGCTGACTCCAAAACAGTTCCCAACACGTATGCTGAAACTCCTCCCATTTAAGAGAAAAGAAAAGGCAACCCTGACTGTGTTGGCCTTGCCCCTTCCCTCAACATAAACCCTCCCTTCTCGCTCAGCACTGGGGGCTCCCACACTTCCTTCATCCCCAGGCAGCAAGCATGGTATCTGCCAAAGAAGGAACTGGCCCAGCGCTTCCCAGACCATTCTCCTAAGCTTGCCTGATGGCAAAGGGGCATGACTGTGCACCCCCACAGATCTGGGGCCCTGCCTAAGGCAGACCAATATGAGCCAACAATTGACATAAATTTTTCAGCTTCTTCCACACTATAGCTGTTCTTGTCTTAATATGGAAAAATAAGCATTTATATTCCTTACCAGTTGCATTTCTCAGGAATGCCCTCCCAAAGTGAGAAAACTGACTCTCCAGGGAAAGGTGCCGTGTTCATCTGGGGCTTTGCAGAAGTGTAGCTTGCACTCTAAACCACAGCTGTACACGGGAACTGAGGCCTGAGACCCAAGCACCCCTAATTTCGAGTCATGTCTGCTTCTCACTTACCTCTTGATGAAGGATGAAGTAATGGATTGACCTCAGAAAGGCGGAAGGATATCTGTTGCCCCTCTGAATCTCTTGAGTACATCTTAGTGTGTTGCTAAAGTAGCTTTGTGTGCTTCTGCAGGTGGCTGTTCAGGGGGCTCCGTGGAAGCAAATTGAATGTGCCTTCGGGGTCTTTTCATGATTTGGTTTTGTGTCAGAAACTTCAGAAGGGGTTCCTGTGCTCACTTCTCAGGCTTAATGTTCTGCGGGGCCAGTGAGCACCACGGGGCCAGTGAGCACCACGGGGAGCCCAGATACAGAAATTGAGGTACTGCCTGCCTCTGCCAATACCGTCCCAGTGCGCCTTCTACTCTACTTCCAGGAGAGAGACAGATGGCTCCTGCCTGATTTATGGGGCTTGATAGTTAAAGTAGAATAGCTTCCTGTAAGGGCAGTCATATACATGGGAAACCGTATAGTGAGAGTTTAATGTTTTAATCAGGTATGTAACTTGTAAATGATAGATTAGGAAATATATTTATTTTCAATCTGCAGGCTGCTAGAAGCTGGACCTGAGCATCTTAGCATCGTTTATTAGTTCATAATCCATCATTTCCTATTATGTATTCTTTAGGTAAGATTATGCTTTGACCCTAGAGTATCAAAAAATAGTTTATGACACAAAATGAGTGATATAATGGGCCAATTTACCCTGCAGTGATGGCAGTGAGCATGCAGCTATAGGGCTACTCTCAGCCACTCTCCCGAGGTGACCGCAGGTCTGCAAGCGTGGTAAGGGGTCAGGATCTGAAGTGCTGATCTTGGCCCCAGTTATTCCTTTCTCCTTAGCCTTGACAAACTTGTTTGCCTTCTGGGTCTTGGTTTCCTAAGTACAACATGGGGGCAGGATGGTTATTTACGTGCAGAAACTCAGAAGTATGGTGAGGATTAATTAATGTGTATAAATCACTTTGAAGATGAAAAGCAGTATATTATTACTTACAGAGCTGCAGGGGCATAAACAGTGCATTGCAAACACAGAGAAAAGTGCCTTTTGGAGAACCAATGATTGTGCCCACCTGGGAAACAAGCCATCAGGGAAGGGCAGAAAGACAACATGAAAACCGAGGCCCTCCTGTTAAGGAGACCGGCGCTTTTAAGGGCTGAGTCCATTCTGGTTCACACATGACTCTGCATTCCACTAGAACATGACAGGTCCTGAAATTGATGCATCAGCCCCAGGACCTTTATGGGCAGGCAGTGGGTTCAGGCCTGCCAGGCACCGTGACAAATAAGTCAAATTATCATCCTTGCGTGTTCAAACCCGAAGAAAGAAGACTTTCCAGAAATGAGCAGTTTGGACATTGCTCGGCCCCCTGACAAGTTCTTCCATAGATCCAGGCCCGTGGGCGGGTGTAAAAGCAGAATGCCAGCCCTGTGCAAACTAGATGACCCAGGTCTTTACGAGCTCAGCAGAGATGCCCAGTTCCTACCCACACAGCTGGGGTCAGAGAACTTTTATGATCTGCTCCTCCATCAGACCCTCTCTGTGCCAAATTCTCTCAGCGTACAAACATCCTGGAATAAATTACTCTGGAAAGCTGAATAAACCACCAGGGGACCACTTTGTGCATCACTCAGGCCCTGGCACAAACAATTCCTAGGGAATACTGGTTTAGGAGAATTTTTCTGTGAAATGCAAGAGACTTTCCTCTCAGGAAGGTGTCTTTCTTCTTCAGGCAGCTCAGGTACTTTCATTACCTGCACCACCAGAAGTCCCTAAGTTTCTGAATCATGTAACCAAAGTATTTTATTACCAACCTCACCTATTTTAGACAAGATGTATTGTGTTATCTTGATAGTATGCATAACAATCACTAGTTAGAACCTTCTACCTGTTTAGAACTAGAAGCATTTCCATTTGAATCACTTTTTGTTTGTTTGTTTGTTTGTTTGTTTTTGAGACAGAGCCTCACTCCATTGTCCAGGTGCCCAGGCTGGAGTGCAGTAGCATGATCTCGGCTCACTGCAACCTCTGCCTCCCGGGTTCAAGTGATTCTCGTGCCTCAGCCTCCCAAGTAGCTGAGATTACAGACCTGCACCACCACACCCGGCTAATTTTTGTGTTTTTAGTAGAGACAGGGTTTTGCCATGTTGGCCAGGCTGCTCTCAAACTCCTGGCCTCAAGTCATCTACCCACCTCAGCCTCCCAAAGTGCTAGAATTACAGCCATGAGCCACCACACCCAGCCCATTTGAAGCACTTTTATACAACTATTCAATTTGAATCATATCCCCAGTCGTCAACCAACACTCTAGCAGAAAATAAAATCTGCATATTACAATCATTTGACAAGCACTGACACCGAGGCCCAGAGAGTCTAAAGTCTCCTGGCCTAGGTAGATAGTTGCAGGGCGAGCACTAGGCCCTTGGTCTCTTGATGTCTCCTTGAAGGTCTTTCTCTTCACTTCTTTCTCCTCAAGATTGCAGTTAACCAGTTTCTCACATACTGTATGAAACTGAAATAAATGATCCCGTTGATAGCATTAACTCACCTTATCTAGCTCTATCCTCTTTAGCAAGGTAGAGTAGTTGGTTCCTGCTTCCTGAATCATCTTCTAACGCAGTGGATAGAAACTATAGCCCCTCCGCAGTATTATAATCAGTCCTCATATTTCTGCTTTCCAGTTGTCTTGTGTTATAGAGGTCAGCAAACATTTTCTGCAAAAAGTTGGAGACTAAATATTTTTGGTTCATGTGCTACTTAGTGACAGCTGGTTAACTCTGCTGTTGTAAGTTAAAAACAGCCATAGACGGTGTGTAAATGAACAGGTATGGCTGTGCACCCATAAAATTTTAATTATGCCCCCTGGTTTTTTAGTTTAATGTAATTTTTATGTGTTATGAAATATTATTTTCTTTTTAAAAAATTTCAGCCATTAGAATGTAAACCCATTGTTTAGATTATGTGCCATGCAAAAACAGGTGGCAGCCTGGATTTGGTCCGCAGGCCATAGTTTGTCAACCCTTGTTTGATTACATTACAGCTTATTTCCTAAGAATACCTTTCAGGTTGTCCACATCTCTATTACAAAAAATTGCTTCCCAACTGGCTAAGAGTCCAACCATATGTCCACTGTCAATGAAGCAGGTGACTGACATTTTCTGATACTGCAACTCCATTTCACAATGAGTAATTGCATCTGACTTTCTGGCCCAAACCAAAAAGTAGAAAAAGCAAGTCACTTTTCTCTTTAAATACTTTCTATAGGATAAATTTTTCCAAGGAAAATTTTAGGAATTTTAGGACACTTCATCATGAAAGCATAGCTTTTAACTAGACTGCTTGAAACAGTGCTCCAATCCATGGATAGAGTGGAATTGCCTGGCCATTTTGCCTAGTACTCATTTGTCCTCAATCTTTGATTATCCCAGGTTCCTCTGGAAAATTATCACCTGTTTTTAGAAGTTACTCAGTTTCTGATGCCTTCGTTGTTGAGGTTTTCCAACAGATTGTAATGATGCTGTGTCATGGAATGACATCATTGCTTTCTTGTCCTAGGTTAACATTGGAATAGATCTAGTTTCCTTAAAAGGCATCGAAGTTCTTGCAGGGCTACCCCACATCAAGGAAGAAAGATGCTTCTCATGTGTGACTCTGTTGTTTAACTCCAGATAATCTTAGAAATTCTAAGGCGAGAGTCAACACAAGAGTTCGGCATGACATGGGACTCAGACTGTCACCCCTGAGCTAAAACAATACGCAACATACACTGAGCTTCTGCCAAAGACACTTCACGGGGTTGGTAAGGGAAGGCAGGAGAGAGAAAGATAAGAGCATTTATGTCATCCTAAATTAGTTCTTAGCTCTTCAGATCTCTGCCAAACTAAAATACATATATATATATTAGAAAGTCACCTTGTCTTTTTTCACTACAGTAATTCCTGCCAAATGTGAAATACTATGTTTGAAGTTAGCTGCTCAACACTCTGTCTTCTGCCACTCTGACTTTGATCTGGAAAGAACGCGGGCCATCAACATGTCAGGATGTTAAAAGTGTGGTAATTTGGGGTGCTTTCAGTTTCTTTTGAAAACAATGAGAGATTATTTTCTATGGAAACTAAAAGCCTACCATGTGTTTAAAGTTGCTACACTTGAAAATTGATATGTTGAGACTCACGCTGATGAATCTTGCGTTCTCTGCTGCTATTTTGTGTATTCTCATCTCACTGAACAGAGCAGGTTTGGAGAAAACATAAAGAAAATGACAGAAAATGATGAGAATGGTACACTTGCCTGGCATCTTTTGTGGGGGCGCAGACTAGGAAAAATGTCAGCCCTCTCATTCCAACTCACTGCTCTTTGACTATCTGGAGAGATGGGAAACCTCATCCTCCTGTATGAATTCCAAGTTGTGTACTTACCTCCCACATCTAAAGGGCAAAATGCTAATGATTAAATCTGAACAGTCAAGCAAATAACATTTCCACCCAACTCCCTGGGCCCAGATGGTCAAACTGAGAAAAAGAGAGCTGCCCACAAGTAAGTCAGGGGACCCAGTCATATTATCTATGCCAGTGTTAGTAGCAGACTTCTTATCTAATAGATATGCTAATGTGCTCTTAACCTGATAATAAAGTCCTGTCAGTGCTTACACACTGGTGAGTCTTTGGCAGGGGGACTGCCATTTCGTAACTGAACATCTGATTTCAGAGGGCCTGTCAATTTATGGGAAGACAATTACATCATTCATTAGCTAGGTCTCCATCACCTAGCGGCCATGTGGCAATATTTGTACCTCGTGTTTGACATTCAGAAAAAATGAATCCCTCTGCTTCGGAGGAGGACGTGGCCTCTTTAAAAACATATTTGTGCAATCTGGGGGACTTGAAGTGCTTCAGGAGGGTCAGCAGCTCTCGGGAGATGCCTTTGCTTTCCTCTCCGAGATTCCCATCAGAAGTCAGGATAGTCGGCCCATGCAGGGCTTTCTCACCCTTGTGGGCAGACGCTGGTGATGAGAGCCAGGAAACAGGTTCTGGTCCTGACTTTGTAGAACATCGTAATACAGAGCCAGAGAGGAGTGATAGGTGCCACAACCCTGTGCACCTCAAGAATGCCAAGGAAACAACAATGGTATCGTCTGCCAGCCCAGGACTTCGTGCCTCCACAGAGTATACATTGAGTAAATGAATATGGAGAGTTCTCCACCTACTATCCCTGAATCACCATTCAAGCCTTGCCCTAGACTTTCTCTCTATAACGATGATCTCTCTAGCAGTCATCCATCCAGAAGCAGTAATAGAATGCTAGAACATCAGTGTTGACTTCTTCACACACCCTACTTATTTGACTGGATTCCTTTGGGTGGTGGCCAAGCCAACAGGCCCTTCAGCTTCCACAGTGTGCTTTTAAATTCTCCATTTCTGACATCTTTCGTTGGTTCATTGATTTGTGCTTGGGGTTTCCTGATTGAGGATTCTGACACAACTTCTAATGGACTGTAAATTAGTGTTATTTCATTCTATGTTTTATCTGGAACACAATTTCAAGTTCTTGCTTTGCCTTGGTAGTTAGACAAGAAGCAGCTTGATGTCGTAGAAAGCACATACATGGACTTTGGTGTCAGAGAGGGCTGTGTTTGAAGTCTGGCCTGTATACATAAAGTCCATGTGATGATGGGCTTGCTATTTAAAATCTCTGCACCTTAGTTTCCTCATCAGAAAAATGAGGAGAATTCCTACTTTGTAAACATGCCTCAAGCATTCATTGAAATGGTAGATGCATGCAACTCTTCTTCAAATCCAATGTCATCAATTATGAGAAATGCCATCATTGTGCATCCCTAAGAGGGAAAGAGGTTGTCAATTAAACTATGCCATGATTTCTTAGCATTTGTAATTTTTATTTTATATATTTGGAAAGAGATAGGCACAGGCACGATAGATTGATGTAACAACCATGTGAATAGGTAGGTCCGTGGTCACAAAGGCCCTGTAATACAACACCAATTATAAGGTGCATTCTGATTCCAGACTTGTGGAAATATTTAAAAAATTCTGAATCTTATAGTCAGTGGAACATGGTGGTACCTGGCACACAATAGAAGCTCAACTAAATGGAGCTATGGTGATCATTGTACTAGCCACTGCACACCAGGTCCAATGAGACCTGCATTGGACTGCATGCCAGGTCCAATGAGAAGAGTATGCCCAAAATAGTGACCTGCACTGCCCAGCGCTTTGTAGGCAATCAGTACATATTTGTTGAACTCATGAATGCTGATTAGGGTTACATCTGAGTTGTACCAGTTGTGGAAGGTGTTTTCCAAATACCCAGAATCCTTGATCCCTAGCTTCACTGTTCCCCTATGTAAGGGGAGGTTTTTGGTTTCTTGATGTGGTAATTGCCTCCGTTCCCAAATTGCACTTCTGAGTTAGAAAGCACTTAGGCAAAGGAATGGTTAGGGGGCCATGTAAGCACCACATTTAAGCCCTCTAGCAGGAATCTGTGATTCCCTGAAATCGAGAGAACTGACTGAGAGAAACTGGGAAGTGTTTGTATCTGGCATAAGGCCATCATTTGGCACTGATATTACAAAAGTGTAGCAGAATTTACTTGGAGTTCAAGGTGAAGAAGCAAATAATGGCATAAATCTAAAAGTCTGTTGGCTATTTCTCTGTAAATGAGGATGTACTAAGAAAAGAAAGCAATCGCTACAAGGCACCGAGTAGAGAAAAGAACTATTATATGGTAAATTAGGTCTCTGTACACAACCCACACAGAATCTTTTGTGCTCTGAAATGCCTTGCTTAGCTACATGGCCTCATACAACAGAAACCTAACCCAAAGCAAACTTCTAAAACATACATGTTTCTTTTAAGGTCACCTAAAACCAGACTTTTTTGTGTCCCACATTGAAAATTCTTTTATAGAAAATTCATGTTTTGATTGTTAAGAATAGACACCCAGAATTTTTGCCTGAGCCCTTCTCTTATCAAACAAGTCATTTATTAAATTGATGCCTCATAATAAGATTCTCTGCATTCAGAGAGCAAATAGTCCATCAACTGTATTAACACATTTATCATTACCATAAAAAAGAAGATAATGCATTGCATGTTCTGCTAATTTCACTTTTTATATCATCAGCCTTCTGGCATTAATAAGTAAATATCACACTGTATCAGAAAATATAACAGCACTAAGCTACATGTTGGTAAGAAAAGAGTTTTACTAAAGAAAATATTATCCTCCCTTCTGGGAAAGAGAAAAAAATTATAAGATATGTAATATGTGTCATCTTTCAAAGGCTTTTTTTGTTTGTTTGTTTCTAAAAACCAAAGCCATGGATGAGAAGAGAGGAGAAGCTTTGCCTCCAACCTTTACATTTCTTTCATCATGACTTTCTTTGCAGTTGTTAGGGAAGGCCCTTCCCTTGGGATGGGTTTTCATTTGAGTTAGGTCATTTGTGGGGAGATTCGTGCAAACATGTTCGGCACTCCCCTAGGGACTCTGTCTTTATAAAAGAAGGGCATATTACCTTGCTTTTGCCTTTGCAGTCATGATGCAATTCTCTCAGTTTGCTTACTTATATTACACCATGAGCATTTTAAAGTCACGTTAATGAAGTTTATATTAGACTTGCTTATATTCCACAGGGAAGGGTCAGTGGCAGTGTGTCAAATGCATTCTGTTCTTCAGGCCGTGATAAACAAGATGGCATCTTTCAAGGAAGTTCAGTGTGCCTTTGAATTAGATGCATCTTTGAAACTGGTTTTAAGGCTGCCTTATGCACCAAATTTTACAAACAGACTTCTGGGACATTAGCTAAATTTGGAGTAGTGTGTTTAAACTTTCTTTTAGTAACAAGATTTGTAGACTTCCTGAATCTCGAGAGAATTATGAGTTAAGACTCTTTTTCCCGTGAAGAAAATATTTGTTACTCTGTACATTAATTTTATGTTAATTAATTTACAGTTTATTAAATGTACTTGAATAGGTTCATGTATATTCATTCAATGCTTTTCCACTGGGCAAGAAATTTCACTTTGGCATATGATTGGCTGGTCGCACTGTGTGCTGAAATCTGCAGGCCAGCCTTAATATCCAGGATATTTTTACTTGAAATTTTTTTCCTGGATCCAGATCCCAAAAAGCAACAAATGAAATAGTACAGTTACCAGGAAAGTTTAAAAAGCCTGGGGTAAGTTGTGTTTTGCATGAGCATCTCCTGTCCTGGTGTTAATCAGGCACACACAGCAGCAATAGAAGGCATCTGAGTTTCATTTTCCCAGGACCATCAGGGGAACAGAAGCTTTTATACTAAAAAGCTTTTTATTACCTGATTGGTATAAATCAATGATTAGCCATCCTTTTTGTTTCCTGGATATGTACAAGGGTCTAACCAATGTACAATAAGAAATTGAGGACATTTGTGTCTATTTTTATCCAGTCTGTTTTAATCAAATGATGACATTATCTTTTCCCGAGTTTAAAATTACAAAGTTTTTAAGAAAAAACACACACACACACACACACACACACACACACACACACACCCCCAAAGCTGGCATAACTGTGAAGAGTCAAGAGCCAAGGAAAGAGGAATTAATACCAAAAAGGGTGGGATGAAATTAAGTCAAGAAGTAAGAAAAAGGCATAAGATGCTGAGAATAGAGTAATTAGAAGCATTAACTAGCAAGAGAAACTAGGAAATGCCATACATCAATTGGGATAAAATATGGAACAGTTAAAGGACACAAATAGGAGGGGAAAATGGCACCCAGCATACCAAATTACAAATATCTTCTGCACAATTTCTTGAACCTATAAGTCCAACCAAGGTAATGAGATGAAAAGCAATCGTTGTGAATTGCTTGGAGGTGCTGTTTCGCCACCTCATCTTACATCATTAAACTTTTGGTCCCCTCATGAACTACTTAGATAAACAACAGTGGGCAGCTCAACATTTATCCAAATAAACCAGAAAGCTACCACGATAAAGGAAATTGAGTTTATAGACACAGCGGACTCTTGCCTAATAGACGAGAGTAATGTGTCTAATGTCGAACATCAATCTATATTTCAAGTATAGTATGAAGGAGGGCCTCGAGAAACAACTTATGCTACAAAATCACTTTGCACTAGAGGTGGTTTATCTTCTGTTGTGTCTAATTGATCTCCACGTAATTCAGCTACAACCCTTGCTACTGAAAATGATGTAAGAGATGGAAAGACTGAATGTGGCTGTTGGTTCTCCAGAGACCATAGCAAGTTGGGGGTTCCAAATCGCCTTTGTCTTCAAATGTATTGTCGTTGGAATGATCCTTGAAGCCAGAGAGCAAGTCTATTTATTTTTTAATCAAGTGAGGGCATTCATGAACGTCTTCTTTTCAATCCTGATTTGTAAAAAAATCTACATAAGGGAGAATTATTTTATACCAGACCCTTCCCATGCCTTATTTTGCCTAACTTCATAGTGTGAAGAAAGATCCAGTAGTGATATTTTAGATTACCCTGCAATGTTAGTTCCCAATCAAATTCTGTGGATTTATGAACTGCCTGCACTTGGGAGAGTCTCTTAATCCCAGTGGAACAGGGTCTGGTCTAGACCAGGACATAGATATGCTGAGGCCATGGCTAGTGGTAGTGGGGACTTGGGAGTGGAGCAGTGAAAGAGAAGGGAAGGGAGGTCAGCCCCCATTTGGGATGCACGCATGCGCGCGCGCGCACACACACACACACACACACACACACACACACACACACACCACTATCCCCGCTGACCCTGCTTCAAAAATGCCAATCAGAAACCTCTTTTAATATGTGCACATCTTAATAAAGTATCTGGACGGATGGATTTGGTTTGACTTTCAGGAAACCAACTTCTAGTCCTGCTTCCAAAGATTTAATCTTTCACAGTGTTTGCATTTGCACAGATATGGATGCCACCGTTTCTTTTTCCTCCTCTCTCCTACCCTATACACTGCACCTTTAAATCGCCTTGGGGGAAATCCAGATTTATCCTGCTCTGTCACGGTTAATTTTTTTTAAGTCATATACATAATACAAAACAATAATAAAGTTAATTTCATTTTAGGCTTTTAAAAAACTTACCAGTCTGTGGATCTGTGATTTTTTTCTGACTCTTGTCCCCATCCCCTCATCCCCATCTCCACCCTCGCTTCTTTGGGTGGAAGGTTGTTGGGTAAAGGTGCTGCCTAAGGTCTCATGAACTCTGCCATGTCTGGGAGAAAGTGTCTGTATTTCTTTTCTGGGGATGTGAGTGCTGATTGCATGGTGTTGTATTCTTTTCTTCAAAACTATCAGGAATTAAGCCTTTCGGAAAGGTCAGCTGACCCACAGTGATATCCATATTGTAGTGAAACACCGATGGCTTGTTTTATGCCAAAGGTAAATAGGAGAGTGGATACAATGAAATGATCTGTGACTAAATGCATCTTGAAGGAAGAAAAAGAGCTGTCTGTCGTGTTTGTATGACTAAGGGATTTCTTAAACAAGCTGTGGACCCCACCCAGGGAGAATGCTGTCAAAACATGAAAAAAAATACAGAGATCACACGAAAGCCAAGTCTGAACTCTTTAATTGCATGTCTGAATACCTTGCTAATTTTGCCCACGCCCTTTGTAATTCTTTATTCATAACACACTACCACTGTCTCACCCCTCCCCAAAAACTTTATCGTACCTGTGTCTCCCACAATTCCACAAAGCAACAAAACCAAAAAACCAGCTGATTGAGAAGATACCCAGATTGGACTAAAGTGGCTCTTGGCTTGTTATCATGCCCTTCAAAAGTCACTTACCAGGGCAGTTATACAGTAGGATTTTGTTGGAAGAGCTGGTCTGGAATCTCTCTAGGTAGAAATGTATAGAGAGACCCCCAACATGAAAAGTAACTAGGTATGAATTGCAGAAACATAGAAAAAATTCTTTGTGTTGTATAGATAATGGTGTCGAGTGCTGCCTAATTTGTCATTCATATGATAGGCCAAGTGGGGTGCAGACCCTAATGACAGAGAGTATTTTTTGTGCAGAGGGGAAAGTAAGTACCATAAGAAAAAGCAAGCATGCACAAGACAGAAAAGACAGGAGAAGCATTCCTTTGTGTCACTGTAGTATATATGGTATATATTCCTGGGAATATAAAAAGAGGAGGCCAAATGCCTAGCTAGAGAGAATTATAGTTTCCATCGGCTTCTACAGAACAAGGAAGAACCACATGCCCATCACTGGCTTCGTGAAAAAACAGAAGTTCAAGCTTCATGGGCAGTTAGGAAAATCCTCTGACTTAGATTAAGCCAGTTCTTATGTTTCCACTGGATGATGAGGCTACAGTTTTAGCCCATCTGTTCACAGCCCTGTCCCCAGCATCCTAAGAGACTCTATCCATTTATCTTTAAAAGCCAAAGAAAAGAGCATGTTGTGAGAGGGAGGAATAAAGCTGGTAGCCCAGAAAAGACTACCCTAAAGCTGAATGGGAAGACTTAACATCGCTACCCTGAACCACATGACTCTGGAAGGGTCCTGAGGTTCTAGGGCGCGAGGGTTGTCATGCGGTCTTGACTGAAGGTTTTCCACATGTGCATATAGATTCTCCATGTAGAAAAGAATTTTGATTTGGGGCTTTAATGCCTTCGAATGCACATTGAGAATAACACTGCCATGCTTTCACCATAGCCTTGGAATCCTAAAATAAATAATAGAAAAATTGTGATTTAAAATATAATTCCAAATACTAACTGGGGCCCGCTGCCTAGATGAGTAATAAGCTTCAATAAATGTGTGACAGGCACAAGGCTCTTCAGTATGAAGAGTAGTGAGGCCTCAGAAATAGAAATAGCTTTTTCATTACATGAGGGATTATGTTCAGCCTGACTGTGGAGCCTGTTCACGGAGCCACAGCTGCATCTTCTGCCTGCGGTCGTATTAACCAGTAATAGTAAAACAGTGACGTGCTGCCTGAAACAGCGATTTATTTTAGAGAAGAGAGAAAGGTCGCTTTCTCCTGCTTAAGTCAGGATTACCATTGTTTACTACACACTTTCCCTTAAACTTCTATCTGTCCGTGCTAATGAGCTGCAATTTCAGCTGGGTTCCACCTGGGTGCCTGCCAGGGATGAAGAAATCAGGATGGTTTGGGGTCGTGGTTACGGCTGTTTTATTTTTACTCACCTCTGCTCATCAACAGGCCCAAGCTTATCTCTTTTTGAAGATTGTATGAAGTTTTATTTTTTAATTTCAAGCTCACTCAGCTATCTGAGTTTTTCCCAACTCAGGAACTCACAAATCAGCACATGTACTCCAGGCCTTCCTTTTTCTTTCTTTTTTTTTTTTGAGACGTAGTCTCACTCTGTCACCCAGGCTGGAGTGCAGCGGCATGATCTCGGCTCACTGCAACACCTCTGCCTCCCGGATTCAAGCAATTCTCCCGCCTCAGCCTCCCCAGTAGCTGGGATTACAGGCGCCCGCCATCACGCCCACCTAATTTTTGTATTTTTAGTAGAGACGTGGTTTCACCATGTTGGCCAGGCTCGTCTCGGACTCCTGACCTCAGGTTATCTGCCCACCTTGGCCTCCTAAAGTGCTGGGATTCCAGGTGTGAGCCACCACACCCAGCCAGGCTTTCCTTCTTCAAAGGAGTGAGATGTGTATTGGAGAGGCTGATGTGACCTCGGTGCTACGCCACCCTGCACCTTGGCGACCAAGGAGACTATGGGGTCTTCAAAGATGAGTTTCAGTCATGATCTGAGAAAGGTTAGGGGGCTCAGTATAGAAGGGCACTCAACATGAGAGCTGATTATCAATTTGAGATGGGTTCTCTTTTCTACACCTTGACACAGAATTCCTTTCTTGACACACTGAAACGAACGACTCACTGAAAATATCTACTTCAAGGATGGTTGTTTACTTGGCTCAGAAGACCTGATTTGTAGTCTTAACAGTTCCTCATTTGAAGGGCTAGCTGGGTATTCAGGTAGTTCAGTGAGGAAACCCTGAATTTAGTTTAGAAGTTAGGTTCAACTCTCAACTTCTTCTAATTGAGTGCTTTTGGGAAAGTCGATTAAATTTCCTAAGCCTTCATTTTTTTTCAACTGTAAGAAATGGTTGATAACCGTAATAGCGATGATACCTTTTTCATAGTCACTCTATGTAAAGTTTAAAGTAGGGCTTGATATTTTAATATTATTGTTCTTTGTTTTAATATTATTATTGTTCTTTGTGTATTCATTCAAGAGAAACTATGCAGAGATGCTAAGTTACAATTCAGCAATTGAGCTATTGGAGTTCAGAGAAGGGAGAAACTCCCAAGGGCTGGAATAGTTGAGGATAACTGGATGGAGAAGGTTCTAGGCCGACCCAGACCTGGGAAGATGGTTAGAAACTGAACTAGGAATGGGCCAAGAATCATTCCAGATGGGGGAACTAGCAACAGGAAAGGTAAAAGGAGAAGCCAGAATTAATAGGGTGTTATGAGGAGAGGGACGCCTGCTAAGAACAGTGAAAAACAGTGGAGCAAGACCAGATGATAGATGGCCTTGAAATCTGGCAGGAGGTTTAATTTGATTAATTTGGCAATAGGGAGGTGCTTCAAGTTCATAAGCGGGAGTATAATATGATAAAATTATGACATGATATCATGTCAGTTACCTAGTAGATGCTCCATAAATATTTATTTGTTGATTGATTGAGGATTCAGGATAGATTGGGAGATGGGACAGGAGACAGGGAGACTCCTCTGAAGGCCCCGTCAATAATCAGTGGGTGTGTGTTGGTGAGGCCCTGATGAAAGGGGAAGCCATGGAAATAGAGCTTCAGAGTTAACTGCGAGAGATTTCTTTCAAAGAAAAGACAGATTTGTGATACAATTTGTCTTGTGTCGACTATCAAGACAAAGAAGACAGAAGTACCTAATATGGCCTTAAGGTTTCTCTGTTGTCATAATGGGAGAACTGAAAAATTAAAAATTAACCTCATATCTTTAAATCACCACTCACTTCTCTAAAAGCATGGTTGGCCAAAACATTTTTTATTGGTATGTAATTCTACCAAGGCTGGCCAGAAGCCATTCTTTTTTAATGCACTCAGTAAATCTCTGCACGGTTTCTTTATTATGAGAGGGCCTTTGATCCAATAAAACCCATCAAGACCCCTTCTGAGGCATTCACTTTGGATTTTGTATGGAAGTCTATAGAGAAAAAGGAGAGCAGAATTGGGTAAAAACTAAACTCTAAAAGGCTAACAAAATTCCTCCATAACGTAGTGCTTACATGTAGTGCAAATTCTGCGAACCAAGAAGAGTCATTGGAATATACATTAAGACTCAGCATACCCATTTATAAACAGAAAACCACCCTCCGGGACTTGAAGGCACTTGCCTGTACAAATGTGGCATGTGGTCCTGGGAGTCTATACCGTTGCCCTTTTTGATTTGGGGCAGTGAAGCTTACAAATGAAAATCTTGAAAGAAGAAACTTGCCTTTTGATCAGTTGGTTAGAGGCAGGTTTGAAATTATGATAAATCTGCTACATATTCATTCTATGAGCAGGTTTAAACTCTAATGCATCTGCCTGTATATCTGCAAATGAGGCTGACTTACCGTACCAGGCTGAAGGGTGAGATGGATGAAGTTAGTTATGGGTTTATGGATTGGGCAGAGAGGGCTAGACATCAGGGAATGTGCCTTTGCCCTCCTCCCCCCGCCCTCTCTCTCCACCACACTGAAGTCTCGATTTATTTTCTGTGTGTTAACATTTGACTGAAGTGCATGAAATACCCTCTCAGATGCTAGGAGCCCGAAGTAAAGCATCAAATAGCATGCTCACCTGGGGAATTTAGAATTAGCCTCCAAACTAACCAAAGTAATCTAGGCCCCAAAGCCACTTTAGTTCTTGCTATTGGGATTGCCTGTGAGGATGAGCCTAAATGTGGTAGATAATTATGTCTCTTTGCTTTCTTTTTATCTTCATCCTAACTCTCATCTTTCAAGTCTCCTTTCTGCTGCAGAGTGGCAGGAGCTAAGGCTTGGCCATGAAGCCAGACATCCCATTTCTGTGGAGTTTTTGACCCTGTGCCATGATACTGGTCTTTAGGGAATTCTACATCGGTAACCATTTCTAAGCTCAGTTAGGTTAAGGCCATGGTCAGACCCTTGCTGTCTTCACTTCAGCCCACAAGAGAGGCAATACCGTGATACTGTGATGAATCCACCCCTGAAGCCTGCAGCTCCCTCCTGCTTCCCTGCCATGAGAGATAAGTTACTGGAGAGGAATGTCACATCTTACGGAAGAATTAATTTTGGAGTGCATTCCCGACAAGTCTATAGTTCAACATACATATGGGGAGTTATTTTCAATGGCATTTAAATGTAATTGACTTATCAGCCAGGTTAGAATAATCATAGGATAGCTATAGTGTTATTGTCTAATTGTGGTCCTATAGCTGACAACGCTCTGAAAGCCTCTTTAAAATATAAAGGAAACCTGCCCTTGGGAATACAAAGATTGTGTGAGAGTTGTAAGACATCCAGGAGAAGTTTAAAGTGGAGTTTGGAATAAAGTGAACAGGCTCTTAACCATGGGTAAAATTGTAAGAGAACAGCTTACACGGTTCTTGCAAACCAACTTGTCATTTCTCAAGTGTATAATGAAATAATGTGTATGAATATTTTCATGCAGAGCAGCCTCTCCCTCAAGTTCTGCCCTCTTCAGAGCTTCATAATAATATACAACAGCATCTTTTAGAACAGTGTTTTACAATCTCCAGACTAAGGGCTCCCAAAAAGATCCTGAGAGAAGTGTAAATGAGTAACAACTCTAAGACTGCATTTTTGTAAGTAAATGATGATGAAGGATAAGGAGAGATGTTCATGGGGAAAAGCCCTGAAAATTATTGGAAGTCGTGGAGAATGAGAGTCAAATGCAAACACTCCTATTCTGCAGCTACGCTGATTAGCAGATCTTTTATAGTTTCCGTGTGGGAGATGAGCAGGGGCTTGGCAAGCACTGTCCGTGTATTAGGAACGAATGCCCCTCCGCATATTCAATTTGGGGGCGTTATTAAAAAATGGAATGAGGCTCCTTCTCAGGCTCTGCTTCCTTTTCATAACTGCTCTTGCAGTGATCCTTTTGGCTGTAATAGCACTTTGTGTGAAAAGGATGGATGGGAACCCGCTAGGTCTTTTTACAGAATATCAAACATTTTGCCCATTAAGCTGACTTGATTTGAAGAGGTCCTTGGCACAGATTGATGAAATAGTCCAAATATTATCACTCCTTGTTCTGCAGTCCGGATAGAGTAATAACCAGTCGCCTCAGCCTTTGCTCATTAATGAGGTGGTCAGGGTCCTAAGATGTGCAAAGTTATTTCTTTTTCTCTCTTGCTATTTTGCACGTTATGCAGGATTACAATGCTGTGGGAATGATGTGCAGATGGTCTCCAGTGAGACTCACCCAGCAAGATTCTCTTCTTGCATCAGGATTCTGCCTTTTTCTCTAAGTCAGTGCGCCCTCACATCAGCCCTGAGAACATTTATTTGGCAGTGTCTGGAGATGTTTTTGTTTGTCACGACTGGGAGATGCTACCAGTATGTAGCAAGCGGAGACCAGATATGCTGCTAAACATTTTTCAATGCACAGGACAGCCCCTGGTTAAAGAATTATCTGATCCAAAATGATAATAGTGCCAAGGTTGAAAATTCCTGCTCTAATTGATTTATAATTACATCTTCAGATATATTTTTTCTTTTTTACCACTTGAACGAAAATAAGAGCTTATATTGCCCTGTATAGCTCATCTTTGGCTCTGTGTCCCTCGTTCCTCTTGGTGATTCTTTTTATGTCCATGGCCCTCAGTCCCCTTCACAGAAACAAGCTGTGGCATTAAGTTCCAAAAATTTATTGACTGAACTGGTCAGCTCTATGCAGCGTAAACAGGGTTCAACTGAAGAGGTATAATGAAAAGTACCGCTGAATGTAAATCTTCCTAAAGCATGACTTGCTGGTTTTTCTCTGCTTTAAAAGGATAATAAAGTCAACCATTTATGAAAAACCTACTATGTGCAGAAACTTCACATTTAATATCTGACCTAAATGTCGCAGTGACTCAGTTTTCCTAATTATAATTAGAGAAAGAGGTTCAGAGAGGCCAAATAACTTATGCATAGGCATGCATAGTCAGTGGTTAGGATTTGGAATTGAAAATATAGGTCTGTTTAACTGCAAAGCTCACGTTCTCACCACTATGTGTATTGCCATCAACTTGTAAATATATGCTTGAGTGACTTTGACTTTATGTGTTCACATCCCCCAAGCCCCAGTATCCTCAGAACCGCCCCTAATAACAATGTTTCTAAAAAAAGAAATGTACAGTCCCTCTGATCATCCAAAGACTGGTCAGCTCCCCATCAGCCTTGTCCTGAGAGCTGAAAGATGACACATTCCTTAGCTAGTACTCCATTGTAAAACAATCCATGTCAGGGCACGTGGGAAGATGGGAAACAGGTTGAAGGAATTGGGAGATAAAAAGAAATACACTTCAAAACTGAAGGTGAGGCCAGGCACAGAGGCTCACACTTGTAATCGCTGCGCTTTGGGAGGCCAAGGTGAGAAGCTTGCTTGAGCCCAGGCATTTGAGACCAGCCTGGGCAACATAATGAGACCCCTGTCTCTACAAGAAATATTTTTCTTAATTAGCCAGGTGTGGTGGTGCACAGCTGTAATCCCAGCTACTTCAGAGGCTGAGGTGGGAGGATAGCTTGAGCCCAGGAGGTTGATTCTGCCATGAGCCATGATCATGCCACTGCACTCCAGCCTGGGTGACAGAACAAGACTCTGTCTCAAAAAAAAAAAAACAAAAAAAAAAACTGAAGGTGAGGGGGCAATTCCAAAGTCCTTCTCAGGATGCTCAGCCAAGGCAGTGTTTCAGTTAGGGATACCTTTCAGCTGTAAGTTATCAAGAACAACTGAAAAAAAAAAAAAAAAAAAAAAACCCTAACAGTGGTTTATATTGAGGCTTGATTTCCTGACCTTACTAGCTAGATGTCCAAGGTTGGCAACCCTGGCATCGTTTCTGCTGCTCAGTGATGCCATCCAGGACACTGGCTCTTCCCATCTCCACTTTGCCATTCCCAGCACTTTGGTTTTATTTCCTTAGGTTTCCTGCCTCATTGTCTAAGGATGTCTGATGCAGCTCCACATATCACATCCACCTTCAAAGGAGGGAGATAGAAGTGGAGAAATATTCAAATTATTTGCCCCTCTTACCAGAAAAAGTCTAAACCATTCCCAGCCCCCAACACACACTTACACACACATACACATCCCAGCAAAATTTTACTTAAATCTTATTAATCAGAACTGTGTTATATGTCTATCCCTTGTTTCAAAAGAGTCTAGGAAAGGTTTTCTAGACCCTTTGAAGATGATAAGGGAAACGAGGGTTGGAATTGTCTGATGCCGCCAAAAATCAACAGTGTCTGATTAGAGTACTTGAATATTCAAAAGCCAAGTTTCAGCTGGGCACGGTGGCTCACACCTGTAATCCTAGCACTTTGGGAGACTGAAGCAGGCGGATCACCTGAGGTCAGGAGTTCAAGACCAGCCTGGCCAACATGGTGAAACCCCATCTCTACTAAATATACAAAAATTAGCCAGGCCTGGTGGCACATGCCTGTAATCCCAGCTACCCAGGAGGCTGAGGCAGGAGAATCACTGGAACCCAGTAAGCAGAGACTGCAGTGAGCCGAGATCGTGCCACTGCACTCCTGCCTGGGTGACAAAGCAAGACTCTGTCTCAACAAAACAAAACAAAACAAAACAAAACAAAAAGCCAAGTTTCTGCTTTTCTGGAAATAGATGCAACAGCTACTTCTGGGAAATCTCTCTTACATACTTGTCCAGGGTGGCACTCTGAAGGAGAGTGTATTAGTTTGCAAGGGCTGCCATATCAAGGGACCACACACTGAGGGGCTTACAACACAAGCTTATTGTCTCCTATGGTTCTGGAGGCTGGAAGTCCAGCATCGCTGTGTCAGCTAGTCCACGCTCTCCCTGAAAGCACTAGGAAAGGGTCTGTTCTGGACCTCTCTCTTGGCTTCTAGGAGTTCTTTGGTTTGTGGCAGCACAACTCCAGTTTTACATGATATTCTGCCTGCCTTTATATCTGTCCCTGCGTCCAAGTTTTCCCTATTTATAAGGACACCATTCATATTGGATTAGAGCTCACCCTATTGAGCTCATCTTAACTTGATTATCTGCAAAGACCTGATTTCCAAATAAGGTCACATTCACAGCTATTGGAGGTTAGAACTTCAACATTTGTGAAGGAGGGGGGCAATTCAGCTTATTCGTAATACAAGATTTTTCTAAATTCTTCTTTATATCTTAATAGTAATGGCGATAGTTAATATTTTTGAGCATTTACTACATGCTAAGCAGTTCACATAGATTTTTCTCATTTAATTCTTACTACCACTACATGGGATAGGTGCTATTATCTTTTCTATCTTACAGAATAGGAAATGGAGGCACAAAAATATTAGGTGACCTTCTCCAAATTATGTAATTAGTAAGTAAGAGGGCCAGGTCTCAGCCCCAAGTGCGCTGGCCTCTGAGTCCTTGCATTTAATTATCATCTAGACTCTCTTAACCACAGCTATCTTCATCTCTGGTATAATAGGTTTCCTGCTCATCAATGCCAAATAAGGGTAGACAAGTTGATTTCCTTAAAGCTTAAAAAAAAATTTTTCCACAAAGGCTTTCTTTGCTGCCTTAGAAACGCAAATAAAACACTTCATTCTGCACTAGGCGTAATGGTTTCCTCTTATTCAAATGCAGGGCCATCTGTGCAAAGTATTTTATTTCATCATTCATTGAAGTTCACTTAAAAGATGAAATCACCCTTAATGGAACAATGAAATGGAAGGATTCCCAAACTGAAGGCAAATGACTTGAAAATGAGAGGCTGTGGTTCCTGCCCGCAACCCCTGCCCAGGGTCTCATGAGTGACAGTGGTTCTGTTCTGACAGCCCCAGAGATGAAGAAGGGCTCTTGGGGAGCATAATGGCGCCATTTCCAGCCAAGCAGTTCATGAGGCTGAAGTGCTGTTTCCATGCTGTCCTCTGGCCTGGATCAGCCGCTGGGAGCCTGGCATTGATCTGTGTAGACTGGTGAAGCTTCATCTGCTTTGCAGGCATTGCTTTGGCTAAACAAGCCTGTAACTGATCCCTCTTGCTATAAACCAGCCTAAGTAGCCTCTTACCATCAGCCAGTACTCTGCTACCATCCTCCTTCTATAGCAGGACCACAGATGGAAAGGAAAGCTGCTTCCTCTCAAGTAAAGGACCGAAGACTGAGGGAAATTTTGCTTTTTGTAGGCAATAGCACAGTTTCCCCCTTTCCTCCTGACTGGAGACAGACAGTGCAGGAAATGATGGGAAAAAGCAAATCATGCTTTATGTTTGAGAGGCACCTCATGACTCTGTGGTGGACAGCAGGCATTATTAGCTGCATTTTACAATGGCAGAAACAGGCCTGGGCAGGGGAAAGAACTTGTCCACGACACAAGGCTAGCAAACAGCAGGTCTAGGCCCAGTACCCGGGTAGCCAGACTCCAAACAATATGCTCTTTCCACAGTGACATTCGGCACTGCAGCAGAGAACGAGAATAAAGTGCTTCTGAGTTGAACTGACAGAAGCTTCTAGAATCGGAAAGAGAAAGAATGCCGCAAAGAAGACTAAGGCACTTATTCCATGTGCTGCGCCTCAAGGAGAAGTCTGTTTAGTTTGGGAGACCAGAGTGCCTCAAATGGCGTCTCCCCAGTGGCTTTCTTGAGTTTGGGATTTGTCCACTTCATGATTGCTTCTTTTCTGTGGTGGGTGTTTCCCATTCCTTCTCTGAGTCAGCAAACAGCCATGAGAAAAGTTTCCTCCCGTTTTTCTCATCCTCATTCCTGAGGATAAAAAAACCTCTCCTTCAGATCAGAAGGGAAGGCAGAATGATAGTAGCTAACACATGGTGAGCATTAATGATGCTTCAAGTTGAGGGCTTTCCTTGAATCCCTCGTTTAATTCTCTCCGTAAGAAGAATTGTCCCCATTTGGCAGATGGGAAAACCAAGTCTTAGAAAGTTTCAGTAACTTGCCCAAGGTTGCACCGCTGGAGAGAAGCGGCACAAACTTGAAATCAAGAGGCCTATATTCCCCTCCTTCTGCACTGTTAACCTGAGCTGCAACCAGGGACAAGCATGCACCTTTCCAGAGCCTTGGTTCCTCCATCATAACATTTATGCAACACTCACTCTATGCTGGTCACTAGGCTTTCCCTGCATCAACACATTTAACCCTCACAACAACCCTATGGGATTGTACTCTTTTTATCTCCATTTCACAGATGAGGACACTGAGGCTTACGGATGTTAAGTAGCTTGTCCAAGGTTGTACAGATAGGAACTGCCCTAATGAAACACCCGTGCACTGAACCATAATGCTCCATCACCTCCCATGGGGAGTCCCCAACGCCCTTCAACTCTGTCTTACTATCATTCCATTATTTTATCTGACAAACGGTATATATTTTTTCTTCCTGAAAGCAGCAGCTTCATAGTGAGTTCCTGCAACATTTCAAGGAGCATTCATTATCTTCATTTTATTCCCACTTTATAGATGCAGAAACTGAAGCATAAATCAAATAACTTGCTAAGAGTAAAACAATTAGTGAAGAGCAAGAGTGGCTTCAAAGTCAGACCTGCCGAATTCCAACACCCATGTTAACGTAGGTTCTGTGGAGCTGGCACTCAGAAACCACGTCTACTGCCTCTTGGCCTTGACCTCGTATGAGCAGTGAAATCATAATCCCCAAGCACCTTCTCAGTGGGAGGTGAAGGAGGTAGCTTGCTTGGTAGCTAACAGCAAAACCTCTGAAATCGGATAGAATGGCGCTGGAATCCCCACTCTTCCACTTACTGACTGCATGACTCTGAGCAAGTTACTTCACCTCTCTGAAATAGTTTTGTCATCTATAAAATGGTAATAATAAATGCACCCATCTCCAAGAGTCATTGCAAAGATTATATTAGATGTTGTATGCACAGCTTTTTGCAAAGTGCATGGTACAAAGTGCTCAATGATTGTTAGAAGAGATTAGAGTTGACCTCATAGGATCACCACACTGAGCCACCCAGGATGGGACTCAACCTTGCAATGGGCTTCATCTCCTAGAAGGCACCCTGCTCTGGTCCTTATGATCTGCACTGACCAGTTAGCAGCCTCTCTTGCCCCTCAAGATTTCTTCACTTCCTTTGTACTGAGTCAGCTAGAGGGACCACTCATCATTTCACCAAAGTAAAAGGAAGTAGAGACAATTGATGATTGATGTTAGAAGCAGGGGACAGGGGTAGAAAGCATGTGGGCTTCAGATCTGTTCAGACCCAGGTTTGAATTTGGATATCACTTAAACCTCCCTAAGTTTCAGATTATCATTTTAGAGCAGCAGCATGAGGATAATAATGTTCACCTTTGCAGAGTTATTAAGAATAAACAAGAGGAAAATTATAAAGTGTTGTGACATGTAATAAGACAATGGCTATTATTTTTAGATTGGCCAACTCGTTTGCATGGAGCTCTTCGTGACAGACCATTGAGAAGTGACCTGAGTTCCACAAATGTCCTTTGCTCACTTTATTTGGCACTGTTTGTGTGGTGAACTTTCCCCACTCTGGGTGTGGCTGGTCAGTCTCTTACAGTGTGTGGCTAGCAGATCACCTTTGAATAACATCTGTGGCTATTTAATTTGTACTGGGGAAAGAAAGAAGTATTACAAGGAAAGCAGGCTGCCCCGTTGGGATGCTCAAGGCCCATTTTCTTGCACTTAGCCTAGGATTGGCATCTCTTGGTCAATGTGGGTCACCTTCCTGAGAATAAAGGGGCTTCATTGGCTCAATAATTATCCCAACTGTTTTTTCAGTTGTGGCTATTTGAGAAAGAGGTTTCATATGTCAGGAGTACAAAATAGAGACTGACTTCATCGATCTTTATGCCATTTTTGCCCTTCATCGTTGATGTCATTTGACTCTTCAGGCCCCCCTTCTCCCGTCACTTTCTTCTTGACATAATAGCTTTCTTCTGTTCCGTCCCCATCTTCCCATCTGCTCTTTCTCATAGCTCCCTCTTCTACACCTCGTACTTTCCGGCCTCTGCACTTCCACTGTTGGGCAACAGAAGAGCTGTCTTTGTTTAAGCTTAAACTTTATCTTCTGGCAAAATGGAGAAATTAACTGCCTACCAGCATCTCGGAGTTGGTTGTGGGGTTCATAGGTTCATACGTGTTAATTGTTTTAAAAATTCTCCTTACTATAGCAATGCAAGAATCACTAATCTTTCTCTCTTTCCCTTTCTCCCTATTCCTCTTCTCCTCTCCACATTAAGTCTGATTTTTTTCTCTCTCTGAATTTATCCAGCTTACATAATTTGCCTTTTCATTTTGTGAATGGAGATAATTTGTGAATAGAAATTACTTCCAAATGTTTCAAAAATATTTTCTAAGCATTTGCTTTAACATGGTGTTGTGAGCTCTTTTTTTTTTTTCCTCTTTCTTTTTTTTTCATAAGGAAATAAGTATTTCCAGGGAAATGAGCTTTAGGGGGAGAAAAGGATTGCATTTCACTCTCTTCTTGGGTCTCTTTTGTTGATGACAATTTTGAGCTGGAGTAACTGCAGATATTGACTTGTCGACCACCTGGGGTGGAGGGGGACAGTTTTATTCAGACTCCTGCCCAGGAAGTCCCAGGAAGGAATAGGATAGGAGGGAGGAGAGAGGAGAGGGTAAATGAATTCAGAAAATAGAGCTAGCCTGGAAACTGATGACTTTTTAGGTGAGAGATTCCCTACATCAATATTTTAATTTTAAGACACATTCTTATACTTGGGTTGATTCTGGGGTGCCTCCTAAGGACAGACTTTGTCCTTTATTCATTAATTCAGCAAGCATTCACTAAAAACTTCCTTCTCTCTAAGACCTTAGTGATGCAGAAATGGGTGACTGAGGTCCCTGTCCCCGAGGAGATCTCCATCACACACAGAGAAAATAGATGTGCACACTATCACTTATAACACAAGACCAAGGAGACCACGCCTGTGCTAGCATGGAAGTGAGCACGGGGAGAAGAAAAGGAGTCGTCTGTCTGTTGGTATCAGAGAGTACTTTAGAGGGGAGATGGCATTTGATATGTAGCTAGAAGGGTGCATAGGATTTTGGCAGAAGGGAAAGAGGGGAGAAATACCTTTCAGGAATAAGAACACCAAGTGCAGTGATTAAAGCCTGGGAAATCATGGTGAGTAGAATGCCACGTATCATTAACACTGGAGCAAAAAGTATACAAGGATCTAGGGTATTGATGGAAAAGGTATTGGGGAGAAGGACAGCATGACAACAAGCCTTTCATGCCATAAGAATGTGTATTTGGATTTGATTCTTAAGTGACTCAAAACCCGCCAACAATTCTGAGTGGAAGAGGGCATGGAGCCGTCTGGCAGCCCCATGCAGAATGAAGTGATGGGGTGAAAACTAGATGAGAGCCAAGGAGGCCATTCCAAAGCCCAGAAAGAGGAGACTGTGAATAAAACAAGAACAATGGCAGGGCAGGCAGAGAGGAGAGGAGACATGAGGGAGACATCATAGAGGTTGAATGTCCTGGTTTGATCATTGACTGAATCTGGTGGGAGGGGAAAGGAGACATCAGGCATAATTCAGTCCATTGATCAGCCTTTTGCTCGATACTGGACAGAGTAACCTGGAGCCAGCCCCTGGGAAAAAGGGGTAGAGGGTAAAAGAAAGTTTCCTGTTCCTATAATGTACAATGAATAATCAGCTGCAATTTCAGTGGATGTCAGCTGGGCTAGATGATGCTGGAGTTTCTGGGACAAAAGATGCACTTCCTAAGTTATTTTCATGCATGTAATGAAAAAATTAGAAGACAGCAGAATTGGGTTTAATAAACTTTCCTATTTTTAATTGCCACTGAATGATGTTTTAAGGACAATAAGTCCTTAGAGGAAAGAAAAGGCTTTAAAAGCACCCACTTCTTCTCTTCCATTGAAATGACATGTTTCACCTATGTGATGACTTAATTGCCTAAGAGCAAGGAACAGTGGAACTACAGATAACCTTAGTTGGGCTTTAGAGCAGGGAATGGATTTCTACCTATATGGCAATTATATACCATGTTCTCTGAGGGTTAGGATCCACACTGGGCTTCAGAATTGTGCTTAGAGGGGCCAGGGTTTAGATTGTTAGGATTTACAATCAGCATCAAATTGGGAAGAGAATGTCGAGGATGTAGGTCAATATCAGTCAAGTTCATTTAGACCTCCCCCGACCCAAATATATACTTGCCACTTTGCTACAAAAGACAAGGTTAGGGGCTACAAGGTGACACCCGAGACTTCTTTAGTGGATATTTAGAGTTCGCCCATTCTCCAGAGATAAGAAAGAAGGATTCTCCAAAACCCAGACCCTTAGACCTCAAGCGAAGGTCTTGGAATAGACAGTACCCACATTCCTGCTGTCCTTTGCTTCTTGTGGAAGTTAATTTTGTGCTTGTTTAACATTTTTAATTGGCCCAACATGCTCCTGCAAGGCATTTTTCAGTCATTCTGTGTTTGACTTCACCTGGTTATGATTGTTTCCTGTTTTGGGTTTTTGACGTCGTCATTTTATCTTGTTTTCATGAGAGTATCATTCCCTGCTCACTGAGAGCCATTTGATTTTTCAGCAGCTTAGGTGGCAGATCTTGAAGACGGTTGCGTCTTCACCTTGGGGAGTGTCTTTCAGTGATTCGTGGTTGGGTAGGGTGGAACCTCCACCCGCCGGCTTCCCAAACTGATATGTTGGCTTTTCTGAACCTCCAAAGTTGCTAAGATACAGTGTGTCTTTGGACCCCTTCCAGGCTGTTTCCTTCCACACTCACAGCTTTGACGGAATATTTCCTCTGCCTGATATCGTTAGAAAGGTGACATGCCAAACCAAAGTTAGAGCCGTTACAAGACATTTCTTTGAGTGCAGTTTCCTTGGTTCACCCGTTCATCTGCTGTGCTGGAAGAAAAAAGTGAAATCAAAAAAGCTCTATTAAATAGATGTGCCAAGGAACGAGGAAAAAAAAGAAAAGTTTCTTCAACTTTTATATGCTCAGAATTGTCTCACAAGCATATTTTTGTTCCTTTCCTCTATTTAAAAATTGATAACCTAGAAAGTCAGGAGCAGGCTAGGAATCGTTTGTGGCACAAAAGTGGCACCTACTGGTAAGCCTTGGCTTAAATTTGAAGTTTAGATTTGTGCATGACCTTGACCAAAGTTATATCCTCCTGAGAATGCTTCCTAATGATTTTCTATGTCTGGAAGGGCAAACCCTCTTTAGATGTATAAATATTAAAAAGCACTTCTTAGGCATGAGGGCACTGGTTTCAGGGCTACAGAATGACTTTTTCAGCTTGTAATTAAAAACATGTACTGGATAACTAACCAGCAGCAGTATTTGCTTAAAGGAGCAAATGATTTAAAACTGATTGGGTTGCACACCAAAGTGGAGTGACCCATGGTGGCTGTTCTTACCTCTGGTTTCTCGAGGCATCCACCCAGCTCCCCGAGGTTCCTCAAGTCACTGGGTTCTTGAAACCCACAGCCTTCCTTTCCTTGCGTGTTTGGAGTTTTTGCTTTATCCTGGTATCCACGTTTTGTTTTTCATATCTTTACTCTGTATCTGAATATTTATTCCACGTTTTGGTTTTCATGTCTTTACTCTGTATCTGAATCTACAGAACTCACACTCAAGAAAAACCATGGCTCCCCCTGTTACAGTGCACACTCAAGTTTCATAAGAGACCCCAACACTGGCTGCACTCAGCAGGTCAAACAATCATTTTCAAAGGACCATAAGATTTTTTAAGAAACAGACTGTCCTACATATTTGAAATCTTTTTTTTTTTTTTTTCTATTTTAAAGGCAGATTCCACTGAATGCTGCAAAAGTAACAGAAATGATTAGGAACAGAGTTGTGACCTATCCAATTTCAAAAAAGAAAGGGAAGGGGTGAGATCTACCCCCTCCTAAGTGGTAACAGGCCCTTTCTGTTCATCTTCTCATCTAATTGTCTAAACAATCCTACATCACAAGATACTGTCATCAACTGCATTTTGCAGATGGGAACACTGAGACCTAGAGATTGTCTAGTGTGATATAACAATTAAGTGATCATTTTAGGAATCTTTCTCATTTTAAAATCAATATTGTACTCCTGGTGGTATAAATAAAGATGACCTTTGTTTATTCATTTACTCATCCATTCATTCCAAATATTCATTAAGCACCATGCATGAGCAGGCACCGTGCCGGGGGCTGGGGATGCAGCGCAGAGAAGAGCAGCCGGGAGCTCCGCTCCTCTGGAGTTTTCTCTCTGGTATCACTCCGAGAGTCTCCACATCCCAATTTGCTCTCTGCTCTGAGGGTCTTTTTTTAACCCCTAGGGGAGAAGTTGACAGATTGTGAACATCAATAGTTATTGAATTGGTTTTGTCCCAAGGCTTCTTAAAAACAGTTTTCAACGAGTGCCAAGCCCTAACTGTCTCCCAAATCCTACTGAAAGAAATCAGAGCAGGTTATGTTTTCATTGTCTAGCCACCCTTGGCCATGAGGCGCTGCATCCGGCTTTTTCTCTGGGGCCCATTTTTCGCCACAACTCTTCAGCCTTCTACCACTCGGGTTAAGTTTTGCTTTGTGCATTTACAATAAGTGCCTGCCAAGCATGAGTGTTGCAGGATTAGAATAAAATAGTGGGGGTGAAGGAAAGCAGATTTTTTGGAAACCGGTAGAAACACTCCATGAAATGGAGCATTGTACCAAACTCAGCTTAGTTATACAAAAGCATGTATAGTGTTTCTTTTTATTTCCCATCTTAACGGGAGGAGGCAGAGAACAGTGGTTACAGAACAACTTTAGAATCGTTCCTGATTGTCCAAATGGTTTTTTTACCCCTCTGAGATTGGGGACTCAGGGGCAGCCGTGTCTCTCACGCCTGCCCATTCTGCCCCGCTCGAAGCCACACTGCAGTGTTCCATGTCCATCTCGCCTGCGCTATCTAGGCAAGGGTGCGTGTGCCAGGCTATTAAACACCCCACACCCCACTCCCCTGTCGTTCTCTAAGCAATGGAAGAAGTTTGCTTGGCCACCACAGCTCGGGCAGGAGGGACTTGGATTAGCCCAACAGCTTTTGCTACTGTCAGCATGCAGCCTAATAGAGTTGGAAGACAGGGTTCTTTAGAGGCACTGGTTCTGACAAGGAAAGCTTCTGTAATCTTGCCTTTGTTTAGAAATATGAACTTCGAAACCCTGCTGCAGAGAGTGTCGGCAGCCACGCTGATGCGAGGCCTTGGGCAAATTCATTTGAATTGCTTTGAAATTGGATATTCAAAATTCAATAAAAATAAGCCAGCCTGATGGTACAGCTGCAGCATTCCCCCCATCCAGCTGGGTAAGCCGTGATGATTTCCAGGCCGCGGACTAGCAAAGCCCGAGTGTGATGGGAAGATGAGCGCCTGAGCTGCCAGAGAACTCTCTCTCTGGCAGCCTGGCCCGCCGACGGCTGCCTGCCAGCTGACTTGCAGAGCAGGGCTGGCTTTGGCACTAAGTGGCTCCTCTCACTGGCCTGCCCAGGCGGGGATGCGGGGCCTGCCTCAGTCATGGCCGGGGTCCAGGGGGAGGGGATGCCTCAAGGGCAAATGGATGGGGTGTCGGAAAAACAATAAAATCACAACACTCCAGTTGTTTAGAGAGCAGCTGGACGTCCCAAACACTCTGCCACAGATCCAGAGCCATCAGACACGTAGGTGGGTTTAATTAAATTGTATGCAGATGCAAGCAAACCTCATAATTTGCCCTTGAGCACACACTACTGCATTTGCCTGGAAAGGGGGACATGACATCCCGGAGGGTGCTCTCTTGCCACCTGCCCTGGGAGCTCCCTCTTCATCATTGTTTATGTGGAAAGGCGATTCTGCTAGGGATTTTAAGAGAAGACCATTCTCACTTTCCTCTAAGTCTCAAGCAGTTTGATCTCTCTGCTTTGTGATGGTGTGTCACAATCATGCATAAAAACTGTGACGTATATATAAGATGTATACATATATAGAGAGAGATATTTATACACATATATAAACATACATATGCATTTATAGATGGATAGAGAGATGAATAGATAGACCGACATATACAGATAGACTCCAAATTCAAGAAGTATGTCTTATTACCCCTAAGCAACCTCAATTTTAATAATTGGGCTCATCATACCCCATGCATGAGTTCAGGCACTTTTCTTTGTTGGAATTTGTGCATATGTGAACTGTCTTGAGTCAGATTCCAGGAGAAATATATCCATTAGCCTTCCGATTGTCGCACCTATGCCACCTACAGTACCATACCTAAAGAGGGGTAATTGGAGCTCCTGCGTGCAGGGACATTGTGAGCAGCCCACTCCATTGGCCTGTGTTACGTATCGCCAGCCACTCAAGGGCCAGCCATGAAATTTAATTTGGAGTTTTACAGACACGTTCTGAATCCGAAATCTCAATAATAACTTTCCCTTTGCTCAGCCTTTTAACTGTGAAATTCAGTTGGGGAGTTTCGAAGCAGCAGGTAATGTCACAGCACTCCAGAGGGATTTTGCCAGAATTCTACTAAAGTGCTTGCAAGTGTCATTTCCATATTTAACTAATTTCAGTTTTTAATTAGCTCCATGTGAAAAATGAGAGTTCACGCTGAGCTCCTCTGTCAGCACAGACGCTTGTTTCCTTTCTAGGATCTCAGGACAATTAAGAAAAAAATAGTTGATGCTACAGTAAGTGTGATCATGCATAGCTCTCTCAAGCCATAACATTGTTCCCTGACAGTAAGAAAGGGCCACTGCCAGGGCCCACTCGCCAGGCTGGGAAAGAGCAGTTTGGAAGAGGGTTTTACGTGCGGATTTGTGAGTCCTTGGTTCTGAATGATTCCTTAGCTGCAAAAAGTATATTCTTGTCCCTAAATTCTCCAAGATGACCTGAGATTAGGTTTTGAAAGAATGCTATATGAAATGCAAAGATGATGTTACTCTAGGAAAACAGGCTTCCTCCGTGTTATCTCTGTGCTAAACTCCAGCATCCAGGTGCTTATCAGGTCATTTGATTTCAGATTCGTAAGGCCCTTGGCATACAAAAGTAACTTCTCTATGATTTAAGTTTCAAAATGCAGTACACACATGGAAATTTATTAATCCTACATTCAAAGTGTAAATTTACCACTTGGGACTCACATGCAAATGGAAAACTACATGGTCTTCAAAAAAAATGTATTGGGAGGTTCTGTTTTGCATAAACTGAAAAATATTTGATGTGATCAGGTTTCTGAAACAATTTTGAGGAAGCCAAACAAATACAGGCCCTGCATTTCATTTGCATAGCATCCATGCTAATGGCATGATTTGTTTAAAAGAAAAGATTCATTAAAAGTTTTGAGAATGGTTAAAGTGGAAAAGTGTTTGACACTTCCCTATAGTAGCAATTCTTGGAAATTGGTTTGGAAAGTAGAATCTTTTTTTTTCTTCATATATGTTAGTGTTGGGTAATTGTTCTCTGTTGACAATAGACATTAATAAATGATGTGATAGCAAGAACACTTGGTATCTCCAACAGAGACTGAAAATTGAAATCCAAGTAGCAAGAAGAAGTTTAAGTATTAGGTTTATGTGGCTACATTGGGAAATAGGGTAGGATACAGGTAGGGTTTCCTTCCATGTTCTCTTGACTACCATATGTGCTTGGGTTCCAAAGAGCAAACACAACTGTGTGGTTCAGGTATGAGATTAGAGGAGCAGGTGTCCTGTGGGGTTGCCAGAAATGCCGCCATTGAAGATGTGTTGGTATAAGTGGAACATGAAAAGATGGAGGCAAATTCTTGAACATGAAGAGACCACCCACAAGTTGTTTAAACTAAAATAACTTCCACCTGAGCTGCAATGGCTAGCAATAAAGGCTTCATTGGCCAGTGCGTCCTGAGGTTGGAATTAAGTCTCTCTGTGTGGGAGAGGGCCTATTTGAGCTCCAAAGGCGGAACTCCTATCTCCCTGGCTATGAAGGGGGCTCACTTGCGATGGGGAACTGGGAAAAACACAACTTCTATTAATAATAAGTTGTCTGTACAACTCTCTGGGGAAGATCATAGTTGGGAGTGCTTATATTTCTTTGCTCTTCTCAAGGTATGATGTAATTTCTTTGCTCTTCTCAAGGTATGATGTCAGGTGGGCCTCTTCTTGGCCTCCCAGGAACAGCAGCTCCAGCCACAAGAAGCCTGTCCTTCCCTGAGGAGATTTGACCCACCATTCCTCTGAGAGTTGGGGACCCCTCTCACAGTGCAAATAACAGGCAGAAGCAGTGTCCACCTAAACATTTATTCACTGACGTGAGGATTAGCAATTAGCCCTCTCATGATGGGGATTAGCTCAATAGAACTGTGGGAACAGCACACACTCTGGAGGGTGAAGTTAGGATGAGCAGCAGAAGAGATGCCGACTTATGGAGGCAGAGAGAAATCCTGAAAGTGATAGTATTTTTAGGGCTTATTATGTGAATTTTGAGCCTGATAGCTGAGAATGGAAACCATGGATTTGTCATCAGAGGCACTTAAATCATATGTGGTAAATTATCCACATAGCTATTAATTTATACAACAAATGTTTCCTGGTACAAGGAAAGAGAACAGGCTCTAGAATACAGGCTGCTGGGTTTACATCCCAGCTTTTCTACTTACCAGTGACAGGAGCACAGCTATGTTACTTAACCTCACTGCGACTCAGTTTCCTCCCTGTAAAATGGATACAATAATAGCACTTATCTCATAGGGGAGGTTATAAAGACTAAACAAGATAATTCTTGAATAGCCCTTAGCACAGTGCTTGGCCAAAGGTAAGCACTAAATAAAATAGATTTTTACTGTGACAGGTTCTGCTTACACCACAGTGAACCAAACAAACCTAGGTTTTCCCCTTCCAGAATACATACCAGCATACACAGATAAAACCAAGGAAAATTAATCACTTCACAACCATTCCAGGGTCTATCAGCCTCCCAATTTCTACATGAAATAAGAATATCAAATTAGGAGGAATGGGACCATGTCAGCAAGAATAAACTAATTAGCTAAAACTACTTATTAAAATGATAATCCCTCCACATGGACTAGGCGCTTGCATGTGCACCTGTCAGGAAATAAGCTACAGACACACACACACACGTGCATGTGAAATGACACAGAAGCACACTCCCCACGCTGTGGAGAGCCAAGGTACCGTCACCCACTGAGACTTGACTCCCGACCGAGGTACTGATCATGGGGCTGTGGGGCAAGGACTCTGAAGGTCAACTCTGAGATCATTGGCACTTCATTAAGGAGTCTGTTCTAAGTGCACAGGGCTTTCCCAGAAGAGGAAATGCAGCCTCCCCCTTACATCCAAACATACTGCCCAGAAGCCCCTAGAATGGCTTTTTGTTTCTCTAACACTGTCAGATAATTCACACAGGATTTTTCAGGCATCATAGCTTCTGCTAGCAGACTGGAGTACACAAAGAAAAAAGTGCTCAGCTCCAAATCTTGCCTGGAACTGACCTCAGCCCTGGACTGCCTTTTGTGTATCCCAAATTTGAGCTCCGTGTTTTTGCCTCTAGCTTTCTGGTGCCATGTTCTGGGCCATGTGAGTGCTCAGGGTTCTTTTATGGATGCTTGGTACTGAAAACATCACTCCTCGTGGCCAGAATGAAAGGTGTTGTCTAAAGAAAAGTCAAGTTGAACTGTCTGGTTCCTCTACTTTCGGAAATATAATGGAACCTCAGCTTTGCGTGGCCCTATCTTGTGTTAAAGATTCTAACAGAGAATACATCTCTATATATGTTTTGTTTACTGTTTTGCTTTTGTTTCTAGCTTTATTGTTTTCCCCTGTGTGGAATGTTCCAGTAGCAACTGTTTGTTCTTCCTGTCTAAGAAGTGTAGCACATAGGTACTACGGCAGATTTATGTGGTAGTAAGAAGACGTCCACCTATTGCTTTGTGTAATAAACTTCCTTCCAGAAAGAAGAGAAAAAAATGGCTGTGCCCTAACTGCAGAGCAAGTTTAGTGAGGATTTACGAGAATCAACACCACTGGCACAAATGGAGCTTGCAGAGATCTTTGGGTTCCAAGTTTTCTGCCCATTCTAGAGAGGAGCAGACCTTAGAAGGGTGGCTATGGTATGCCTTCTATGGAGGGCACTAGCACTCAGCCTGAGAGACAGGGTTGGACCAGCCAGTCAGCCTTCTGCCGCCTCTCTCAATATCACATGTCTCTAAGGAGCTTTGGCAAGAGTAGAATCACAATTTGATCCTAGCTGAAGTTCCTGATAAATCCTCAGGTTCCACCCGGGAATCACTGTGGTTGATAAAAAGAGGAGTCCATATGCTTTACACACGAGACAGCCAGGCAGTTTTGACACTTTGTGGAAAGTGTAGAGGCTTGATATGGATTCTCTTCTAGGCAGAGACCCATCCCAGCGTGACACAGAGAAGGTGCTCAGGGGCGATTCTAGGCATGGGCAGTGCTTTTCTCCCCAAAGAACTCTACTTCTTCAAGCTTTAAACAAGGTGTAGTGGACACCAAATGAAGAGGAGTCTGCCTGGCTCACACCAGTTCCCTTGGTGACAGGTTGCCAAGTGTAGGATGCCCAGTTAAATTTGAGTTTCAGAATAATAATGAAAATGCTTTTAATATAATATATCCCAAATATTGTGTGGGAAATTCAAATGTAACTGGCTTCCTGAGTTTTTATTTGCTAAGTTTGGCAAGTTTACTTGGTGGCTGTGTCTGTATCCAACACCCTTTTTGGGTCCCTAAATCGAGCAGGGTTGATGTTATTATCTTACTTTCCTCACCATAGCAACTGTCAAAAAAAAAAAAAAAAAAATGGGCTTGTGACCTCAGCTGAGCCAATTAGAGTCCTTAACTAGGGTCCCTAAAAGTGAAACTGGGAAAGTGGAGCTCTCTTTTCTCCTGGTAGCCCAAGGGCATGGGAATATTACTTTCTGTGCCCATGGTCCTCCCCTTAGGGATAAACCCTCTCTTAATTTGGCCAGGCTGCTATAACAAAATGCCAGAGGCTGACTAGCTTTTAAAGAACAGAAACTTATTTCTTGGGTCTGGAGGCTGGGAAGTCCAAGATCAAGGCACCTGCAGATTCAGTGAGGGCTCGATTTCTGGTTCCTAGATGGCACCTTCTAGCTATGTCCTCACATGGTGGAAGAGACTATCTAGCTGTTTTATAGGGACACCAACCCCACTCATAACCTAATCACTTCCCAAGGGCTTTACTGCCTAATACCATCACCTTGGTTAGGATCTCAACATACGAATTCTGGGGAGGGATAGACATTCAAGCCATAGCAAAAACCATTGGTCAGCTACTCTTTCACTTTCACAACCTGCCTTCATAGCCTTCAAAACAAAATTCCTCTCTCCTGCTTAAGGTAGAACAAGCTGAACCCTAAGGATCCTATGCTAGTATGTAGCTACCCAGCCCAAACTCCCAAGTTTGGCATGATGGACTAAAGAAAGAGGAATTCACCCTAGGAATGCTTATAGACAGATGTTTACAATCAGATGCTCCAGCCACAATATATCCTTGGTGGATCCGCTGGCTTTGGGCAGCCCTGTGCCTGATAGTGGGGAAGGGGTGGCAATTGCTCTGCCAAACTGTGCACCTGCTTCAGGTCAGTACCTCCACAGTCAGGGCTGACCAGAACATAGAGAAGGGAGCCTTCCTGTCATGCCACTTTGAGCCACTGTCTAAAATATCTTCTGTCTGAAAATATCTGTCATCCTTAACTGGCACCGTGCCTAAAATTTCCACCTTTAGAGTTTATATGTTTGGCTTAAATCGTTAGTCTTCCCTATAATTGCACATCCATTAATGATAGAATGTGTGATGTTGTGGGGAGGATGTGGATGAATTAATAATTAATATCAAGATCCAACGGATTTTTTAAAGTTCCATTGATGTGGCTGATAGTTTGGAAAGCAGAGTTCTGACAGAGTTGGATGGGAGTCCTGGAAACCTCTGATGTGATGGGAAAGCATTCATACAAGAGGCACTGCTGAGTTTGGAGGGGGGCACTGAGTCTCTCTGATCATGGGTCACCTGGAGCAGGCAGAATGGACACAGGGCAGGTACTGGATGGAGAGGAGGCATGCTGAGAAAGAATGTCCCTGTTTTACCATGTTACTTTGGCCCAAGTCTGGTTCTGGCTCTTTTTTTTTTTTTTTTTTTTTTTTTTTTTCATCTTTCCACCCTGGCTTGAATATCTCTTTTCCATATTGCGTCCTCCCAGCTGCTTCTGACACACTACCTGTATGGGCAGAGACCTAGTGCCTAGACCTGGAGGGAGATGTCTGGGCTCTCTCACCTCCTCCACCTTCATAGAAACAGACAAGAGGAGCTTGTTCCTTCCCTTCATGTTCTCTTTCATTAATTGCTGTCAGCCAAGCCTTGTGCAATACCTGTGGTTCTCAAACTTGAGCATTCATCCGAATCACCTGGAAGGCTCATTAACACACAGATACCTGGACCCCACCCCTGAGTTTCTGATTTGCAGGTCTGGAGTATGGCCCAGTAATTTCCATTTCTAATAAGTTCTCAGGGGATGCTGATTCTGCTGGTCTGGGAACTACAGCCCGAAACCATCGGCCCAGACAGTGAGCTTTTTGAGGGCAGGAGTGGTCTCTTCAGAATCATTGTATCCCCAGAACCTAGCACAACACCAGGCACAGGGTTGAAGGTTAGGAAATGCTTGTTAATGGAGCTCTATGAAGCTACACAAGGCTTTACCCTGTTGCAGCATCAAGGCTAATCATGTAAATACCCTGAATTTTCAGATATCGGATTAAAAGAAGAAAATACTATTGCCATCTAATGTGTTTTTTACACAGTGGCATCTCCAGAATACATACAGGAGGGGATTAAAGGTGCCAGTCTGGGTGGAAAATGGGAGGTTGGGGGCTCGTCTTAAAACTCCACTTGCATAGGAAAGACCCTGTTTTTACTGAGACTCTTTTTGTGGTAACTTCAGAGAAGGTTGGTGGAAATCATTTAGAATTTTCCTACTCACCTTCCTTTTCCACCCCAACTGCACCCCCCGACCACTGCTTAGTGTCACCACTGATTTCACATGTGCATGAGGTATGTGTACCAGGTCAGCTGATCTGAGGTTCCTCTGTCAAGCTTCACCACAAAAGTGCAGCTTCAAGAGTCAGTGCAGTGAGGTGGAAGTGAATGGGATCGGGGATCTGTGCTTTTCAATAGAGATGAATGTCCTCTCTGCCAAGGTATTAATCTTTCCAGGTCTCCATAACCTCTTTTGTAAAATGAGTCTGGAGAAGGTGACCACTAAGTATTTTCCTATATTTCATAATTTCTATTATTTTAATTCAAAAGGCAAGCCATCTCAAATTTAGGAATGGGCTATTTGCTTGTAACCTAGCTATTTGGAATTTCAGAGATTTTTCTCCAGACAGACCATATTCCTTCTGGACAGTTCACACAATAATTGCTCTTTGTCGGGTTCTTAACTGTGTGTCAAGCACTGAGATAAATGTTTTGCATACTTTATTTCATTGAATGTGGCAACCCCCCTGGGAGGTAGGAAGTTTTATGATTCCCATTTTGCAGATGAGGAAAATGAGGGTCTGGGAGGAAAGAAAGAAAGACAGAGGGATCGAGTAAGGGAGAGAGAGAGGGAGGAAAAACTGAAGGAAAAGAAAGAGGGAAAGAGGGAGGAAGGGAGCAAGGGAGGGAGGGAGGGGAGGGAGGAAGGGAGCAAGGGAAGGAAGGAGTGAGGGAGGAAGGGAGGAAAGGAGGAAGGGAAGGAGGGAGGGAAGGAGGGAAGGAGGAAGGGAGGGAGAGAGGGAGGAAGGGAAGGAGGAAGGGAAAGAAAGAAAAAAGCTTTCCCAAAGCCTCACAGCTACTAAAAACCAAGACTGGGACCTGGACCTGAAGCCAGGTCTGCTGCTTCCAAAGCTACTCTAATCACCATAGTCTATTATTCCTACAAAAGCCTAGTTTACCCACAATGCACCTGAAATGTAGAGTCTGGCTTTGGAGGGAAGTAGGCTTTCTTTTTTCTGCCACTTTCAGTATAAGAGACAGAAAGCATTGTAGTCAAGTGTTCTGAGCCAGAGTCCCCAAGTTCAAAGCCCAGCTCTGCCACTACTGGCAGACTAATCTTGGACAACATACTTAATCTCTCTCTCCCATAGTTCCCATAGTTAAGCTAAACCATGTGAAACTGGTGATATTCTACCATATTTAATCTCCAAAAAGGGGAATTTCATGTCTAAATATTTAAAGTGCTTATTATAACAGTGCATGGCAAACAGTAAGCACTATATTCGTGTTAGCTATGATTCTTACTGAAAATTGCCTTGAGAGTTTGCCATATCTGGAGTATAGTAGGGGCTCAATAGTTGCTGGTGAATTTATTGAATGAAGTAGAAACTGGGATGCCCAGGAAACATCTGGGGTAGTCTGGGCTATGAAGACCCTCTAGGGCTGGGAGAAAGGCAAGTAGGGCAGGGGAGGAGGTTAGGACTCTTAGATTTGAATAGCTTTGAGACTCTGTTAGTATTGCCCTGGAATAAGGCAGGAAACCTCAAAGCGAGAAGGACCGATCCCATAGGTCCAGCCACCCTGAAGCAGTTTTTGTCCTCTGGCTTCTAAAGAAGCAAAGAAAAACCCTCAAGGCAGAGGCAGTGGGGAGTTAGGTCTTATGGTTTGCTTGTGTCTTGCTTTTTTTACAGCTAGAAATAATGAGAAAAGGCAGGCAAGGGAGAGCCTCCCTTCCAGCCTTTCCTCAGCCGCTGGTGTTTTTCCTTCCTAGACCACTGTGTGAGAGGAAGGGGAAAATGCAGAAATAATGGTGGATCTTTAGAAACAGAAAGACCAATGTTAGAGGTTAGGTGTAACTGAGCAGAGAGTAATATTTACCCAGGTATGGTAGTCATATCACCATATGGCTATGTGTAGCATGTGGACACACTTCTGTATTACAATAGTTATGTTCATTTCAATGTGTCACAAAAATCTTAACACATTAAGCTTTTTATTTCACAGATATTACTTTGGGATGAGGCTAAATTGATTAAAGTTTTTAAAAAATAGATTGCTATTTTTTCTTTCTTTTTTCATAATATTCCTTCTTGCATGTATAACAACTCATGGGTTGCAAAAGAGGATTTATTTTTTCGTGCCTGTCTACTATAAGTCTTTGTCCACAAGTCAAACAAAAGCAAACACAAGTGCTAAAAAGGAGACTGATTTTAAAATGTAGTTAAGAAATAACAGTCTAAGTGGAGCTTAGATTTCATGAAAACCATGAACACAGTAAATGATGACTATGGTTAAGGAAGCACTAGAAATGCAGTTAGGACACATCTATGTATTCCTGGCTCTGGCTTTTAGTAGCTAGGTGGCAGTGGGCAGGTTATTTAATCTCTCTAAGTCTCAGTTTTCTTATGTGTAAAGTGAGGATACTTGCTACCTCAAAGGTGATTTTTTTTTAATGATCAATGAGAAATGTCTTAAAAGCAGGTATAAGAATTCAGTAGACACTGTTTATGACTATTATCATTATTATTAGCCTGGCACACTCCCAGACCTCAGTTAATTGTAGTTTTTTAGACAGAAGTTTTCAAGCCATTCTTTCATTCAAATAAATAGTTCTTAAACACTACTGTGTTCTAAAGCTTATGCTAGCTGTGGGGACAAATTTGAAAGAGGGGAAGGAAGACCTACTCTCACCTCTCAATGTGTTCATGCCTCAAAATTTGGAGGGGGAGGTCAGGCATGGTAGCTGTAATCACACCTGTAATCCCAGCACTTTGGGATTCTGAGGTGGGCAGATCACTTGAGGTCAGGAGTTCGAGACCAGCCTGACCAACATGGTGAAACCCCGTCTCTACTAAAAATACAAAAATTAGCCAGGTGTGGTTGTGGGCACCTATAGTCCCAGCTACTCTGGAGGCTGAGGCAGGAGAATGGCGTGAACCTGGGAGGCAGAGCTTACAGTGAGCCAAGATCGCCCCACTGCACTCCAGCCTGAGCAACAGAGCGAGACTCCGTCTCAAATATATATATATATGTGTGTGTATATATATATATATGTGTATATATATGTATACATATATATGTGTATATATATATGTATACATATATATGTGTATATATATATATGTATACATATATATGTGTATATATATATGTATATATATACACACACACACACACAAAAATTAATCAAGAGTTGTGGCACGTGCCTGTAATACCAGCTACTTGGGAGGCTGAGGCAGGAGAATGAATCACTTGAACCTGGGAGGGTGCAGTGAGCCAAGATGGCGCCACTCCACTCCAGCCTGGGTGAAAGAGTGAGACTCCGTCTAAAAAAAAAAAAAAAAAATTGGAGGGGGAACAGGATGGTCAATAAATAGGTAATTACCAGTGTAAAGCCATAAACTCTGTAAGTGGTGTGGTTATAAAATATCCAGGGAAGGCCAAGCGTGGTGGCTCATACTTGTAATCCCAGGACTTTTGAAGGCTGTGATGGAAGGATCACTTGAGCTCAGGAGTTCAAGACCAGCCTGGCAACATAGTGAGACCCCCCACCCCCCGCCATCTCTACTAAAAAATTAAAAATAAAAATAATAAAAAATAATAACTTTAACTGACCAGGAATGGTGACGCATACCTGTAGTCCCAGCTACTTGGGAGGCTAAGGTGGGAGGATCACTTGAGCCAAGGAGACAGACAGCTGCAGTGAGCTATGACTGCACCACTACCCTCCAACCTGGATGACAGAGGGAGACCCTATCTCAAAGAAAATAAATAAAAAATAAATAAATAGTATGATAAAATGTCCAGAGAGCATGCAGGAGGAGATCAGCTTAGAAAAATCCTGTCAGCCACAGTGGTCTAGGACCTCCTCTGTGAAATGTGTTCAGTATAATTGAAGAACTGAATTAATTTACATTTAAAAACTCAAATGATATAAAATACTTTCATTCAGCACATTTTTATTGTTTTTGCAAGATGATGTTTCACTTTAACTGTTGAAAATTTAGCATCTGAATTGAGATGTGCTGTTAACTATAAAATACAAACCAGATTTTGAAGACTTAGTGCAAAAAAAATCTTTTTACTGTCTCATTAAAGATTTTTATGTTGATTTTATGTTGATAATATTTTGGATATATTGAGTAAAAAGCATAGTATTAAAATTTTTTTACTTATTTCATGTGGTTACTAGAAAATTTTACATTTCATAAGTGGGCCAGGTGCAGTGGCTCACGCCTGTAATCCCAGTACTGTGGGAGCAGATGACCTGAGGTCAGGAGTTTGAGACCAGCCTGGCCAACATGGCGAAACCCTGTCTCTACTACAAATACAAAAATTGGCTAGACATGGTGATGCATGCCTGTAATCCCAGCTACTCGGGAGGCTGAGGCATGAGAATCCCTTGAACCTGGGAGGCGCAGTTTGCAGTGAACTGAGATAGAGCTGCTGCAATACAGCCTGGGCGACAGAGGGAGACCCTGTCTCAAAAAAAAAAAAAAAAAAAAGTCATAAGTGGCTTGTGTTTTATTTCTATTGGACAGTGCTGATTACAGCAGAATGCAAATGACATTCACAGTAGAGAACTCCAGAAGATGTGGACATTTCAGAAGAGACCCAACTTCGGTCACCTTGGACAATTCTTTCTGACAGATCTAGAGCAAAGCTTAAAGGATCTGAGGGCACCGATTCAAAGGCTGTTTCTGGGGCTGCAGGAGAAGAGAAGTGCCTCTGAGGTTTCGTCCTAACTACAGGACCTTGCTAGAGTTGCCAGATTTAGCAAACTTATAAATTAAAACCCGGCAACCCTAGACCTTGGGTATGTCATAGAACTGCAACAAGCCTCGGTCTCTTCATCTTTAAAATTGGGATAAAAAAGTAACTGCCTCGTGAGTGTCCTGTAAAGCTTAAATGAATCAAATAAGACTAGTAGGAGATGCATTGAGAAAGTTTGGCCTAAAAGAGCTAAGCAATGAAAACAAATTGGGGAACTTTCCAAACGTGCCTATCTTTCTTTAGCTCTGAGCATGCAGGTCAGGGAGAGCTCTCCCAGGCCAGTGTTAAGGGAGACACCAGCCCCTACCTGGGAGATGTATTAGGTTAGGCCTGGCTTGGGGATTTCCATGGAGTTAGGATCCGGCATGGGATCATAAGCCATAAGGAGGAGGGGGACACATAATGACCATGTCGAATGTCACTCTGCTGTCATTGCAATGCCTTGTATAAGCCAGAAATGCCACAACAGTCTGCAGTGCTGTTGCCGGTTGACAGAATCATGTGCCTTTAGCACCAAAGAAATGTGTGTGACTTGAGTGTCACATAAAACCCTTAAAATTAGCTCTCTTGGGATGGGCGTGGTGGCTCACGCCTGTAATCCCAGCACTTTGGGAGGCCGAGGCAGGCGGATCACCTGAGGTCAGGAGTTTGAGACCAGCCTGGCCAAATGGTGAAACCCCATCTCTACTAAAAATACAAAAATTAGCTGGGCATGGTGGTGGGTGCCTGTAATCCCAGCTACTTGGGAGGCTGAGGCTAGATAATCGCTTGAACATGGGAGGTGGAGGTTGCAGTGAGCCGAGATCGCACCATTGCACTCTAGCCTGGGCAACAAGAGCGAAACTCCATCAAAAAAAAAATATATATATATATATATATAATATATGTATGTGTATATATATATATATATATATATGTATGTGTATATATATGTATGTGTATATATATACGTATGTGTATATATATATGTATGTGTATATATATACGTATGTGTATATATATATAAATTGTCACAAATTCAAAATAAGTCTACTTGTATCACTTATCTAATTGCAGATGAAAATGTAGTTCTTTTTTATAGATGCAAGTAGCTTACATTCCAAAAAGAAATTATCCTCCCCCACCCCACCCCAGATTAGCTCTTTCCTCATAAGAAGCTGACCATACTGACATTAAGCATATCAGAGGCTGAGGAGGACTACCCCTTGCCTGTGTTTTCATTCCCTGCTACCTAATCAGGCCCTGGGAGATAGAACTAATTTTTTTAACGTGATGTTTCTTTCCATCAGAATCAAGTTTTAAATGTTTCAGGTTAGCTATGTGAAATCCACTTAACTTAAAACCATTTGCAAGAGAGATCAAATCCAATTTGCTAATACAGGACTTTTTTTTATTTCTGAGTTTGAAAAAATCTTGAGCTAACCATGTCAGAAATTAAAAATTGAAAAGGACTCTGGCAGCCTCCCCATGTGCCTAATTTGGCTTTGCTGAACAAATGACCAAATTGGAATGAGAATTACATACAGGATTTGCTCAACATCCTTACTTCTTCAACTCATTTCTCACTCCTGAAAAAGTACCAAGTTTGCATGCAGGAGGGAACATATCTATATTGACCACAATGGCGTCAAACCAGGTAGAAATAGAAAAATGGTGATTTTAGATTCTAGCTGTGAATAAACTTCTACAGTAGAAGATATTTGTCATAGAAACTCAATTTAATGAATTTAGGATCAGAAAGGACCATAATGGTCTTTTTTTTTTTTTTTGGCTAATTTTATTAACAGGTTATTTTGTTCATGCCCTACCTTGCAAAGAGTAGTAATAAAAATATTAAGCGGGTAAGAGGAGGAGGCTTCTCTGAAGTCCACCTCATTTTGTCTTTAATAAGGCATTACATTGCACACAGACACCAGAATTCTCTGTCTTTCTTTAAGGAGATGGAAGAGGACAGTAGAGAGAGCACCAGAGAGTCCAAAGATCAAGGTTCAAATCCTGGCTCAGTCAGCCATTAGCTGTCATGACCCTAGGCAAGTCATTTCACTTAAGTAGGGCTCAGGGTCACCATCTGTCTATACAGCAAAAGTCTGGACCAGATGGCCTTTGAGGCCCATCTTAACAGTACCTCTGCCATTCTAATGTGACACAGAAAAGGAAACCACAGAGGTTTCTCTGAAGGAGGGGGTTCAGGCAAATGAGAGAATAATACCTAGGTGAATAGAACCCCATTCTTCACTGATGCTTAGTGTTGAGCTGATGGTTGTCAGTGGATGGAGTGATACTCAAGAGCTTCAGGTGTCACACAGCTCAGGTTCAAATCCCACCTCTAACACTTACCAGCTGCGTGTTACTTCAGCACTCTGAGCCTCAATTTCTTCATCTGCAAGATGGGAAAGCATTATATATCTCATAAAATTCGTAACAATTGCTTATCACAGAGCCTGGCACATGCAAAGGACTCAATAAGAGTTAGCCATGATCACCATTGTTACAAAACAACCCAAGACCCAGCAGGAGGTGAGATGTTTCTTGAGTGCCTCCTGTGTGCCGGTTACCCCCACCCAGATCCTCACCACTTTTGCACCTTCTCCACCCTATAAGGTCAGTGTGAGCAAGAAAATGTGGCTAAGAGCACACACTTGGCTCTAAAACCAGCTGCCCCACCTACCAACCCTGTCAACACCTTTATGCCTCCACTCCTTCCTCCGTAAAATGGGAATCATAGTTCTTACCTCTAGGTTTACTGTAAAGAGCAAATGAGGTGAGCATATAGAGGGCTTAGAACAGTGGTTGACACTGAGTCAGTACGTTACAAAAATGTTAGTTGTTATCATAGCTAAGGAGAGTGAAGCTCAGAGAGGTAAATCTGTTTGCCCAAGGTATCCGCTTATGCATAGTTGTGCAGAAATGTGAACCCTGATTGACATGAACCTGGCATATATATCCCAGAGATCTGGGATAGGGAGATCCTTCCTCCCTTATACCTGGTTCCTAAGGCCCCTCCTGGCCTGTTCCCCCAGTTTCAGGATGGAGATCCAGGATAGGGAGATCCTTCCTCCCTTATACCTGGTTCCTAAGGCCCCTCCTGGCATGTTCCCCCAGTTTCAGGATGGCTGCCTGTGGGCTCCAGAGTTCAGATCAGAGGGCTCACTGGGAGCAGTTTGTTGAGGGCTGCTGGGGACTTGGGAAGGGAAATAAATCCCAACCCTCTCCTCCCTTGCCTGCAGCCACTGAGGGGAGAAAGTGCCCTAGGAATGGAGTATCTCGGGTGTCCTAATTGGCACACTCTGACCCCCTTGCCTCTCCTCCTTGCAGAAGGCTATTTTTCACGAGAGAGTTCTTTCTCTTTGTTCCAGTGCTCATTGCACATCTACGGATCGATATGACATCTTATCCTCTAAAACATTCATAATGTCTGCTTCCTAGGATTCTGGTGGCCGCGTGCCACGTGCAGCCTGCGTCTTCTTTCCTTTGTAGTCAGTGGTCTCACCGATCTGCCCCTCTTTAACGGGGCTGCTGGTTGCCGTTCTTTGAAGAAAGACAAATATTGTTTGGGTTGTCAACAGTGAATGACAAGCTCGGAGGGGAGAAAGATCCATTTAGGTGTAGATGTGTGTATTGTGGGGATGTGTTTCGTTATCAGAAAAGCTCTTAAAATCCCAGACCATGATTTATTTGGTGAATAAAACCTACCGATATTATCATTCTCTAAAGGTATTTTGATCACATGGGTCCTTTCTTGGAGAAAGAAAAGCTTTTATTTCTTAACCAGGAAAAAAATTGCAGCAGGAACGGGGTGGTCTGCGGTGGGAAACGACACTCTGTGCGGCTAATGGCTCCAGGCTTGTGTTTATCTGCATGAGGCTGAGCTGACTTGGTGGACAATAGGATGCCTGACTAGCATTGCCAGTCAGGTGCATTCCTGGCCACCCCGCACAAGGAAAAGAAAGTGGCTGTGAGCACATGTGTCTTTCTTATGTATTGATCTTTCCAGTGATGCTGAGAGCTAGGGGGTGTGGTTAGAGGTCACCTCGGCACACCAGATGCCACACACTCGCAGTGTCAACAGCACCCACCTGCAGTGCACCTGCAGCAGCGGGTTCCAGGAGACAAGGGGAGGGACGCTGCCAGTCGGGGAGCCCCACGCATCCTGAAGCTGACAGGAGCCCCATTTGTTTTCTGCAAACACAGCAATTGATTAATCTCGTACCACCTCCCACTCACTGTACCATCCTGAGCCTGTCATGAGAATAGATTAATTCTCTGGTCTTTCCCTGTGGATTCTTCTTGTCTCAAGAACACACTGCTCCCTGATCCCAGAGCTGCCTCACGCAACTATCACCTTGTTCTCATGGCAGACACAAAGGAGGGGACAGAAAGCCTTGCTACTTTTGTGAGGGACTAGAAGTAGGAAGGCAGCAGACAAAATCCCTGCTGAGGACAGTTTTGGGACTGTAGCTGGAAGATTTGAGTTCCTCTAGAGAGGTGAATGCAGGTGAGTTTCTCCAATGCCCCCTCTCATTTTGATGATCTTGCCACGATTCTGGGATTGTATCTGCCTCTCATCTTTCCTCTTCTTTGTAATTCCTGAGCCATAAGCCTTGCAACCATTTGGAGCTGCAAGCTGGAAGTCGGACAGAGGCTAGTAAGCTTTCAGAACATTCTCGGGAGATAGGTGCACAAATCCCATTACCGTTAAAGGGATTTGTGGGTGTAACTTCCATGCAGTGCTTTGAAAATTCATTCCACTCAGTGTATTGCAACACTGTCTGGGAAAAATAGGAGAAATCACTTCACCAAGGTGGTTAGAAAAGGATTTTTGGTAACCCTTTAAGATTTAAATTTTTAAACTCCTTTTAAGACTTAAGGCATTTCCAAGAATGTTATCCCACATAGTTTTGTTTGCATTACTTCTTTCAGGCTGAAGGTAATTTTGGCACTGACAGCATTCCTAAAAATAATAATACATTGCAGTGGGCCCCCTCCTCTTTGAGGAAGAGGCACTGCACTCAACTGCATCCCCAAAGGATGACAAGCAAACTGACAAGGGAAAAAACACCAAACATGTTGTTGACTGGCCTGACTGGCAATTGAAGTTGCCGAGCAGATTTATTTTACGTTGACAATGGTGGTTCAAGTTAAATAGCAAACTAGTTGCCAACCAAGGACATATTCGTAGAGACTAATGGCTGCTTACAAAGGGAAGTGTGTATTCATGAGTGAGCCTTGACAATATTTAGTAAGTAAGTGATTCTATAGCCTACCTGTCCTGTTCGGTCTTGTCTAAGTAGTGGTTCACTTGGAAACCTCAGAGGGCCGATGTCCTCCAGTGAGAACTCTGAATGGAGTCTCTAGGAGGACAGTATGGGAATTTAGAACTCTGACTCTGAAGTTGCATGTGTCTGGGTCTAAATCCCAGATTTCCCACTTACTGGCTGAATTGTCTTGGGCAAGTCTCTTAACCTCTCTAAGCTCCTATTTCTTTATCTATAAAATGTAGATTATATTACCACCTAATCCAGTGAGAATGAAGGGGAAAAAGTAAACGTTCATCTTCTTCAAAATCCAGTGTCATCCCTTCTCTTCCAAACAAAAGGCAAAGCTCCTCAAAGGCAACTACTCCTTCACCCTGCCCGTCCCTTCACCCACCACTCCTCCTTCTCACTAACTCCACTCCCCTTCGGCGTGCTCTTCCCCAGACGTCAGCATAAACTGCTTTCTCAATTCCTTTATGTCTTTGCTCAAATGTTACCTATCACAAATGCCATCCTTGACCAGACTACATTAAATGAAAAAAGGAAGAAATTTTCAATGCATCCCCCACCTGCGAGTGCCTCTGAACCCTAAACCTGGCTTTTCACTTATGTGTTTAGTTTCTACACCTGCCTCTAGAATGTAGGTTCCATGACAGCAAGGATTTTGTCTTGTTAAAACTGCTTTACTCCTGGTGCCTAGGACACATCTGACACCCAGTGGGTGTTTAGTAAATATGTGCTGACTGGCAAATTATGAATATATGCTGCATGCAAATAATGAGCCCAATACCTGGCACATGGTCAAAATGAACGTTAATTGTCACCATCACCATTGAGTAGACTTATTCACATGTGTTAATTTTCACTGCTGATTGCAAAGGGGCCTTTGCAGGTTGCCTATGCAAGTTCAGGGTAAGCAGTTGTGCATGTTAGCCCTGATTATTCCACTGTGGTTCTCTCCTCCCAGCAGTGGCACTTTTGGAATTGGTATATTTCCCCCAGGAGCCCCGACATTGTTGACTTAATTGGCTGGTGCAGAGGCACGGAGACCCAGCCCTAACCCTTTCTGTCATCCTACCTGGTCTCTGAATGAGCTCTGCCATCATCTCTAAGGCCCTTGTGTATCTGATGGCATGCTGAGCCCCAAGACCCAGCAGGCATGGCTCTCTCCTCCTGCTCCCTGAGCTCTGCTTGGCCTGCAGTCTTCCATTTTCAAAGGGAAAGCCCAATCTCCTCCTCGCGTTATGTATCGACAAGTCTGATCTTTAAAGACACCCCCTGCTCCTGGGGGCCTGCTCGGCAAACACAGAGCATCCGTGGCCTCCATGTTTGCCCTCTTTGACAAGCAGGGGCTGAGCAGCTCTCTGGGAAGTATTGCTGACATATTGATTGACTCTCTTGTCAGGTTGATCCTCTGCCAGCCAATGAACACAGAAGGTTCTAAGTGGCACCCAGCAGGGCCCACACATTCCCTAATTACTATTTCATACAACCCCCATTCCAAGCTGCCACTTTTCTGGCCCTATAATCTCCCTGTCCTGTGGTTGCTGGAGAATCCTCAGTTACTCGCAACGAACCCTGCTCCCTTTCTCGGGTGTCACTCCCTTGCAGTATTGCCTTTGGAACCCACCTGGCACAAAAACACAGCAACTTCAATAAGAAAATATCACACCCTCACTCCACGTAGGTCTGTTTATTATCCTTACTGAAATCGGGGATCTGTGTGTGGTCCCACCATCCTGTCTTGGTTCCCTTCAGAATGCCAAGAAAGTTTTCTCCAATTAGCCGGAGGGATACTCTCAGAGTTTGGCTGCCTATTGTGTTTTAAGTGGCTGGCTTCCCAGCTGCCACCTGGATTTCATGAGTTTCCGCTCAGAGCCCTTCCCCATCCCATCCTTAGTGACCCATGGAGCCCGAGGGTCTCTCTGAAGCGGAGCCTGTCAGATCATGATGAATTGTACATTTTGGCTGTCAGTGAGAGGGAGGAATGTTAGGGAGAGGGCCTCCCAAACTCATTTCACTTTTGACCCCCAGATGATTTGGACCAGGCCTTTTGGGATGAACTGCTAGAGCATTCAAGGTGGGGCGGGAGAGGGAACCACCCCAGTGCATCCAGGATCTCTTGAGGAGACCAGCATTTATTTGAAATCTTGAGATGAAGCAGCAATAACTCTGGCTACTCTGAGGTTTCTCAGCTTTCTTTTTTTTTTTTTAACTAATTAAATTTTTGGTAGAGATAGGGTCTTCCTATGTTACACAGGCTGGTCTTGAACACCTGGCCTCAGGCAATCCTCTTGCCTCAATCTCCCAAAGCACTGGGATTATAGGCGTGAGCCACCCCATCCAGCTCAGCTTTCTAAGTCTGGTTCTGAGAGTAAATTAAAATTGGAGGTATGATGATATCACATTTACAGTGCTGTTTTTTGTTGTTGTTCATAGAAGCAAATATAGTGGCCCAAAGTATGTGCTAATTCTCTCTGGCTGAGTTTCAGAAAGGACCTTAACCCAATAAAACCTAAAGGGATGCACAGAGATTTGCTGTATAAAAATGCCATTTCCTAGTTTCCTTATAGGTGAAAGTATCAGTCAAGCTAGCCTCAGACAGGCTGCTGTAACAAACAATCCCAAACTCTCAGTGGCTTATAACAGTAACAGTTCATGTCTTCATACATGCTGTATTCTATCACTGGTCAGCCATGGCTGTAGCCCACGTCATCTTCACTGAAGACCCAGAATGGCTATGTGATAAAGTATGTGCTGAATTCAACAGTATAAAGAAATCTAACCCCTCTCGGGAAGGGGTGTGGTCATTCACCAACCCCAATGAGATTATTATGAGTTTTGAAACAAAGAAGAGGTTTGCTGAGACTCCATTACCCATAGAATCTGTAACCAGATCACTATGAAATATGAAGCAGATAGCCACCTCCCACAGTAATTTCCTTCTGATTCTGAAATCCCTGTTCTCAAACTTCACAGTCAATAGTTTCCTCATCTGTGAAATGGGGTTGATAATAGTACCTACCTGTGAGTCTTAAGATAATGCCTTTAGAATGTCTACTATGGTACCTGGCTATAGAAAAGGTTCAATGATGGTGGGGCGCGGTGGCTCACGCCTGTAATCCCAGCACTTTGGGAGGCCGAGGTGGGTGGATCACGAGGTCAGGAGATCAAAACCATCCTGGCTAACACGGTGAAACCCCGTCTCTACTAAAAATACAAAAACAAAATTAGCCAAGCATGCGGGCGCCTGTAGTCCCAGATACTCGGGAGGGTGAGGCAAGAGAATGGCCTGAACCCAGGAGGCAGAGCTTGCAGTGAGCCTAGATAGCGCCACTGCACTAAAAGAAAAGGTTCAATGATTGGCAGCAGGTGTTGATATGCTGATGATTAAAATATCCTTCCCTTTGCAAACTAGTCCATATTGCTACCAGCACTGTTTTATCCCATCTTCTATGCCTCTGATTATGTGTTTTTTAATTTATAAGCATATAACATCCTACAATCCAACCCCCCAAATCTGCCCCCCGTGTATCATTATCTATTCTAATAAATATTGATGGAGTGCCATTTATATTCAAGACACTGTCAGATCTTTTGGGGGTTGCAGATGTGTAACCTCTCTGTGGCCCTTAAGGAGCCATTATTCTACCTGTACAGGGAAACCTTTATGAAAGGTAAAGGGAGAGATTGATTGAGAGACTGATTTCTCAGCCCAAGCCATAGAGCAAATCAGTAGCAGAATAAGAAATAGGGCTCTCATTAGTCAGGAAACTCATTTACTTCACAGCTCCCTGGGGTCTTTATCCTAAGGACACTTTAGTCCCTCCCCACCGGCCAGAGAGAGCATCTCGTTTTCTTACTCAAGTGAGAGAGAAAGAATGGCTGATTAAAAAAAAAAAAAAGTGCCAACAAAAACCTATTTCAGACGCTCCCAAAAAACAAGAGAAGGTGGTTATACCCCAGATATAATTCTCACTTATTTACTTAATGTTCAGTTCAACAACAGAAAATATGCCCAAACTTGAGTTTCATTTTTGTTGCATTGCTTCTTTTGGAAGGACAGGTCTCATGTTCAGCAGATTTGGCTTTTCCCCTTCTCCACCTCCATCTCACTTTCTTATTTTTCTTCTCACTCCTGGGAGTTGTCTGAGAAGTTACTGGTGTACTCTGACCCTAACCCTTTCCACCTCATCTGTAGTTTTCTTATTTTCAGGATACTTTTAAAAAATAAAAATAAAAAGATGCCATGGAACCCAAAACAAAGAAAAAGGTGGGAAGGGGAGGCAAGAGGGAAGGCATCCTTGGAAACAGAGGAAACACAGTTGCAGGGATGTCTCTTCCTGTTCAGTAACATTAGGGGATTGTTTGCTTCCTTTTCTCCCAAAGCTGATGGTTGCAATATGTTCTGCACCTTACAGTGGCAAGATTGAGTGCTATAAGAGCAGAGCAGTTTTGACAAGAGTTTGAGATGGGATGTTGGGGAGGTTGTCATCTTTGCCTGATGGGACCCACCACTCCTTCCATAGACGTGAAATCAAAGCTTTGTTAGGCCTGGGTTCCAGCGGCACCTGCAGTACCTGCCAGTGTCTGTCTTAAGACCCTCCTTGAAAGAACCGCACCTCCAGTGCAGCTGCAGCTGGCCCAAGGCGAGCTTCAATAACCCAATAGTATCATTTTTTTAAAAAATTATTTTAAAATAGCTAATTCCTTGGCTCCCTTCACCTGGTAATTACAAATCAGAAGCTATCGTTATCTTGAAGCCACCATGATTAGTTCTCATTTCCTGACCTCTGTATAGTGAAAATATGTCATTATTTGAGGCAATGGAATCTGGTCTCTTCAAGTGAGTGACCTACATATAACGGACAAACTGCAGGAGAAAATTAGGTGTTACCTTGATGGAAAGTGTACAGTAAATGTCACTTACTCTTATTACTATTTATCATCTCAAGAAGTTGTAACAGTGGGCCTTTCACTTTAGAGGAAAGAAAACATGGTTCTAAGATGGAGAAGAGTGTAAGTGAAAAGCAGACACACCCACACACACACGGACACCTTGCCACCTTCATCTGTGGCCATCAATCTGAGCTGTATTGTTTGAAGATAGGTTTTTAACCTTAATAGAATGCAGTCTGACTTTACGTGGTGGTAGGCATGCAGAATTAATTGCTGTGTGAACAATTTCCTAAGCATTGTTAATTGTGTTCCCTGCAGATAATTGTTTCTCCCATCCCCACATCAGACTCCAAACGTCTCCCTGTCAACAGCCCTTTCTCTCCTGCGGTGGTAGGAATGTAGCAACAGTGTCAACCTGTGTCCAGTGGAAATGCCAGACATCGTTTGGATGAGAGACATGCAGGGGAATAAATTCCTTACTTATTCTCAAAGGAAGCATCTCTTAGATAAGGGCTTTGAAAGAATACAGGTGTTTAGGGTTTGCTTTTCATTCCACTCAGTAGAAAAAACTCACCAAGAACCATCAGGGATAGGGTTGTGTTAAGTTTGCTAAACTCATGGTGGGGAGTTGACACAGGCAGGATGACAAGGAAGACCAGAAGTTTGTTTGGAGGCCTGGGGTGCCCATGGGAGTCAAGACTTCTTCAGACGTGCTCAGTTCCTTAGCAAAGAACAGGCAGTATTTCAGAACTCTGTTTCATTCCATACTCTGCTAAAGTGAGAGCGACAGAGACAGAAAGAATAGTAATGTTTTCAGAAAAGGACCCCATTCCACCATCAACCCCCCAAGCTTTTTCTACAATGTGCTGAAAGGTATCCACTCATCATGAAGAGGAGTGGAAAGGAAAAATATTCTAAAAGTTTGAAATAGTTAGGGAGGTGGGCCAGTACCACTATAGATGCTGCTGGCTGCACTGATAGTTCAGAGCAGGTACCAGCAAACAGGTACCAGCAAACAGGTACTATTCGGGTAGCCTCCTTTGAAGCTGATTTACTTGTGAGTGTATAGTTTGGGGAAACAATCCTTGTCAATGCCCCTAGACTAACAGTCTAAAAGCAACTGTGTCCAGAGTGTAGAAAAGGATGGATGTGGTAGAGCAGCACTCTTTACAGTGATTCGAAAGGGCCATTTTCCCCTCCATGGTGGCACCGTTTGGAAGATCTGGGCTGTGTTTTCTCCTCCCTCCTCCGCTCACTGTAAGGGATCCTCTCCCCCTGAGACTGTGAGCAGCAGCGCCAGAAGGGGAGACCTAACCACCCAGGTCTCTGCTTTCTGTATTTAGCTAATCCCTGTGGCCTGGGGCAAGCCATTTTTGACGCAGCTTCCTCAAAAGGCAATCGCTTGGAAAAGGGCACCTGGCCCTCCCCCTTGACATTTGCATTGCTGAATTATCTATTCATATTTTCATTACTTTGTCTCTCCTGCAGCAATGCATCTGCTCGGACTCAATTGGCAACTCCAGCCTGCAGATGGGCACACCTTTAACAATGGGATAAGGACCGGCTTACCAGGAAACGATGATGTGGCAACAATGCCATCTGGAGGCAAAGGTGAGGTTACAGCTGCTGCTTGCCCTCTTGAGGTCACAGGAAAATTCTGAGCTCTCGCCAGCTGGTTCAGGTTTTCTAATCCAAATCTTGGAAGGTATGCCAAAAGAAAAAGAAACGGGGGGAAAAATCATTGCCTTTCATAGGTGCCCCCATTAAAAGCTGTTTGCTGTTCCTGTCTGTTAGCTGTGTTTGGCTGGATCACTCAGAGCTGGCACAGTGCCTGCTCAGAGCAATGTGCATACCTATGCTATCTGCAGCAACTGGCATGGTCCAGAGCTACTTGAAAGCATCCCAGGGCCTGTGCAGAAACAGCAGCCACAGCAGCAGCTGGAGTGGCAGCAGCAGCAGCAGCAGCAGCAGGAGAAAGTCCTGCCTAATCAGAAGGCAGAGAGCAGCAGGCAGCACATGCCATCAGACTGGGTCCCTCTCCCAGGAGACATGCAGCCTCCCTGGGGAGGAAGCTGCCTGGCTTGGCATGAAAGAGAAAGGCTCAGAGCTGCTGTGCTTTGGGGGAGAATAGAAAGGAGTTTTGACAACTCGGCAACAAAGCTTCTCTTCTCAGAACAGTGAAGGGGACAATAGAAATGTTTATTGAAGCAATCAGGCAACTGTATCCTTGAAGGGAAAAAAAAAGGTGCTAACAAGGTGCTAAGAAGGAGGAGAGAAAACAGAACCATAGGGTGGGGGTGGGGGAGACTGGAGCAATTAAGACAGAGCAGCCAATGGAATGGTTAGCCAGGCTGGCACGCAGTGAGATATGCTTAATTCGGGATGGAAATCGCAAGGGAGAGATTGTATTAAAGGATTTCTCCAACATGCAAATTTCCATTCTGCCTTTTAGCATCTATAGCCACTTCACCCCCACATTTCGGAAACACCCTACAGGGATATTTCAAAGAAGGGAAAGGAAGCAGCATTTATTAGGCACCTATTGCATGCCAGGCTTAGCATTGTATAACTTTAACAACTTTAAAGGAAGGAAAAATCTCTCTGAGAAACTCAGGACCAGAAGGTATAGAAACTTACTCAAATAGGTACAAATTTGGACTCAGAGTTGTGCCCTGTGCATCTTTGGGCAGGAGGTTGGAGCTTTCCTTCAAGCAGTCATTTTCCACAAAGAAGATTCCAGAATTCATCTGCCCCCAGAGGTGCACATTAGTCATCCTGAGATGCTAATGCTGCTTCAATTATCCTCCCCAGAGCTGTCCTAATGCTTTGAGGATGACTTTTTTGTCTTTTTATCCAGTCTTTAAGAATCGCTGTACTCATCTGTCATAATCATAACACTAAATTACCTTTAAGTAAGCATGAAAAAGTTTTATCTGAGGATGAAATTATATGCTTTCCATAATCGGGTAAGTTAAACTAGACCTAAAACTGAAAAGTATATTTTGCCTTAACTGACCATGTTCTGCCTTAACTGACCAAAAAGCCCAGAGCCAAATGTATTGACCTCAGATTTGAAACCTGGTCACCTCCAGTACTTGACACTGTCTGCTCCTTCAGTTTTATCTAGGGCAATGGTTCTTAGTCATAGCATTTTTGCACCCCTAGAGGACATTTGGCAATGTCTAAAGACTATTTTGATTGTCACAGTTGGAAGGGGCATGGCAGGCATCTAGTGGATAGGGGTCAGAGATGCTGTTAAACAACCTATAATACACAGGACAGCCCCCTGTGATGAAGAATTATCTCCTTTCAAGATGACAATAGTGCTGCCCTTGGAAACTCCACTTTATGGGGTCTCCGTCACGTTTTATCCATAAATGTCCTTTAATCTACAAGTCAGCACCTCATCCCTTCAGAAGAATGCATAACACACATGTGAAATGAATATGCATATTCTATCATTGGGCACAGAGAAATTGTTTATATGTGTATACATTCTGAAATTATATGCCAATGCTTTTCGAGTAGTGTCCTTCATAAATGGGAATTAGTGATCTCTACTGGCCTCCGTAAATTAAGGTCAAGATCAAGCACTCCTCCCATTTGTGATAAGCCTCTATTTCTACCTCTGCTCCCCACCAGCTTTTGCATCCCACACCCATAGAACAAATCTTAAGAGTACAAGAGTATGCGTCTCTAAATTAACAAATGAAGAAACACTTTCCATTGTGTCTTTGGAAAGACCAGAATTTTTCCCCTCCTGTGCAACATGCTTTTGAAAATGTTGTTGTAGAAGTCATATAACATTACTAGTTCAGATATTTTCCAAATAAGTTATGTGACAGACAAAATGTTATTTTGTTTTTTTGTTTTGTTTTGTTTGAGACAGAGTCTCACTCTGTCACCTAGGCTGGAGTGCAGTGATGCAATCTCGGCTCACTGCAACCTCCACCTCCCCGGTTCAAGCAATTCTCCTGCCTCAGCCTCCAGAGTGGCTGGGACTACAGGCATGTGCCACCACGCCTGGCTAATTTTTTGTATTTTAGTGGAGACGGAGTTTCACCATGTTGCCCAGGCTGGTTGCAAACTCCTGAGCTCAGGCAATCCTCCCATCTCGGCCCCCCAAAGTGCTGGGATTACAGGCATGAGCCACTGTGCCCAGCAGAGACAGACAAAATGTTTGCCAAATCATTGTCCAGTGAATTTTGTCAATAGAATACTCAAGAAAAAAGTGTGAGAATTTAAAATTGCTTAGAGATGAAATAAAATTTGAAACTTAAAAAGAGATCAGATCTCTTCTTAAGTGGTTTTAAGGTTTGGCTTATAAAATGACTAAAATGTTTTCAGTTCTCTCACCCATGCCTATTTCTTTTATCAAAAGTGACCTTGGGTTTGAATTTGTATACCCAGTGACCTCCGCGCTCCCCATTCCCCAATTCTATACATTTAGATAACCTGAATCAATTCCAATCGACTTCTTTTCCAGTGTTTCAAAGAGACAATCAAGATATATTGGCAATAAGTTAATTAAATAACACCGCCTCCTTTTTTTGGTGTAGGATATTCCTTCACTCCAATGTTTTAACCAAGATACACCACACATTGCCAAGGAGGATAATCTCATTAAGCAATTACTGGATAAGTATCCAGCAGAAGCAAATTAAATGTAAGCAAAACACAGGCATGTGAGTCCCATCTAAGATGGCACATCGATAGAGATTTCATTACCTGGTCTTTAGGAGTATTTACATTCCTCAGGTTTGGGAACAAGTCTAATAGACAGGGCAGCCTACACACTCTGATATGTTGGTGGAAACAAAGCACTTGATTAATTAGTTGGGAGAGTACATTCTTTGGTCTTTGCCTTTCCGTTTTCCATTTGTTGTTGTTCGAGTCTTATTTTTCTTTCTTCCACTCTCCTTCAATTAAACCTTAACATGAATTGTTGCTGGCTTTCACATCAAGAAGAGGGAACACACAGTCTGCCAGAATCACTCACCATCTTGTGTGTATTTCTATGTTAAAAGGAATGAACTCATACATCTTCATTACAAGGGCATGGAGAACTTTCTCTGTAGATCTGGGATTAGATAAGCCTTGAGAAAGACGATTCAATACAGTATTCTGACCTGGTCAGATAACATAAGGGAATTCAGTTTGATTGGCCAGGCCCAGGGAAAGCATACAAGAGATTTTAAAGGGCGCATCATACGTACCCAATTTGTGCACAGATTTTAAGAAAGAATAAACTATCAAGTATAGAATTGCATGGATCATTCTCAAAACCTATCACTCATTTTAGATTCAAGTTGTCCTCTATATCAGGGGTCAGCAAACTACATCTCATGGACCAAATCTGGCCAGCTGCCTGTTTTTATAAATCAAGTTTTAATGGAACACCACCATGACTATTACCTGTTGTCTATGGCTACTTTCAGAATAAAATGGTGGAATTGAGTGGGTGCAACAGAGACTATATGGCCCAAAAAGCCTAAAATATTCACCATCTGACCCTTTAAAAAAAATAAAAAGTTTGATGGCCACTCTGTATCATTGCCAATCCCATTTCCACTTTTCTAGAACTTTTCCTATAACTATCCAAGTTATAGGAGTCCAGAAGAGGAAGATCAAACTCCCAATACATCACTTCTTCCTACTTGACCAAGCCCTAGTTATAATATATTCTTGGTAACTTTGCATTGGAAGATGCACTATAATATAGGATTTTGGAGTTGGTCTGGTGGATACAAACACCAGCTCCATCACTTAGCAACTGTATGACTGTAAGTGGGTCATTTGTTCTCTCCCAACCTCCAGTTCCTCATCTGTGAAATGCAACTCCCTCATAAGCTTGCTGTCCATCATAAATGAGATGACCCTTGTAAAACATTGCATGTGGCATCAGGCATGTAATAAATGATCCACGAGTCTTAGTTGTTGAAACTGATGTCATCTTTACATCTCTCAGCTGGTCCATTTAACAAGTTTCCATGGCCTGTCACATCTTTTGAGAGGCTATATTTTCCAAAGGTGAAGACCAACCAGGTGCAGTGGCTCACGCCTGTAATCCCAACACTTTGGGATGCGAAAGTGAGAGGATCACTTAAGGCCAGGAGGTCGAGACCAGCCTGGGCAACAAAGTGAGACCTCATCCCTATTTTTAAAAATATAAAAATAGGCCAGGTGCAGTGGCTCATGCCTGTAATCCCAGCACTTTGGGAAGCCGATCACGAGCTCAGGAGATCAAGACCATCCTGGCTAACATGGTGAGACCCCGTCTCTACTAAAAATACAAAAAAAAAGTTAGCCAGGCGGGGTGGTGGGTGCCTGTAGTCCCAGCTACTCGGGAGGCTGAGGCAGGAGAATGGCGTGAACCCAGGAGGCGGAGCTTGCAGTGAGCTGAGATCATGCCACTGCACTCCAGCCTGGGCAACAGAGCGAGACTCTGTGTCCATATATACACACACCCACACACACACACATATATATGTGTATGTATGTGTATATATATATATACACACACACATATACACACATATATATGTATATATATAAAATAAAACAAAGGTGAAGACGGCCTTCAGAATATGAAGATAGACAATACCACTTCACCTTTTTCCTTTACCTTCTAAGAATTAACCAAACCCCAGATGAGGATTTCTTCCCAACATTGGCTTGATGAGGTCAGTAGGAAGCAGGTCTTCCTATTCCAAAGGGCCAATGTGTACACCAAGTTGGCCCCTCCACACTGCATTATTTGTCTCACTGGAGCTTGAGTTCCATCATTGCCAGCCTGTCTGTTTTAAGCCCTACCATTCTCGGTTTATAACTCAGCTGTAAACATTTATTTGTGCCTGGAGCACATTTCCTTCCTACCCTTTGAAAAAAAAAATTAGAATTTCCAGATGGTATGCAAGTTGGAAAAAAATGGCAAAGACTGTTATTCTGTTTAGAAACATGTTTTTCTACACTTGCCCTTTCAGCAGAAACTTCATAATGATTTTTACTAGTTGGCTTAATGCGTGGTACTAGGAGCCAGATTAGCAGGGAGGTTCGTAAATTCTTCCGCTGGCTCTCATCAGCCTCTCAATGAACACAGCCCAGGGTTTTAAAATGATCACTTCCCTATATGGGGCTTTTCCAAAGTCGGTGAAGTTCCCAGAAGGGCAAAGGGTCATTATGTTTGAGCCAAACACCCCTTTACTGCACGTCTACTGGCAAATATACCAACATCCTAACTACCAACCCAACAACTCCCCTCATTTAGGAGGCCATGCTGTTCTACATTGTTGCAGATGGGTACTACTTACATGCACTTATACTGGTGGACTTTTGCTTTTGATTGCCACCCATAGCCCCATTCTAAATTGCATAGTTTCTGTTGTACATAGCATCATGGTGGCTTGACATGGGCATTAATAATGAGATCCAATTTCCCTTTCTGTGCATTTGCCCATATCCTCACTGGCCACACTTCTCTTTCAGAATTGACTTGTACACCCAGATATCTGGTCTATGATCTCTAAATATGTACCTGTGGTATACCTCTGATATGTTGGCCCTTCATACCCACGGGTATCCACAGATTCAACCAACCTCAGATTGAAAATATTTGGAATAATAATAATACACAAAATGCAAATAAAAATGATAGTATAACAACTATTTACATAGCATCTACATTGTATTAGGTATTATAAGTAATCTAGAGATAATGTGAATTATAGAGGAGGACATACATGGGTTATGTGAAAATACTACACCATTTTATATAAAGAGCTTGAGCATTTACAGATTTTGGTATCCACAGGGGTCCTGGAATCCATACCCTGTGGATACCAAGGGATGACTGTGGGCCTGAATGCAGTCAGCATAGGGGTTAGCCACATGGGTTTTAGTGTCTGTCAGACGTGGGTTTTGATCATAGATCTACCAGTAAAAAGCTGGGTGACCCTAAGCAAGTCACTTATCTTCCATGAACCTCAGTTCTCTCATCTGAAAAACAGGAAAAATTGTAAGAGTATCAGGAGATTACATGGTGATTAGCAGCCACTCAATAAATTTTAGCTACTATCAATAATAGTAAACTAAACTAAATATTAATGCAGGAGCAAGTTCATCTGAAGAGTCATAGGTATAAATACTTGTTAACGTTCCTAGCGGCAAAGAGTTGACTATTTTTATCTAAAGCAACAAATTGAAATTTCAAAAGATGTAAAAGCCACATGTAGTCCCAAGAGCTGAAACATTTTCTAAAAGTCATTATTGTGTGATGTTGTGAACACCATCACAGAAGCAGTGACTTTCAGGATGTAATTGCATTCCTAAAGTATAGCCAGCCAGCAGCAGGGTGAAGGCTGATGGGTTGCTGATGTCTCAGCTGAGCTGTATTCTTGGGCAGTCAATCTAAGGTCCTTGGAAGAATCTTTTCACTTATCTGTTGGTTAAACAGAACCCTCAGATGGTTGTCCTGATTCCCAAATAAATGGAAACGAGGTGTAATGACTGTAGCAATATTCTGAATTCAATTTTATTTGCAATAGATAAAAATATGTGAGGCAGAATAATCTGCAAGGCAGATTTATGCTGAGGTGCCTCCAGAGTTCGGTTAAGTTAGGAAGTATTAATATGAGGCTTCATTTCCCTGGTATGACTATGAGTCCATTCCCTTTATCACTTGTTTGGGGAATAGTTTCACTGTTTCTGTAAATGAATTATGGCAACATTTTCTGAAATGATTAGCTCCTAATGTAGCTATGGAAGGCTGTCATTTTGCTCAACATCAGTCGTGTTTAACTGGTTGAAATTTTAGGTACATATTTCAGAAATAGGTAATAGTTTCACATTTACATGAGCAATCTTCCGTGGAGTTATAGAGTTGGACTATCCTGTAAAATTGATCATTAGAATGTTGCCTCTAAAAACCCAGAAATCTCATCTCTAAGCTAAAGATGAACTAGCCAGAACAATTGTATCTTAAGCACGTGCTTCTTAGGGCAAAATGATCATCATGACACTTTTCATTGTGCAGCTCTTGGATAGACTGAAAGGTTTGCCATGGAAGCCCCAACTCTGGGAGACATGAACTGGACTGGTTCCTGCATGCCAGGGTGCCAGGCCTAGTCATTGCCTAGAACCCAAGGATACCAGTGAGATCCTCACAGAATGATTACAGGATGCTGTTTAATGCCTCTTCTCTTGATGCCCCTAATTCAATCTCAAAGTGAATTCATAGGACGCTGGACAACAGGCTGCCTAGATAAGAGATAATGGGAATACAACATACACCCCAACTCTGATGTTGACCAAAGAATACCTACTGTTATAGTCAATGCTTGATAAATATTTATTGCATGGAAGTATGAATGAATGGCCCACCCAACATTGCTTAGGACATTTCTTAATCATTGTTAAATAAATAAAATCTGGCTGCTTTTCAATAACGCAGACTGCACAGAGTTGCCCATGTGAGAAGCAGCTAGACCACACACCAACACCAGCAATTTGCAGAGAATGAACTGGTGATGCAGTTTTCTCTGACCATCGTATCTTAATACATGTGACCTGTTGTCTGCCCCTCCCAGTCTGCAGATGTACTGGTCACTCACTGTATATTGATTTCAGCTGCTCTGGAAAATGACTGCCAGTTTTATTAAGGGCTACTCCACCCATTGGCCCTCTTTCATTAATAGTGCCTACAGCAGGCAGCCTGTATTTTTTATTAGGCCATCACAAATTCACCCCCCGCAACTGAAAAAAAGTACTTACAGCTGATTTTAGGTAGCATCACAACAGACAGGACAGAAGGACGTAGAGCACCTACAATTTAGGTACAACATGCAGAAGCACCCCAAAATACAGATGAGTAGACAGACTCAGAGAGGGCTTTTGATTAGCCCAAAGGCACACAGCTGGTAGCTATCAGAGCTGGGATTCAAACCCAGGCTGACTAGCTCCACTGGGCAACATTGCCTCCTTAAGGTCTCAGAACTTCTCAATAGGATATTCAGCTAGACCTTAAAATGTCTAGCTAGGCATTAGACATTTTAAGATAAAGATAAAAATCTTAACTACTTTGTTTCCTTGCTGTCTGCCTCTCAGTGATGTCTTGTGAGGGACTCACCATATTGGTGGTCCTGGAACAGCTGGCATGGCTCAGGGAAGCCCAGCTTCAAGTCCTTCTTCATGGAACTCAGCCTGGCTTTGATGCTGTTCTTTTTGACCTTAGAGAACAACAGAGATCTGTCCTCCTGGACATCGGCCCAGAAATTTGACCTCCAGGAATAGAGTCACTGAGATGGTTCCCCATGCTGGCTGCAGCAATTTACAGAAAAACACCTTTTCTTTTTATCTCTTTGGAGGCAGTATTTGTACATTTTTCTCTTTTTCATTGTTTTTAAAATTACAAAAGTTATACACACTCATTTTCAAGATTTTTAAAAAGTATATAAAAAACTTTTCTTTTGCTATCATGAATATTTCTCTAACAATTGACAAATTTGAATAAGGCCTATAGATTACAGTCATGCATGGCAAAACAGTGTTTCAGCCAATGATTGGCCAGATATTCAGTACTGGTCTCATAAGATTATAATGGAGCTGAAAAATTCCTATCACCTAGTGACATCTTAGCTGTCCAAATGTTATAGTATAGTTACTTTTTTTATTAAGTTAGTGTAGCCTAAGTCTACAGTATTTACAAGGTCAAAAGTAGCATACAGTAATGTCCTAGCCCTTCACTTTCACTCACCACTCACTCACTGACTTAAACAAAGCAACTTCCAGTCCTGCAAATTCCATTCATGGTACGTGTCCTATACAGGTGTACCATTCATTTTTTATCTCTTATACCATATTTTTTTACTGTGTCTTTTCTATGTTTAGATACACAAGTACCACTGAGTTACAGTTGCCTACAGTATTCAATATAGTAACATGCTGTACATGTTTGTAACCTAGGAGCAATAGGGTATACCATATAGCCTAGGTATGTAGTAAGCTACACCATCTAGATTTGTGTGAGTATACTCACACCACTATGAAATTGCCTAAGAGTACATTTCTCAGAATGTATCCCTGTTGTTAAGTGACTCATGACTGTATATATATAGAGAGAAAGAATGTGTGTAAAAAAATCTATATATGTACATATATATGAGTAAAAAGTGAAAACCCCTCTTTCCAAAAGTGTAATTCAGTTACACACCTGAAGAACTTAATTTGAAAGCAAACACTAGCTTGTTTAACAATATGGATATCTTCTGTTAAATAAATCGAGCTTGTGAAAGTGAAGTCACCTGTTAACAAGCCTAAAAGCTTTCTAATAACTCCTCCTCCCTCCTGCTGACCCCCTACCCCTGTCGCCTCGCCCAACACACACACACACACACACACTCACTCACACTCACACTTCTTCATAGCATATACCCAGCAATGATCCTCCTGACCCACTCTGAGACCACAATAGGCTAATAAGGAATGCCATTTAAGATATCTTTGGGTCTGAGACACTCTAATATAGATATGGACATTGAGACTTTGAGAAATACACCTGCCTAAAACTAGCTAGCTGCTTAGTAACAAGGATGGAAATTCAACATAATCATTCATTTACACCTGTTCCTTCCACAAACATTTCGAAGTCATTAAGTCATGACTAGGACTCTTGACTTTTGGTTCTTAATCTAAGGATTTTCTCACCATATCACACCTCTCCCAGTTTGTTTGTTTGTTTGTTTATTGTTAAGATTTTACACAAAAGGCAAATTAAGCATTTGCTCATGACTCTTCAAAAGGATCCACAAGAAAAGTTATTTCAATAGTAAATTTCATATAGAGCTTCTAAAATTTTATTTTATTTAATAAATAAAATTCAGTTTACATGTTGTCAGGTTCTAACTGAGGTCTGAGGGGAGTCGGTGGGAGAGTGGTGGGTAGCTGGAAAAACCCTCAAAGAATCATAGACAGTTTCAATATGGCTTTACTCTCTCTCTCTCTCTGGGCATGAGTGAGCCTGGGTGCGAGCCTGGTTGCAAGCTGGATGTACAGCATCAGCAGGGTAGTTATACCTTTTACAGACAATAGTGGCTCCCAGCCAAGCACAAGCTCACATGAGTGGTTACCTAATGCGCCTCACATGGCATAATTACATAATGAGCGGAGTTGTGCGCCTGTGCTCCAAACTTGCTGAGTTATGCGTGACAGGATGTCTCCCTCGGCCTAGACCGCAGCACATCCATTTTCCTTACACATGTAGATTTTCAAAGTAAATCTTTGTTAAGGCTCTCACTTTACCCTGTCATCACAGGGGTTTTGTTACAATACCCCACCAGATGGATTTGTAGAGTTTGATCCAGTTCAATAAGCATTTATAGATCACTTACATTTGCCAGGTGCAAAGCTTAGAGAACCTAGAGATGAATCTGCATCTCTGCCTGACCTCAGGGAGCACAGTGTCCAGAGACAGAGACTTAGGAAGGCATGCAAAATCAAGTACAATACCTAACAACATCTGCTGTGGGCTGCAGAAAAGCATAATTGCTATAGAAACACAGAGAAAACAATTTTGTCTGGCTGAGGACAGTGGTTGGGGTGGTATTGTAAAGGAAAGTAGAACTTTAGTGTGAAGGTGCACTTGACCTGAACCAGGCCCTGACTCCCAGTTTTAAGCTTGTCCCCATAAATGAATCTATTCCAGAAAAATAAGACTCTTGATAGAGAGCTAGATATATACAAATAGACATTTAGACATTCATGTATATTGCATGTGCCCACACTATTTTTTGTCTCTTAGAGAATTCCTTACTCTGCAAAGAAAGCCAGATGCTTTCCCACATAGTTTTTCATCCTTTTTTTCATTCCATGTAAGAACTTAGCAATTATTTCATGATTATTTCATGTTAGGCACTATACTAATCTCTCTTTTGTGTGCTTCTACTTGTTACACCCTCCAAGGCAGTTAGAACTATTGTTCCCATTTTACAAAAAAAAAGGACTGGAAATCCAGAGAGGTTAAGCAAATTGCTAGAGGTCACACAGCATAAAAGAAGCAGAGCCAGGATTCAAACACAGTTCTATCTGACTTCTGTACTTCATCCCCCAGGTGCACTCCCTTATTTAGTGAATGGGATGAGGAAGCGAGGATCTAAAACCCTAAGGGGCACTGTGACTACTGAGGAAGTAGCCTGTGCTGGCTGGTAGTGGGAGCTAATTTAGTCAGTGTCCTGAGGCCAGGGTGTAATAAGGAAGAGGACCTCACTGCTATAAGAAGCACTGGGGCTCCTTGTCTGAATTTCTCCAGAACAGCTGCTCCCTGGAGACAAGTTCCCTTGCACATCTCCAGCATCTGCATCTGGCTTGATATCACAATCCATTCAGGTTTCCACAGTAGATTAGAACACTCGTGGGTGCTGATTTCCTGCCTCTTTTTCATATCCTGTCATTAACCCAGCAATGCCGGAAAGCCCAACAGACATAAAGGAAAGCCAAGCTTATTAAGTTAAAGATGAATCATGTTTTTAAAGTTTTCTTTTTTTATTTATAATGCATTTCTTTAACTTGTTGCCATGCTGATTGCTGGGGTTTCTTTTGGTACCTATCAGAGGCCCACACACTCTTCTTCCCCAGGCGGCTCTCTTACTATGTCCCTTCCTTACTCCTTTTTATATTATTATATTCCTTCTTTTTATTTATATCCTTTTTATTATATCCCTTCCCCAAGGAAGGGGTATCAAATGCAGCATTTTAAAGTAAAATTTAGTTTCCAGTTTATAGTAATGAGAGCTCCTGATCAACTTGTTGTGATAACAAGTGTTTCCCCCTGGACATGCCATTGTTTTAGCAAAACCCCCAAATAAACAACACCTAATTTAGGGTTAGGGCCTTACAGGTAATAATACTTATTTTGTGCCAGAAATTATTCTAAGAGCTTTACACAGCCTAACCTCAGTAAAACCTTATAACAATCCTGTGAAATAAATAGTGTCCCATCTATACACATGAGGACACTGAAGCAGAGCAAGATACATTTAGCCAGTATCAAAGTTAGGATTTGAGCCATGGCAATTTCAGCCCAGGGTCTCTGCTCTTAAACATGATGCCGTATTCCTCCCCCTGCAGGTAAGTAATCAGTATCCATTAGAAAAGTTAGCCAACATTTAAAAGTTCATGCTGGGTGTGGTGGCTCACAGAGGTAATCCCAGCATTTTGGGAGGCCAAAGCTGGAGAATCACTTGAGAACAAGAGTTTGAGACCAGTGCCTGGGCAACATAGTGACACCTTGTCTCTACGAAAAAAAAAAAAAAAGAAAAAAGAAAAAAACTTTAAGCAGACAGGGATGGTGGTCCATGCCTATCGTCCCAGCTAATTTGGGGGGCTGAGGCAGGAGGATCACTTGAGCCCAGGAGGTCAGGGCTGCAGTGAGCTGAGATCGTGCCACTGCACTCTAGCCTAGGCAACAGAGTGAGACCCTGTCTCAAAAAAACAAACAAAACAAAACAAAAGTTCAGAATGTTTGCTAAATAAACCGTCTAGTCCCCATCTGAAGGTCTGAACCACTCAGGACTTCTGGCTGTTTATTTTATTTTTAAAGATGAGATGTGAAGGAGGCTTCCAAACTTCCTTTCGGACCTCATTCCCTACTTTTATTATCCTAGAAGTCAAAGGGTTATTCTTAAGATCGAAACCAGTGTTTCTCTTGCTTTATTTTAAGTCCCTGCTGGCTTCGTATTGAGCTGCATAAAAATCAATCACCTCATATTTTAAAGAAAATAAGAGGGAAAAACTTTATATCTTCAAATCACTCTGTGGTTTTCTTTTATAATTTAGACATGAAAGACCTTCAGAGACCAAAAGTGTCATCTCTCCATTTTACACATAGAGAAACTGGGACCAAGAGACAGTGTCAGACAGGCTCGCTCACCGTTTAGGCCAGTCTTTAGCAATTTTCTCATTTCTCAGGATCATCTGAAACCTTTGCAATATCTGGTGGCCAAATGATAGATAAATATTTTTAGAAGAGTTAGTCCTTCACAGAATGTCGAGGGGAGCATCCTGGCCCCATCAGGCTGAAGAAATTTTTGGATCTACAAGGTCACAAAAGTGATCGGGGGTTCCAGAAATGAAAAGACTCCCCTCAAAACAAGAATGACCTCAGTTCTTTCTGTTTTATTTCAGTTGGCTCAGCAGTTCTTAGGAATATAGAAGAATAATATTTTATATTTCTTAGCAAGTTCAGAATCGATTTGAAGGAATCACAAATGGCCTTTATACTGAGACTTTTTTTCCCCATTTTAGAGATAAGGAAAATGAAGCTCTCAGAGATTGATTAACTTGCTTTTCTTGGGCAACTGCTAGTCACGCTCAGCTTTTCCTTAATTCTGTGGTTGCAAGGGAAACCACACTTGGAAGTATAGGGGGTGCTGACTGGTTCATTGTTTTTAAGAACTCCACTTTAAAAATAGATATTTTTGGAATTCCTATTATTAAAGTTCTGAAGGATACTGAGTGTGGGCAACCAATATTTTCAACATAAGCAATTTTAAATAATGCAACAGAGATGCATTAATATAAATGAAGGAGAGATGTTGTTTCTCTGCGGCTCTTAGACTTCTCCCTCTAACTCAAGATCTGCTTGAGTTTCAAGTCTTCATTTTCTACTGAGTTGTTTTATTTATTCTGGGCTGATTTTTGTTGAAAATGTCAGAGTATATTTGTGTCTAGAAAGAATAATGAAAGGCTACAAGAATTAAATTTGGTGCCAAATTAACATCACCCTCCCCTCCCCTGCTGATAAGTTTTACATCCCAGTCACATTTGGGATAGTTGGAAGCTTTACATGTATTTATCAGGCTCCAGATCTGATTATATTTGATCAGTAAAGAGTAATAACATAATTTTAGAAAGCATTGTGCCAAGATTTCGGATGCCCTGGGGTGTGCATTTATAGCTTTGTTATTTGAAACCTAAATGTTTTAGCTGTAACTTAAAAAGAAACTTGCCATGAGTTTAATCTTAATATTAAAACAACAACAAAAAAAAACCTGGCATGTAATTAAACAAATATAGAGCCAACTAATCTATACACGTCATTGACTGCTGTTTATTCCTTTTTTTTTTTTCAGTGCCCTGGTCGTTGAAAAACAGCAGCATAGACAGTGGTGAAGCAGAAGTTGGTCGGCGGGTAACACAAGAAGTCCCACCAGGGGTGTTTTGGAGGTCACAAATTCACATCAGTCAGCCCCAGTTCTTAAAGTTCAACATCTCCCTCGGGAAGGACGCTCTCTTTGGTGTTTACATAAGAAGAGGACTTCCACCATCTCATGCCCAGGTATGACCATGTTTGATGTAATCAAGCATTTAAAAAAATATATACGTATATATGTGTGTGTGTATATATGCCACTTCACATCCACTACAATGCCTATAATTAAAAGATGGACAATAAAAATGTTGGCGAGAATTTGGAGAAATAAGAACCCTTGTACATTGCTGGTGGGAATGTGAAATGGTGCAGCTGTTGTGGAAAAGAGACAGTTTTTCACAAAGTTAAATGTAGACTTACCATGTGATTGAGCAATTCCACTTCTAGGTATATACCCAGAGAAAATTGAAAACACCATTTTCTTACAAAAACGTATGTATCAGTGTTCATCATAGCCTTATTTATGATAGCCAAACAGTAGAACCAACCCAAATGTCCAACTGGTGAGTGGCTAAACAAAATCCGATATAGCCGTACCATTAGTCAGATATAGAAAGGAATGGAGTATTGTTACATGCTACAACATGGATGAACTTTAAAAACACTATGCAAAGTGAAAGAAGCCAGATACCAAAGGCCACATATTGCATGATTCCGTTTATGTGTTTTGTCCAGAATAAGCAAATACATAGAAACAGAAAGGAGGTTAGTGGTTGCCAGGAACTGGGAATTGGGGCTAACTGCCACGGGGTTTTTGGGGGGTAGTGATAGTAATGGCCTGAAATGAGGTGATGGTTTACCCAACATAGTGAATACACTCAAGCCACAGCATTGTAAAATCACAAAAGCTACCCACCTTACAGTTATTCACAGTGTCGTATGAATTTTATCTCCAAAAAATAAATGCTAATATCCCAACCTGATGAAAACAGCTTTACTAGGTTTAGGGGTTAATCACTGGGTACTTTCTGTTCAGATGTTCTGGTTATTGGATTAATTTGTTAAAATATCACTAGGAGACATCTCAGTATATATGAAAAGAATAATGTAACATAAACTAAAATTCAGCAGATGTTTCTCTGTGGCTCCCCTGTACTAAGTTCCTTGGGAAGTCCTTGGCACTATGAAAGTGAGATTATTCACAGCATTGGAAGTGAAGAGATTGGATTACATTATGGATTTCATTATTTTTTCTCTCATTCTTCCCTTAGTTTGTCGTGGTGGAAGTTCTATTATTATACATAACACCTGGGGTAAATTAACACCTACCTAGTTTGGTTTTCTTTTCCAATAAGAATTGTATATCCTGTGAAAAAACCAGTGGGTTTTTCCTGCCTTGTATGCCCTCAAATCCAGGAAGAACATAAGGTACATTAGGAAAAAACCCAAAACATGCATATATCCAGTCAAAGCTGACTTTGAAATGTGTTGGAAAGGCAATTCATCTAGAAAATTCAATTGGAAGAACTTAAAGCTATAAAAAAACCCATTGGCAAATGCAAGGTAGTCAGGCTACAATTTCTTTACCTTTAGCTCATGGCAGACATTGCTAATCAATGACAGCACTTTTCCTTACTGAGCCCAGTGCACACATACCTCCCATATAACTCTTAAGGCAGCCACTATCAATCGACCATTGTTGGCTCTCAAGATGAAACTGATTTGCAATCCCATCTTTACAGCCTAAAATGATCAATATAAGAACTAAAAGGACTATTTCTTTTTTGAGCAGGGAGAGCTGAGCTGTGTAGGTTTTTATGATCATACACAGCCCGTGCTATAGGGACCAATATGTAATGTGGTAATCAGTGAGTCCTCCATCCATCCATCCATCCATCCATCCATCCAGAAAAAATATTTATAGGGCTAGACACTGATTATCTGGAGATGAGTTAACACAGCCCCTGACCAAGCAGAACTCTTGATAACAGAAATCATATCTGCTTGTCAAAGAGATTCTCATCAAGACAAGAAGAGGAGTTCAGCTGAAAGGAATCCCTGGTGCATTTCTGTAGCTTCTGGACAGGCTGCAAGGTGCTGTTCTAAGAAGTTATGCAAATTGTTAAGTGGTGTCCTTGACCTTCAGGCTCCACTGATTCTCTTGTAGCAAAATGAAGGATTTACAGTAGTGAAATCCACTGATCGGCATTATTGAGGTAACTGTGAGCATGAATCTGGGCATCGCTGAGCATAACTTGCCTCTCAACCAGTTGCATGCAAGGAGCTTTGCTAAGAAAACTACTTCTTCCCCACATTACCCCCAAAGCTCTGCTTGCCCCCTTCTCTTGCATGCTCCAGGAAACCAGAATCATGGAAAAGCCAATGATCATGGCAAGTCAAGTTGGTAACTCTCTGTAACTGAGTGGTAGTGGACAGCAGGCAGAAGCATACTCTACCTGGCTTCCCTGCTGTTCTGACATTCAGGACTCAAATCCTCAATGACAATGTCTTTTCTTCCTTTGTGGCTACGCCACACTGTCCATCTCCTGCCTAGACTGTGATTGTTCTAGTGATTGTCCTCTCAAAATAGCTCCACTCCAGAGACAGCCCCATCGCACATTTCAAGGGAAGGGAAATGAATAGGCATGGGCTGATGTGTGCTGAGGTTTCAGTCCAGCTGCCAGTTTGAAAGTTCACTGTGTGTTGAGGGGTCAAGTAAGCAAGCCACCGTGCCGATGCTTAGAAATTCGCAAGACAGGTACAATATAGGGGCACTGTTTTCCAAAAAGAAAGAAAGAAAGAAAAAGACTCCGTATGTATTCTCACATTCATTCGCTGTCATTACATGCATTCATGTCCATTTGATGAACTACATTTCCTCAAGGAGACAGTGCTTAGCTCTTTGCGGGGATAGGCGACTGACGTCTCGAACTATTATAGAATTTCTCATTTTTATTGGTATATCCTATCAAGGAACATAAGTTCTATGGGGATTGGCAGTCTAGCCAAGGTGACTCATTTGAGCTGGAAAAAGAGAAAGTGAAAGAGGTGGGGTGGGGGTAGAATATGAAATTCTATTGGCTGTGCTACGTGAAATAGTTGTTTAAATTTTATTGAGTACCATGCTCTGACCAAGAGCCTACAAGGTTTAGTATCCTTGTCCAAGGATATTACATACCTGCTTAAATTTCCCAAGAATCAGAGTCTGTCCCAGCTGACTTTTTGAAACTGGCTTTTTATAGAGATACAGAGACAACATTGCATAGGAGAAAATGTCCAGAATGTAGACTCTGCCACACATTAACCAGGGGACCTTGAGCACGTCCCTTAACTTCTCTTAACTTCAGTTTCCTTTTCTACCTATGTAACCTGCTTCACAATACTTGGTTGTAATTACACAATAACAACAAAGGTAAGATGGGAAAACCCTTTGTAAACGAAAGCGCAATAGAAAGCTATGATATATGAGTGTTCTATTATACTTAGAATTTATGTGTAGCCCTGGCAAATCCTGTATGTAGATAGGCAATTATACAAATATAGATTTTTTTAATAAATTAATTTCTAGTTTCTTCTTCTTTCTAAAGAAAAAACTACATTTCATTGCAGAAAAGTTTTACAAACAGAGAAACAAAAGAAAAAAGTAAAAACACTCCTAATAGAAAGCAGTCCCCTTTTGCTAAATGTTTATATATTATTTTTGTTATAATAAAATGTATCCATTTCAGTGAAAAAAAAAAGAACCTAGAATAATGGTAGCCTCAAAGAACAAAGGTTTTTTTTTTTTTCTTGTTTATGCTACACCATTAGTGGCTTTCAAACAGGGGTGATTTTGCCCTCCCCGACTCCCACCCTGGAAACATTTTACAACGCCTGGAAATAGTTCTGGTTGTCACACTGTGAGGAGGTTGCTACTAGTACCTAGTGGATAGAGGCCAAGGATGCTGCTAAACACCCTGCAGTGCACAGGGAAGCCCCAGCACAAAGAATTAACATTAGCTTAAGTGCTAATAGTGCTGAGGTTAGAAAACTCTGCTTCGCATGTCCCTCTTAGGTTAACAAGAACTTTGCTCAATGTCAACCTCATTCAAGGACACAGACCTATGAAACTTCTACTATGAGGAACAAGAAAAGGAGTAGATGGAGAATTGTGTACCAATTCCTACAGAACTCTGCTTGGAAGTCACACATATCATTTAAGCACTTCTTATATCAACCAAAGCAGTCACATCATAACTTTAGTGGAGGAGGACATACCATCAGATGGTGTCCCCTGGAAGGAGCACCAGAAATATCAATGAAGATCCCTAATGACTTAAACATAAAACGTTATGAGACCTGTCCTAGTGGCCTTTGTGTGCATCCTCAATCCTTTTCTTGAAAATAAACCCTTAAGGATTTTATTTATATTCCCAAATTGTCCTGAAAATGTGTACCAATTACACTGCTACTCACCAGCAGCATTGTGGAAACGCCCATTTTATTTACTTGAACACTTGCATAAATGTAATATTATTGTTTCTAAAGCTTTGCCAATTTTAAAGGTAGGTATTATATATTGAGCTTTAAATGCAGCAGTTTTGACTTCATGCATTGCATTTTTAAAGACACAGACAGAAAAAAAAAGTCAATCTGAGTCATTCTTAGCCTACTAACTCAAATTCTTATGGGGATGGTATGTGTACAGTGGAAGCCTAATGTGCCTTGCCAGATATCTGAAATCCTACAAACTGTGTCAGATTTGCTCAGCCCTGGTTCTAGAAAGGTAACAGACAGAAGAAAAAGAATAATCTGACCTGGCTACAGTGCTAGGTGTCAAAGGAAATCTCAGAGGCAGTTGCAGCAAGTCAGAATCTTGGGCGGTTAAGGCAGTGAGCAAGTTTGCTTGACAGTTCATCACTGATTGCTACTGATATGTCAAGCCAAGTAAAATCCTTTGCAAGAACAAGTCAATAATTGGCAGATTAGGTACATGATTAACCGGAGACAACAAGATGCAGTTACCACTTGGGAGCCCTGCTGGGACTTCACCTTCTCCACAATCCTGTTTAGCAAATATTAAAAATGCCTATTTCATCACTCAGACCGATGGAGCCAGGAGGCAACTTAAAAGTATACGATGGGCTTACAGCTCCAGCAAGTTGATTAAAAGAGATTCTAGGGATTGAATGGCGGTAAGACAGGAGCAGATGCTGGTACCCCCTAATGCTTTATGCTGAGAGGTATCTATGGGATGGGAAGTAAAATTATCCACACATTAAACTCATTAGCCAATAGGGAGGAACAGTTTAAGAGACCACAAATTGTCCCATGATCATACCAAATAAATGCAAATATGGCAGATTGGGCATATGTGGACCAAGATAAAATGAGTTGAGCCAACATTTCTATTTGTCCTTATCAGCGGAATTCCCCTAATGACATTTTTTAAAAGCAGATTTATAGATGGTGATTAGTGGTATTAGTCTTTGCCAGTTCAGGTTTATTCCTTTTCATTTCAGATCCTCATTTGAAAATGAACTCTGTCTTTCCTTGTCCCCTTCTTTCTTGCCTAAGTAAGCAAACCTGCACATGGTTTCAATTAGATGTGGGACTAACTGTGTTCCTGGGATGCTGGGGTGCCTGGCTGTTTGGAGCTCCTTGGCTCTGTCATCTTGCCACTCTCTCTTTACCCTCTCAGTGCCCATTGACTAGTCACATAGGCTCCACTGGGCCTCACCTTTCACATGGAGCTGAAATGTGGAGGCAATGCCAGGGTTTGGCTGTCAGCTTGCATAGCACATCAAATCGCGCTTTGCAGAAGCCCCTGATACGAAGTTTCATTTCATTTTGGAGGAAGCCAGATCTTTACAGGCATGTTTTTCAGAACCTTCCTTTCCAAAGGAGCTCGAGCTGTAGAGAACGATTGTGTGAAACCAAGAGAACCTTGGTTTCTTCTGAACTGGACTGAAAGTGCTTTTGGAAAGGACTTTCTGGACAGACCCCTTCTGGTTAGCTGGTGGCATCCTAACAGGAGACAGGAACTGAAACTGCCATCTGAGTCAGTGGGCACCCTCCTGGACAGCTACTGAGCAGAGCAAGGAGAAATCTCATGGCATGCTTGAGTCTGGAAAGAGAACCGGTGTGAAGGGTGCACAGGAGGGCACCATGGATGTTTTACAAGAAGGACAAGGCTTGAGTTCATGGAACTGAGAGAGAAGGCAGCAACAGAGAAAACAGGAATGAGTTCAGACGGGCAGCACCAAATCACATATTTAGACAGAGGAGAGTCTTGGAGGTGCTGTAATTCAGGAGTTTGCAAACTTTCTAAGCAAAGGACCTTTATCCTCAAGTGAAATCTTATATAGAACCCTGTATATAAAAAGACGAAAGTGATAGTTTTGTTACCATAGAGTTTACAGTTCAAATCCATGTTTAGTATTATCATGTTAATCTCTGTATATGTATGTTTGTGTATTAATAAATCACATGTATAAATATATATGTGTGGATATATATCCAGAGGGAGAGAGAGAGACTAAACCCATGAGAGTGGTCACCTCTAGGAACAGTCAAGAAGAATAGGACTGGGAATTAGGTTTTAGGAGTACTTACTTTTATCGAAAAAAACATACTAAAGGAAAGGCAAGTCCCCCATCCCCCAATCTCCAACATACACACACACAGACTGGATATAATTCCACAAAATCTTAACATTTATTCATTTGAGTGGTTGTAATATGGGTATCTTTTATACTTCTCTTAATTTCTGTAATCTCTGTGTGTTTGTGTGTGTGTGTGTGTGTGTGTGTAATAAGTGAATCTGTAACAATGTTGAGTCTATTTTCAGTAAAACAAAGAGAGGATACAGATGACACCTGTAATTCCAATCACTTTCTCAAGATTCCATTTATATACTTTGTGTTTTTGTGCAATTTTGAGAGGCACGTCCCTTGCCTTAGATATAAAAAAAGGGGATTTGCACCCAAGCTTTGAAACTCTCCTTATTTGAAAAAAAATCACCATTATGGGACATATTACACATTCATTTGGAATTCCACTCCTGATTTTACATCCTGAATCAAACATGTGCCTCTGCTCTGCCTGGCATTTCGTTGAACAGTATCCATCAGTGCAATTGCTTGTATGACTTTATCTGAGCAGACACACATCGGCCTGGATTCAAAGAAAGCCTAGTACAGATCTTTAAGCTTCCTGATAAACGACAGTTACAGAAGTTCAATGTATGCTCAGAGATGTTAGGAAAAGCTTTATTCCAAGATCTTTGCAAAAATTAATGGCTTCTAAAATGTTCATTGAAGCCCCTCTCAGTAAGGATGCTTTGTAGGGAAGCTAAAGTTGTTCTGAGACAACAATATTCATTAATCATTCATCCGAGCTCTTATAAAAATGTCCTGCACTCAGAGATCCCTCTCCATTTAACATGATGTCTAAACCCACTTGGAATAATAGCCAGCACTATCTGAGGGCCACAATGTAACAGGGACTGATTGTTCCATGTGCATTATCTTGTTTTATCTTCACAACACCATATGAGCTAGGTAGCATTAGTGGCAGTCCCCTTTTACAGATGGAAGAACTGAGACAGAGGTTATGGGCTCAAAGCTGGGATGTGCATCTAGCAGCCAGACACCTTCATCTTCTTTCTCTCTGGTGCTCAGTCATTTCTAGGAGCATCTACAGTACAACGTAAACACAATAGTTTACGGAGTAAAATTACACCTGCTGCCAAAAACAGGAATTTTATCAAGTCAAGGAGAATGGTGGTGGGGATCTTCTTGAACGTGTCAGAGGAAAGCCTTGGTAAATATGGATCTGGCTGAGGGTAGCACAGTTAAACACGGAGGCAGAGAAAATTAACAAAGAAGGTGATAAGATCGGCACATCAAAGAGGGTGATTATAAAAAACGTAAAGAGAGATCCTGGGAAATTTGATGAAGATATCCCATCTGCTTACAGAAATGCTCTTTTTGATTATGTTGCACTTGTCAAACTAAGTGATGCTGCACTGTCCTGTGTGTTTCATTGATTCTAAGATGCATAAAATGCTCCTCTTTTGACATCTCTAAAAACAGCATGTGTTTTGCTATCGATGAAGCTGATAGAACGAAATGTGTGCTTACATGTTTTTGTGTACGTATGAAAATTCAGTGTTCATTCTCACAACTAGAGCATAGTTGCAAATATAACCTGAATTTCCCTAAATATGATATAAAATAAACTTTTTGGCAGGGTTTCCTTTTCCAAGATAAAGTTCTAATCAAACATTTTTCCATTCGTTAAGTGTATTCATTATAAGTGGCCTCTTACGAATTCCAGTGATTCCCAGATAACTAGATCCTACCATATAAATCAAGTCAGTGTGGGGTTGAATTATAATTTTTAAAATATCTAAATACTTATTTAGAAAGTAAACTTTAGGCCAGCTGTGGTGGCACATGCCTATAATCCTGGCACTTGGGAAATCAAGGCAGGAGGAACACTTGAGCCCAGGATATCAAGACCGCCCTGGACAGCAAAGTGAGACTTCATCTCTACCAAAAAAAAAAAAAAAAATTAATTATCCATGTATGGTGGTATCTGCCCATAGTCCCAGCTACTTGGGAGGCTGAGATGGGAGGATTGCTTGAGCCCAGGAGGTCAAGGCTGCAGTGTGCCCTGATTGTGCCACTCCAGCCTGGGCAAAAGAGTGAGATCCTGTCAGAAAGAAAGAAAGAGAGAGAGAGAGAGAGAGAGAGAGAAAAAAAGAAAGAAGAAAAAGAAAAAGAGAGGAAGGAAGGAAGGACGGGAGGGAAGAAAGAAAGGAAGAAGAGAAAAGAAAAAGAAAAAGAAACCACTGTGGAAGTGCTGCTGTTACAGAAAGAAGGAAAGGAAAGGAAAGGAAGGGAAAGGGAAAGGGAAAGGAAAAGAGAAAGAGAAAGAAACTGCTGTGGAACTGCTGTTGTTCCAGACAGGAACAGCTGGAGAGCCTGGGCAGAAGGAGTGTAGACCAGTCCAAACTATCTGACTCTGAACTCCAGCCTCCAATACTTCCAAGCTGTATGACCTTGGGCAAGTCATTCAGCCTTTCTGTGCCTCAGTTACCTCATCTATAAACCAGAGGTGATATTATGTGCTCAGAGCAATCAATATTGGATGTAAATGAAATAATCTTTATAAAGCACTTAGATTCATGCTGGCACATAGAAATGGTGTAAGCTATTATTATTATGGTTTCAAAGCATTCATGACACACAACCCCAAACAAACAAAACAGATTTCAATTTTTTTAAAGATAACTTTTATTTTTGTTTTTCTCATTATAAAGTAAGACATGGTGATGATAGGAAAAACAGAAAACATTAACATTTTTTAGTATATTTTCCAGACTGTTTTCTGTTCACATATAGTCATCATTTTTATAAACACAGGATCATACCACACACAAACTATTTTTACCCTGAGTCTTTGCTTAATAATAGATGGAGGACATCTTTCCAAGTCTGAATATTTTTCTATAAACTCATTTTAAATGCCTCAAAATAGTCCATTGTCTTGAATAAAATTTTTTTCAAGCAATCCTCCTTTTTCAATATGATAAATCATTCTACAGTAAACATTCTTTCAGGTCTATGTTCTTATATTTTTTAATAATTTCCTTGTGATGAATTCTTGGAGTGGAATTGCCAGCTCAAAGGATTTACAATACATCAAGGTGTTATAATAACAATAATAACCATGAGAGCAGCTCACATTAATTGAGTGCTTACTATGAGCCGAGCCGAACTCACAGTGCCCCTCAGGGGTGGGGACTTTTATTATTCCCACTTTGGGTATGAGAGAGCAGAACTCAGAGCTGAAAACTTGTGCAAAGTTACATTCCAGCCTGGTGAAAGGTGCAGCTCATGCTTCAAGAGAAGCTGCGCAGTGCCTGTGTTTCTGTTCCTCGTTAGGGCTTGGGAAGTCATTTTGTGACTGGACACACCCCCAGTTTGCTCCCTCTTCTTGGTGATATGTTTGATATATTTTCACAGCCAGCCCACATTGGGCCCTCCTATTGATCTTGGGAGGACAAGGAGCCAAATGTGACATTTGATAAACCATTGCTAAAGACAATTAGATGGGAATGTGCAGTAAATAAGAAATCACATCAGCAAGGCACTGAGAGGTAAAACATTCATTCTTCTGGCCCTATGGTGCAGCCTTTGTGCACCTTGGAATAGCCTTGAAATGCTCATCAATTTCGCTGACCTTGACCCCAAGGCTCTGTGAGGTCAACATTATGGCTCGCTTGGTCTTCAGAGCAATACCTTCTACCCTTCTCTTGGGTTGGATCAAAAGGCAGCATGATGAGGGCATGACCTCGTGAGAAGATGAAATATAAAATCAATCCATTCATGCCCTCAACAAATACTCATTGAATGTCTGTACTGGGGATACAGTGATTAAAAGCATCGGCTCTGCCTTTAAGGAGATGGAGACCTGACAAGTTAAGAAATGATGGCAACATCAAGTAGGGAGGGTCGTGAGATGCAGTCCAGAGTGGAGGATAAGAGCTGACACTCTACGATCATCCTGGTCTGGGTTTGAATCTTATCTCTCCTATGAAGTGTTTCCGGATGAGTCTCTAGATTTAGTTTCAACATCCAGAAAATGAGGACTATACCTCATCAGGCTGTTGTAAGAATAAATGAGATAATGCCCAGGAAATGGTAAGCACCCCATGGAGATGAATCAATCAATCTAACTGGCCTACAACACTTATAGCGCACTCTCAGGTAGCCTAGCAACAAGGCGGCTCTGCAGGGGGAACAGCAAGGATGCTGGCCGACACCAATACTGATATGCAAACTGCGCTTCAGCTGGTTGTCGAGACTCTAGTATAGACTGCAGAGCTCAGAGTCTTCCTCCTCAGTCAAGTGATTCCTGTCTCCTCCCCATCCTTCTATGAATATGAGAGGTAGCAGAGGTTTGGGGTGCCTCTCCAGGGGACACAGTGCACACTGCATCTACCTGTGTGCAGCCCAAGCACAGCTCTTCATGGGATGGGAGATTTGGAATAACATTTACCCTGCTAGCACTATGCTCTTGTATGTTTCCTGGAGCCACTACCGTATGTCATTTACATGATCTGTTCCTGTCCCTCACATAACATGTTCAACAAATATCAGCTATTGTTATTACTAGAGGGTTGGATACAGGAGGCTTGGGAGCATAAAAGTTGGCCACCACTTTTAACCTGTGAGGGATTTTAGGGCAGCCTCCTGGAGGAGAGGCTACACAAGGTGAATCTTTGAGGGTGAGTTAAGCAGGCAAGGAGAAAGACAAGAGAGGGCCTTTCTAAGCAGAGGGCAAACCAAGACATGCCTTGTTGTGTGGGCTGTGTTGAAGCTTCATTTAACAATTGACCGAAACTCTGCTTTGCTTTAGTCACTCTTCGCTAATGGGGACATACCTTTTCCTTTTAGAACACGCTCCGACAGAGCAAGAGTGACCTAGGGGGGCAGCCCCTCTGGAAGTTTAATGGCTGTCCCTGTGTTGAGTTGTTGCATATTTGCAGCTGTGTACACAACTCCAGCTAGGAACACATGTTACATAAAAGCCCTCAAGCTATGGGTTACCCTTCTAACTGGGAATGCACACTTTCACGTACCTGGGGAAAATCTTGTTGAAAATAACAGATCGAGACTTACGGTTTCTAACTGTTTCCCCTGTTCTCAGAAATTTCATGTGAGAAGGGTCAACATTCCCTGAAGGAGACCCTGTGTTCAGACAGATGCACATTCTGCCAGAGGCAGGCCATCACGTTGTATTCAGCCAACATTTACTGAGCACCTATATGCGACATGCCAAGGGGCTGCAGCCAGGGACAGGGCAGAGCTAGCCCTGCCCTCATGTGGCTAGTGGACACTAGCACCAATGCCTGTCCTGGAATTTCCAGGGAACTCGTTCACCTATCAGGAAATGAATTGTCTCTGCCTTTGTTTGGCCCAGCCTCGTTACTGTTTCTGTTGGGAATCCCATTCTGAAACAGCTCTGAGAAGGGCTGCTGGAATGTGCCAAATATTCATAGTGATCATATTACCTTATCCTTCCGTTGAGACACTTTACCCTTTTCTATTCATTTTTCATTTCCCCTACATCACCCCCCTCCCATACCAGAGACATTCAAAATATACTCCTTTGGAACTTGAAAACCACAATTTTAGGCTTGATATATGGAGGGAGGAAATTTGGCAGAACCCATAATCTGCTTATCTTCAACCAGCAAACCACCAAAGCCCCTGCCAACCCCAGAGGGCCTTCATAGGAACCAGGAAACACACCAGGCAAGATGCTTTCCTATTATGACAAAAACAGGCTCTGGTCTCATCTTTTCAGCCTCTGAAACCCTCCACTGGCCTCCCGTCATGCAAAGGGAAAAATCTGAAGTTGTTCTAGAATATCAGCTCCAGAAGGACAGCAGCTGTTCTATTCTCTGCTGTGTCTCCATCACTCACAGCTTTGGCCGTCCACCGTAGGTGTTCAGTAAACAGCTGACAGAAGATCATCTCTGTGGCTGGCCAGTCCCTCTGCAGTCTGGTTAACCACCAGTCTCCTCCTCACTCCCTGGACTCCACCACATCAGCTCACTTGCTCTCCCTCAGCCCTGTCAAGCTCATTCTGCCTCCGAACATTTTGCACCGGATGTCTTCTCTTCCTGGAATCATCCCCCAGATATTTCAGGTGGCTCCCCCTGACGTTTTTACTCCTCATGCCTCCATAAGCCCTTTCCTGACAAGCGAATCTACAACAGAATCCTCCTTCATGCTTTATGCTTTATTTTTCTTAAATCAACTTAATTTAGGTATAATGTTAAAACTACCCAATGTACACTTTTAAAAATTTATTTCAACAGATTTTGGCTAACAGGTGGTGTTTGGTTCCGTGAATAAGTTCTTTAGTGGTGATTTCTGAGATTTTGGTGCACCCATCACCCAAGCAGTGTACACTGTACCCAATGTGTAGTTTTTTTATCCCTCACCCCGCTTCCACCCTTTCCCCTGAGGCCCCAAAGTCCATTGTATCATTCTTATGCCTTTGTGTCCTCAAAGCTCAGCTCCCACTTATGAGTGAGAACATACAATGTTTGGTTTTCCATTCCTGAGTTACTTCACTTAGAATAATGGTCTCCATTTCCATTCAGGTTGCTGTGAATGTCGTTATTTCATTCCTTTTAATGTCTGAGTAGTATTCCATGGTATATATATACCACATTTTCTTTATCCACTTGTTGATTGATGGGGATTTGGGCTGGTTCCATATTTTTGCAATTGCTAATTGTGCTGCTAAAACATGCACCAATGCACACATTTTCTAAGTGTCCACTTGGATCCCTAAAATCTGAAAACTGTATCCACCTCAGTAAGCACCACCACAGCCATAATAGAGGACAATGCCACCACCCAACAGATCCCCTGTGCCCCACACCAACCTCACCTCCAGGCCCAAGCAACCACTGATCTGCTTTCTGTCACTGGAGATTAGATTTGTCTCCACTAGAGTTTCATATGCAAGGAATCACGTGCTCTTGTGTCTGCCTTCTTTCACTCGCAGAATGTCAGTGAGATTCACCCATGGTGTTGTTTGTATCTGTATTAGTCTGTTCTCATGCTGCTAATAAAGACATACTCGAGACTGGGTAATTTATAAAGGAAAGGAGGTTTAATGGACTCATAGTTCCACATGGCTGGGGAGGCCTCACAATCATGGCAGAAGCCAAAGGAGAAGTAAAGGCACATCTACATGGTGGCGGCAGGCAAGAGAGCATTTGCAAGGGAACTTCCCTTTATAAAACCATCAGATCTCAGGTGACCTATTCACTATCATGAGAACAGCACAGGAAAGACCCACCCCCATGATTCAAATACCTCCCACCGTCTCCCTCCCACGACACATGGGAATTATGGGAGCTACAATTCAAGATGAGATTTGGGTGAGGACACAGCCAAACCATATCAGTTTCTGTGGCTTATTCCTTTTATTAGTGAGTAGATTTTCAATTGTATGTATATTCCACAATGCGTGTGACCATTCACCTGTTGATGGACATTTGGGTTGTCTGGTTTGCTTTATTTTTATTTTATTTTATTTTATTTTATTTTATTTTATTTTATTTTATTTTATTTTATTTTATTTTATTTTTGAGACAGAGTCTCAATCTGTCACCCAGGCTGGAATGCAGTGGTGTGATCTCGGCTCACTGCAACCTCTGCCTCCCAGGTTCAAGCAATTCTCCTGCCTCAGCCTCCTGCATAGCTGGGACTACAGGTGCACCCCACCACACCCGACTAATTTTGGTATTTTTAGCAGAGACGGGGTTTCACAATGTTGGCCAGGCTGGTCTCGAACTCCTGACCTCGTAATCCACCCACCTCGGCTTCCCAAAGTGCTGGGATTACCGGCGTGAGCCACTACACCTGGCTGGTTTGCTTTATTTTTTACTCACAGCTCTCCTCCCTCCCTGACATTATATTCCCCCTTGAAAATGTCAGCTCCAGGAGGACAGGAACCTTGTCTGTATCATTCACTGCTGTATCCCCAGTACACAGAGCAGTGCCAGGCACATGGTGGTTGCTCAATATTTGTTGAAGGAACAAATAGTTTTACATTCATTTGCCCTTGCAACATAACAAGCTTGAGAGCCATGCTTCAGATTTTTCTATGAACTCCAATTTAGGGACCCTTAGGCCTTCTAAGTGAAACCAGATGTTGGCTGGGGCTCCCCTGCCCATCAGAGACTGGGCTGAGGTTGACTGTACCCTGTGGTCCTGTGAATACACACACACGTGCAAATGAGAGAGGCGGGCCAGCACCCCCTACTGGCTGCCTGTTCATTAGGCTTATTGAGAAGACTAATACACTGGATTAAGAGTGTCCTCTTTGAAGCTGGCTGCTTGGGTGTGAATCTCAGCCCCACCACTTACTAACTGTTGGGTGAGCTATGTAACCTCTCTGTGTCTCAGTTTCCTCATATGCAAAACAGGAATAATTTGTATTCAGTAGGGTTATTATGAGCATGAATCACTTAGAGCGTGCCTGGCCTCATTAAATGTTAACTCATAGTAGCATCTGAGCAGTTAGCAAGCAAAAATAAGAGAAAACTACAGTGTTCACTAAAATTTCCAAAAGGCATTTCCTGAAGAGATTATGTCCTTTAAGTAGCTGTGTCACCTTGTAGGTATACCCCTCACTCTAGATATTATTTCCTTTTGGCCTAAATCTTTTTCATTCATGCAATAAAGATCTTTAGTGAGTACCCACTATGGGCCAAGCACTGTTCTAGGCATGGGGGATGCTGAGTTCAGTGAAACAGACAAGTCTCCCACTCTTTTTTTTTTTAATTATACTTTAAATTCTAGGGTACATGTGCACAAAGTGCAGGTTTGTTACATAAGTATACATGTGCCATGTTGGTGTGCTGCACCCATTAACTAGTCATTTACATTAGGTATCTCTCCTAATGCTATCCCTCCCTGCTACCCCCACCCCATGACAGGCCCCGGTATGTGATGTTCCCCACCCTGTGTCCAAGTGTTCTCATTGTTCAATTCCCATCTATGAGTGAGAACATATGGTGTTTGGTTTTCTGTCCTTGCGATAGTTTGCTCAGAATGATGGTTTCCAGCTTCATCCATGTCCCTACAAAGGACATGAACTCATCATTTTTTATGGCTGCATAGTATTCCATGGTGTATATGTGCCATATTTTCTTAAACCAGTCTATCATTGATGGACATTTGGCTTGGTTGCAAGTCTTTGCTATTGTGAATAGTGCTGCAGTAGTCATACATGTGCATGTGTCTTTATAGCAGCATGATTTATAATCCTTTGGGTATATACCCAGTAACAGGATGGCTGGCACAAATGGTATTTCTAGTTCTAGATCCTTGAGGAATTGCCACACTGTCTTCCACAATGGTTGAACTAGTTTACGCTCCCACAAACAGCGTAAAAATGTTCCTATTTCTCCACAGCCTCTCCAGCACCCGTTGTTTCCTGATTTTTTAATGATCGCCATTCTAACTGGTATGAGATGGTATCTCATTGTGGTTTTGATTTGCATTTCTCTGATGGCCAGTGATGATGAGCATTTTTTCATGTGTCTGTTGGCTGCATAAATGTCTTCTTTTGAGAAGTGTCTGTTCATATCCTTTGCCCACTTTTTGATGGGGTTGTTTGATTTTTTTCTTGTACATTTGTTTAAGTTCCTTGTAGATTCTGGATATTAGCCCTTTTTCAGATGGGTAGACTGTAAAAATTTTCTCCCATTCTGTAGGTTGCCAGTTCACTCTGATGGTAGTTTCTTTTGCTGTGCAGAAGCTCTTTAATTTAATTAGATCCCATTTGTCAATTTTGGCTTTTGTTGCCATTGTTTTTGGTGTTTCAGTCGTGAAGCCCTTGCCCATGCCTATGGCCTGAATGGTATTGCCTAGGTTTTCTTCTAGGGTTTTTATGGTTTTAGGTCTAATATTTAAGTCTTTAATCCATTTTGAATTAATTTTTTTATAAGGTGTAAGGAAGGGATCCAGTTTCAGCTTTCTACTTATGGCTAGCCAGTTTTCCCAGCACCATTTATTAAATAGGGAATCCTTTCCCCATTTCTTGTTTTTGTCAGGTTTGTCAAAGATCAGATGGTTGTAGATGTGTGGTATTATTTCTGAGGGCTCTATTCTGTTCCATTGATCTATATCTCTGTTTTGGTACCAGTACCATGCTGTTTTGATTACTGTAGCCTTGTAGTATAGTTTGAAGTCAGGTAGCATGATGCCTCCAGTTTTGTTCTTTTGGTTTAGGATTGTCTTGGCAATGTGGGCTCTTTTTTGGTTCCATATGAACTTTAAAGTAGTTTTTTCCAATTCTATGAGGAAAGTCATTGGTAGCTTGATGGGAATGGCATTGAATCTATAAATTACCTTCAGCAGTATGGCCATTTTCACAATATTGATTCTTCCTATCCATGAGCATGGAATGTTCTTCCATTTGTTTGTGTCCTCTTTTATTTTGTTGAGCAGTGGTTTGTAGTTCTCCTTGAAGAGGTCCTTCACATCCCTTGTAAGTTGGATTCCTAGGTATTTTATTCTCTTTGAAGCAATTGTGAATGGGAGTTCACTCATGATTTGGCTCTCTGTTTGTCTGTTATTGGTGTATAGGAATTCTTGTGATTTTTGCACATTGATTTTGTATCCTGAGACTTTGCTGAAGTTGCTTATCAGCTTAAGGAGATTTTGGGCTGAGACAATGGGGTTTTCTAAATATACAATCATGTCATCTGCAAACAGGGACAATTTGACTTCCTCTTTTCCTAATTGAATGCCCTTTATTTCCTTCTCCTGCCTGATTGCCCTGGCCAGAACTTCCAACACTATGTTGAATAGGAGTGGTGAGAGAGGGCATCCCTGTCGTGTGCCAGTTTTCAGAGGAATGCTTCCAGTTTTTGCCCATTCAGTATGATATTGGCTGTGGGTTTGTCATAAATAGCTCTTATTATTTTGAGATACATCCCATCAATACCTAGTTTATTGAGAGTTTTTAGCATGAAGGGCTGTTGAATTTTGTCAAAGGCCTTTTCTGCATCTATTGAGATAATCATGTGGTTTTTGTCTTTGGTTCTGTTTATGTGATGGATTGCATTTATTGATTTGCATATGTTGAACCAGCCTTGCATCCCAGGGATGAAGCCCACTTGATCATAGTGGATAAGCTTTTTGATGTGCTGCTGGATTCGGTTTGCCAGTATTTTATTGAGGATTTTTGTATCAGTGTTCATCAGGGATGTTGGTCTAAAATTCTCTTTTTTTGTTGTGTCTCTGCCAGGCTTTGGTATCAGGATGATCCTGGCCCCATAAAATGAGTTAGGGAGGATTCCCTCTTTTTCTATTAATTGGAATAGTTTCAGAAGGAATGGCACCAGCTCCTCTTTGTACCTCTGTTAGAATTTGGCTGTGAATCTATCTGGTCCTAGACTTTTTTTGGTTGGTAAGCTATTAATTATTGCCTCAATTTCAGAGCCTGTTATTGTTCTATTCAGGGAATCAACTTCTTCCTGGTTTAGTCTTGGGAGGGTGTGTGTGTCGAGGAATTTATCCATTTCTTCTAGATTTTCTAGTTTATTTGCGTAGAGGTGTTTATAGTATTCTCTGATGGTAGTTTGTATTTCTGTGGGATCGATGGTGATATCCCCTTTATCATTTTGTATTGCATCTATTTGATTCTTCTCTCTTTTCTTCTTTATTAGTCTTGCTAGTGGTCTATCAATTTTGTTGATCTTTTCAAAAAACCAGCTCCTGGATTCACTGATTTTTTGAAGGATTTTTTGTGTGTCTATCTCCTTCAGTTCTGCTCTGATCTTAGTTATTTCTTGCCTCCTGCTAGCTTTTGAATGTGTTTGCTCTTGCTTCTCTAGTTCTTTTAATTGTGATGTTAGGGCGTCAATTTTAGATTTTTCCTGCTTTCTCTTGTGGGCATTTAGTGCTATAAATTTCCCTCTACACACGGTTTTAAGTGTGTCCCAGAGATTCTGGTATGTTGTGTCTTTGTTCTCGTTGGTTTCAAAGAACATCTTTATTTCTGCCTTCATTTCGTTATGTACCCAGTAGTCATTCAGGAGCAGGTTGTTCAGTTTCCATGTAGTTGAGCGATTCTGAGTGAGTTTCTTAATCCTGAATTCTAGTTTGATTGCACTGTGGTCTGAGAAATAGTTTGTTATCATTTCTGTTCTTTTACATTTGCTGAGGAGTGCTTTAATTCCAACTATGCGGTCAATTTTGGAATAAGTGTGATGTGATGCTGAGAAGAATGTATATTTTGTTGATTTGGGATGGAGAGTTCTGTAGATGTCTATTAGGTCTACTTGGTGCAGAGCTGAGTTCAATTCCTGGATATCCTTGTTAACTTTCTGTCTTGTTGATCCGTCTAATGTTGACAGTGGGGTGTTAAAGTCTCCCATTATTATTGTGTGGGAGTCTAAGTCTCTTTGTAGGTCCCTAAGCACTTGCATTATGAATCTGGGTGCTCCTGTATTGGGTGCATATATATTTAGGATAGTTAGCTCTTCTTGTTGAATTGATCCCTTTACCATTATGTAATGGCCTTCTTTGTCTCTTTTGATCTTTGTTGGTTTAAAGTCTGTTTTATCAGAGACTAGGATTGCAACCCCTGCTATTTTTTTGTTTTCCATTTTCTTGGTAGATCTTCCTCCCTCCCTTTATTTTGAGCCTGTGTGTGTCTCTGCATGTGGGATGGGTCTCCTGAATACAGCACACTGATGGGTCTTGACTCTATCCAATTAGCCAGTCTGTGTCTTTTAATTGGAGCATTTAGCCCATTTACATTTAAGTTTAATATTGTTATGTGTGAATTTGATCCTGTCATTATGATGTTAGGTGGTTATTTTGCTCATTAATTGATGTGATTTCTTCCTAGCATCGATGGTGTTTACAATTTGGCATGTTTTTGCAGTGGCTTGTACTGGTTGTTCCTTTCCATGTTTAGTGCTTCCTTCAGGAGCTCTTGTAAGGCAGGCCTGGTGGTGACAAAATCTCTCAGCATTTGCTTGTCTGTAAAGGATTTTATTTCTTCTTCACTTATGAAGCTTAGTTTGGCTGGATATGAAATTCTGGGTTGAAAATTCTTTTCTTTAAGAATGTTGAATATTGGCCCCCACTCTCTTCTGGCTTGTAGAGTTTCTGCCGAGAGATCCACTGTTAGTCTGATGGGCTTCTCTTTGTGGGTAACCAGACCTTTCTCTCTGGCTGCCCTTAATATTTTTTCTTTCATTTCAACTTTGGTGAATCTGACAATTATGTGTCTTGGAGTTGCTCTTCTGGAGGAGTATCTTTGTGGCATTCTCTTCATTTCCTGAATTTGAATGTTGGCCTGCCTTGCTAGGTTGGGAAAGTTCTCCTGGATAATATCCTGCAGAGTGTTTTCCAACTTGGTTCCATTCTGCCTGTCACTTTCAGGCACACCAATCAGACGTAGATTTGGTCTTTTCACATAGTCCCATATTTCTTGGAGGCTTTGTTTGTTTCTTTTTACTCTTTTTTCTCTAAACTTCTCTTCTCGCTTCATTTCATTCATTTGATCTTAAATCACTGATACTCTTTTTTCCACTTGATCGAATCAGCTACTGAAGCTTGTGCATGCGTCACGTAGTTCTCGTGCCATGGTTTCAGCTCCATCAGGTTATTTAAGGTCTTCTCTATGCTGTTTATTCTAGTTAGCCATTCGTCTAATCTTTTTTCAAGGTTTTTAGCTTCTTTGCGATGGGTTCGAACATCCTCCTTTAGGTCTGAGAAGTTTGTTATTACCGATCATCTGAAGCCTTCTTCTCTCAACCCGTCAAAGCCATTCTCCGTCCAGCTTTGTTGCGTTGCTGGCAAGGAGCTGCGTTCCTTTGGAGAAGAAGTGGCACTCTGATTTTTAGAATTTTCAGCTTTTCTGTTCTGGTTTCTCCCCATCTTTGTGGTTTTTGGTCTTTGATGATGGTGACATGCAGATGGGGTTTTGGTGTGGATGTCCTTTCTGTTTGTTAGTTTTCCTTCTTTCTGTTTGTTAGTTTTCCCTCTAACAGTCAGGACCCTCAGCTGCAGGTCTGTTGGAGTTTGCTGGAGATCCACTCCAGACCCTGTTTGCCTGGGTATCACCAGCGGAGGCTGCAGAACAGCAAATATTGAAGAACAACAAATGTTGCTGCCTGATCCTTCCTCTGGAAGCTTCGTCTCAGATGGGCATCTGGCTGTATGAGGTGTCAGTCGGCCCCTACTGGGAGGTGTCTCCCAGTTAGTCTACTAGGGGGTCAGGGACCCACTTGAGGAGGCAGTCTGTCTGTTCTCAGATCTCAAACTCCATGCTGGGAGAAGCACTACTCTCTTCATAGCTGTCAGACAGGGATGTTTAAGTCTGCAGAAGTTTCTACTGCCTTTTGTTCAGCTATGCCCTGCCCCCGAGGTGGAGTCTACAGAGGCAGGAAGGCCTCCTTGAGCTGCAGTGGGCTCCACCCAGTTCGAGCTTCCCGGCCACTTTGTTTACCTGCTCAAGCCTCAGCAATGGTGGATGCCCCTCCCCCAGCCTCGCTGCCACCTTGCTGTTGGATATCAGACTGCTGTGCCAGCAATAACCGAGGATCCGTTGGTGTGGGACCCTCTGAGCCATGTGCAGGATATAATCTCCTGGTGTGCCGTTTGCTAAGACCATTGGAAAAGCGCAGTATTAGGGTGGGAGTGTCCTGATTTTCCAGGTACCATCTGTCATGGCTTCCCTTGGCTAGGAAAGGGAATTCCCTGACCCCTTGCACTTCCCAGATGAGGTGATGCCCACCCTGCTTTGGCGTACACTCTGTGGGCTGCACCCACTGTCTGACAAGCCCCAGTGAGATGAACCCGGTACCTCAGTTGGAAATGCAGAAATCACCCGTCTTCTGCAATGCTCACACTGGGAGCTGTAGACTGGAGCTCTTCCTATTTGGCCATCTTGGAACTCCAGTGACAAGTCTCCCACTCTTAAGTGTTGGAGAAAGTTCATATCCAAAAGGGGGAAGATTAATTCTAAATTAGTAAATCAGTAGCAAGTTTTTTTTTCAAAGAATCATGAGTTTTTGCTGAGGTTGGAAACAAGAAGAAGTAATAGACGTTTTTTAAAAAAATAATTTCAGCTTTTTTTTTAGACTCAGAGGTACATGAGCAAGTTTGTTACCTGGGTATGTTGCATGATGCTAAGGTTTGGTCTACAAATGACCCCATCTCTCAGGTAGTGAGCCTAGCACCCAGTGGTTAACCAACAGTAAAAATCCCAGTAGTTTTTTAACCCTTGCCCCCTCCCTCTCCGCCCTCTCTAATAGTCCCCAGTGTCTATTGTTCCATCTTTATTTCCGTGCATACCCAATGCTTAGCTCCCACTTATAAGTGAGAACATGTAGTGTTTGGTCTTCTGTTCCTATATTTATTTCCTTAGAATGATGGCCTCCAGCTACATCCATATTGCTGAAAAAAATATGATTTCATTCTTTATGACTGCATAGTATTCCGTGGTGTATATGTACCACATTTTCTTTTTCCACTCTTGGTAGGCACCTAGGTTGATCCCATCTTTACTATTGTGAATAGTGCTGCAATGAACATATGAGTGCATGTGTCATTTTGGTAGAAGGATTTGTTTTCTTTTGGATATATATCCAGTAACAGGATTACTGAGTTGAATGGTAGTTCTGTTTTAAGTTACTTGAGAAATTTCCAAACTGTTTTCCACAGTGGCTGAATTAATTCACATTCCCATCAACAGTGTGTAAGTGTTCACTTTTCTTCACAGCCATGCCAGCATGTTGTTTTTGACTTTTTAATGGTAGACATTTTGACTTGTGTGAGATAGTATCTCATTGTGGTTTTGATTTACATTTTGATAGAGGTATTTCAGTTGGGTAGTCAGGGAAGCCCTCTCTTAGGTCATGATATTTATGCAAAGGCAGGATTAACAAGAAGCAAGCAGCTGTGAGATCAGGAGAAAGAATAGGCCAGGCAGAGGGAAAGGCTGGTGCAAAGGCCCTATGGCTGGGATGAGCTTGGCATCTTCCAGGAACAGAGAGAAGAGCAGTATGGCTGGAAAACATACAGGTAGAGTGGCGTTTAGGGAATTGGGAAGGGGCCAGCTCCCAAAGCCACTTACAGACCAAGTACAGCCAACACCCAGCAAAGCCATCCAGACCTTTCCAGGCACCCTTTTTTCTCTGCCCCAGTGTGATGTCTCCCTGTCCTCAGGCCAGCCTGCTCTGCCCAGGTCTGACCCTAGCACTGCTAAGTTCTTCCTTCCTCCTTCTTATCCGCTCAGTGGCATTGTGAGGGGCCTTAACAAACCAGGCCAGCCACCAGATATGCTGGCAGCTACAACTAGGTTCTTGGAAAAGATGGATGTGTCCCCCAAAATTGTTAAAACTCATGCAAATCCAACTTCAAATCCTTGCTTGGCCACCAACCAAGCTCAATGGCACTGGATCCATTCCTTAACTTCTCTAGAAACCACTGTTCTCTTCTGAGATGAGACTAGGGTTTTGGGGAGGATGAAATGTGATAACACACATCAGCATTTGCTATTATGCCTGGCATGTAGCAAGTGCCCAGGCAAAAATAGGCTCTTATTTTTTATTACTTTTGCTGCTGCTGCAAGAGGACATGTAATGAAAGAATCAAGAATTCCACCCTTGTAAGATAAATTCTCCCCAGCTGCTGATTTCAGGGAACCCTGTTTGTTTCCTCTGTAGCTTCCATCTGCTTGATTCTTGCCTGTGGAGCCTGGCATGATGAGCTGCTACAGTCTGGAAATGCAGATGCTGTTTCCTGTCCGGAAGCTCAGGGGCTGGTTCTTATAGTGGCCCGAGCAGTGGTGCCTGCAGCTGGGCCGATTGCATTTAGTTAAGTGACTCAGATACTGTAAGTAGGAACTGAGCAGGGAGTCCTGAAAAAGACAGGCAAGGCCACACTCAGGGAAGCCAGCCCCCACTGGAGCTGTCATTCCTCCCCCTTCCCTGAGCACTCAGCCCCTTTGAAGGAGAGCAAAGAAATTGTGCTGAGCTTTAATGAGGAATCAGCTGGGCGCACTTTGCCACAGGCCTGGCTGGAGGCAGAAAGAAATGAACAGGCCCCCAGGAGTGAGCGACCCACTGCAGCTAAGTCATTCCCACCATCTCTGGATGTGACCAGAGACCCTGTGGTCATGTGGCTTCAAGCAGCCCTAGCTCACATGTGCCACTTCCCTGCAATCCCACCAACTGCTGAGCGTGCCCTGCCATCTGAGGTAGAATCAACATCAGACATCGTCAGGAGGCCAGCAATGCTGCCAGTGCAGAGTGAGGGGAGTGGCAGGCTTCCCCGGGAAATGTCAGCATTTATTGCTTTTCCCATTCGTGTTGACCCTCAGCAAGAAAATGTTCCAAATAGCATGAAGTCATCCCCCCTTTTTGGGGGGTCCTGGACCCAGTAATAACATCTTCCCGAAGGGCAATGAGTCTGTCTTTAACCTTGCCCTCTCTGGCAGGTGTGTATCAATGTGGTTTCTAGAAGCATCTCTGGGCTGCCCGGTCCCTGCCTGTGGCCACCTTCCCTTCTGGGAAAGTAACAGCCCCCGCTCCACGGTCTAGGCTCTGCTGCTCTCCTCCCGCTCCTCTGGAAACCCACTAAGTTATCTTAATTACCATTCCTCCTCAGTCTCTGCCAAGAAGTGGGGAGATTTATAATTGGATCAGTCAAATATTTGCTATGGTTTATTTCTTTGCCTCTCGAGCTCTCGTAAAAGTTGCATTTTCATGCCACTTTGGGGTATGACTGATGACTCAAAGGCACAGCCTTCACATTGCATGCCAACGTGGGTTATTTTTCAGAGGCCAGGGAAAAGGAGAGAACTGGGCGGGGAGAGGTGGTGTTTACTTTGGGTTATTGTGCTATCATCCTCTGGGTGGCTGCAAGAGACACAAGCGGCTTTGGGAGGCAAACTTCCTCCCGCAGCCAGCCGGTGCACAGACACATCCTTCTATTGGGATTTGGTCATGTGCCTCCTAAACCCCTTCCAGAGCTTCTGCAGACCTAATGGGTAGGACCACTACAGAGTAACCTCTTTAGTCAACGAGGCACAGTTTGGTCTCCCAAAGCATCCCCATGTCCCGAATTGATCACAGTGAGGTCCTAGAACAGAGGAGCCAGATGTCCCCAATACTAAGCCTGAGTTATCAATTCCCAGTGTTGAGGGATGAAAAGGAAACTCTGGCCAGGGCCTGAGCTTTTGGAAAATGCTCTCCTTCTAGTGTCAGCCAGTCTGCCAAGCAAGCTGGCCAGGCTACAGCTTAGGAACCCTAGAGAGCAGAGGCTCCCCTACACCAGATGGCCTCCTTGCAAGCCAGCTTCTCACTGGCCCCCAGTCTCCCTATCCTGGAAGGCAGTCTCCATGGCTGGCTCAGTTTATCCTCCCTGCATTTCTAGCCTCTAGCCCTTGCCCAAGTTATAGCAGCAGTGAATGATGCTGTGTGATGCTGCTTGACACGTGTTAATCTATGCATAGTGACCCTATGTGCACTCTAGAGCACTTTGAGATAGAAAGGAGGAACAAGAGGTATAAACTGGGACACTCCTGGGTAATTGTGATAAACAAACACCCTACACATAATAGAGTGGAATTTGACCAACAGAAGATGCTACCATCTTTTCCTGGGTGATCCTGTCCTGTTGTCCTATAAGAAATTATCTTGACCGGGCACGGTGGCTCACGCCTATAGTTCCAGCACTTCAGGAGGCCAAGGCGGGCGGATCACGAGGTCAGGAGTTCGAGACCAGTCTGGCCAACATAGTGAAATCCCATCTCTGCTAAAGATACAAAAAATTACCCGGGTGTGGTAGCAGGTGCCTGTAATCCCAGCTACTCGGGAGGCTGAGGCTGGAGAATTGCTTGAACCCGAGAGGTGGAGGTTTCAGTGAGCCAAGATCAAGCCATTGCATTCCAGCCTGGGTGACAGAGCGAGACTCCATCTCAAAAAAAAAAAAAAGAAAGAAAGAAATGATCTTGAGGACCATTTGGCCTGACCTGGGAAGGAAGAAGGGCAGTAGTTCTGAAGTCCTTACTCTTCACCACCCTACCCTGCAGATGAAACCCCTGTCTTCCTGGAGTTTATGTTCTTAGTAGAAAGACAACACACATAAAAATAAATTATATCATTTTAGGGGGTAATAAGTGCTTTGAAGATAATAAAGCACAATAAAGGGCTACAGGATTGAGACACATCAGACACCATATCATATCAGAGTCAAGATCTTCTCCCAGAGCCCCTGGCTAGCCGATTCTTCCTTAAATGAAAACTGCCCTCTGTGCTTCTGTGCAGGGGGACTCTGAGGAGCCAGCCAAAATAGATGTCTTCTCTTTCCCCTGAAAAATGCCTCTTCTTAGAGTAATTTACTGGGCTGGACGGTGAGCACTGCCACTAGTCCTAAGCCATTTCTGTTTCCCTTGGCTGGTCAGGCGGTTCGGCAAGAGATGACTGATGCCCAAATTAGTAATGAGCAATGGCCCCACACAAGTAATCACCTTCCCCAAACTCTTCCTCATGGGGATGATTACTTGGACCCGAAATGAAGTAGATCCTTCTCACCTCGGCACCAAGGAAGTTACAGCCATTCCTCTGGCTGACAGCAATTTGTAGACATGGGTCTTTGCAGTTGGACATTTTCGAGGTTGCTAAGGAACAAATGCTTTGATTAGAAAGGTCTCCAAAAGCAGCATCAGTTTGTCATATCACTTTAAATCATTTATTTTATCCCACAAAGACAGCTGTGACCAATGGGATATGGGGTAGAGAGAAGCTAAACACTCATTTCCTTGAGAAATGGAGAAAATTTCAACTTCTAAGCAGCGGCCGTCACCAGCGCCCCACGTGTGAAACTAGAACCACGCACTGCTCGTCCGTAATCATTATGATTTGCAAGTAGGTGACTCATAGTCCCTAGGTACTTAATAAAATGGTTGTTATCTTCCTGGCCCTGCCCTAAGCATTATCTCATGTCATCCTTATAACCTCCCTGAATGTTAGGTGTGATTATTCCCTGGTATGAAAACCAAGAAGAAGGTAAAAGTAGATTTGCCCAACATCAAAGAACAGTAAGTGACAGAGTCAGAATTCAAACCCAGGTTTGTCTGATGGCAAAGCCTTTGTGTTTAAGATTATAGAGTCTTTTGTTTTCAGTGATCACATTTCAGGTGGAAAAACTAGCGATTCTGACGACGGGAAAGGCACATTAGGAGATTCCTGGAGTTTCATTCTGTGAAGTTCGTAAAAGGGGTTATAGTTGATGTCTGTAACCCATAAAAACCTTTTTATGGAAGGGAAAGTGGAGAGATTGCTTAATCCTACAGTGGTGGTTTTCATCGGCTAAAACCTACACTTTGAATGTTCTCTGGAAGTCAGCATGCAAGTGACTTTTCTATGCAGTGATTTTGCAAGAGTTCACAAGATTAGTCCAGTTCTACTGGGGTTTTATCGATTTTCTTGTCAACAAGTAAGAAACACTGGTGTCCTCTTTGCCTTCTCCTTCATCATCTCTGTCCAGCCCATGGTCAAGCCCTGTCACCTCTTCCTTAGAAATGTTCCTCCAAAGTTGTCCCCCGCTTCTCATTCACTGTCCTGATCAAACCCTTTTCACCTCACCCCTGGGTTTCTGCAATCACTTCCTAATTGGTCCTCCTACTTTCATTTTTTCTCCCTTTAGAATATCTCATATCCTTCCTACAAACTAATTCCTTAAAACATCCCTTTCATCACATCAGTCACTGCTCAAGAGTCTTCAATAGCTCCCACTTGCCTGCTACAGCATTTCATCTATTATTTAGAACAGGCCTCTCTTGGGTCCCGTTTGACCTCCCCATCCCCTTATCCTGGTAGGCTTAGTTGACCACTCTGTCTCTCATTAATCACTTCCATTTCTGAACCTGGTTTCCACTGAAACAAAGTTAAACTTTAATTGCTGGTTTATCCAAGGCTAGGCACTATAAGGGCATGAACATAAACACCAAGCCAATCTATGTCTAAATTTTTGCTTGGCCACTTAGGAGCTGTGTGACTTTAGAAAAGTTGCTTGACTTCTCTGAGCCTCAGCTTTCTTATCTGTAAAATATGAATGTAAATAACACCAAGATAGGTACCAAATCAGGGTTTCTTCAAGAATTGAATAAAATGATAATAACGATCATGACGGCTAACATGTATTTTGTGTTTGCTGGGTGCCAGGCACTGTCTAAATATTATCTGAATCCTCACAACAACCCCATAACATAGATACTCTTATTTTCAGTTTGCCAATGGGAAAACCAAGGCACAGACAGGAGAAGCTAGTAAGCACCTCATTCAGGATTTTCTCAGGCTCCATAGCCCTCATCATAGCCCTTCTGCTGTGCCATTTCTCCTAGTAAATGATCAATAAAATGGTAGCTGGTAACATGGGTTCATAATTCCTTATCTGAAACTCTCAGGAAACCAATTACATTTTGGAATTCAGAATTTGGAGGATTATGGAAAAGTTATACTTTGCATATCCTCTGTATTACATAATGCAGAGGGGGACTGGAGCAACAGCATATACCACTCCCCCCACCACACACACACACACACACACACACACACACACACACACACACACGATGCACACATACAAACAAAAAGAAAAAAACTTTGGGTTAAAGCTCTTTGGATTTCAGGATAACAGACAAGAGATTGTGGCCTAGAGTAATAAAAGTATTAATAGTAGCAATAATTATAAAGCATAATAAATAATGACTGTTATTATTGTTACACATTTTGCGGCTCTTGTTTTCCTGGATAAGTTCATAGCAAAATGTGCTACAAAAAAGGTCTTTCTCCATTAACAAATGGGTTCGGGGGGAAGGTACCAGGTATGGGACCACATCCACACCTTGTCTCATGCATGGTACTCTCTCTCCTTTTCCCAGTATGACTTCATGGAACGTCTGGACGGGAAGGAGAAGTGGAGTGTGGTTGAGTCTCCCAGGGAACGCCGGAGCATACAGACCTTGGTTCAGAATGAAGCCGTGTTTGTGCAGTACCTGGATGTGGGCCTGTGGCATCTGGCCTTCTACAATGATGGAAAAGACAAAGAGATGGTTTCCTTCAATACTGTTGTCCTAGGTAGGTGTGGGGTCTCTGAGATGGTACGCCATGAAGGGAAGATGGAAATGTTCTGGGCTTCTCTGCAGAAGACACATCTTCTAAGGTAGTTTCTACTACAGATGACAACCAACCAGGATCCTTTGTTTAGGCCTTATAGTGTCACCCACCTGAAACTAGCTCTGATTAAATGGAAATGCTGCTTAAACCATGAAAAATTCACCAAGGATGAAATTGAGGTTAAGAGTTTGGGTCAGACTGCCTGGGTTGAGTCCTGACCACACTACCTAAGCAAATCACTTGACTTTGATAAGCCTCAGTTTCCTCATAGTAAAATAGGAACTAACGTGAATGCCCACCTCATAGGGCCATTGTGGGGATTAAATAAAACAAATATATAAATCTCTAAGCATATAGTAGAGAAACTACTGGCGATTCACATCAGCTCAGAATTTTTCTTAAAAATTAAGGGAACCTCAAAATACTAATAAAAAGTGATTTTTAAAAAAACTTTAAATCAGAGAAATTATATAGACATTTAAAAATCATGTTTTTATTCTTGAGTAGGTAAATCTCAAAGTGTTTTAATTAAGTACTTATCATTTTGGCATAGGGTAGCCCTGCTTTCTATTAGCTATCAAGAGAAAAGCGAAGTTTCAACCAAAATGTCCTTATACATGCAATACAAAGCTCTAAAAGGGTCATTCACTTGAGGAAGATTTCATAAAGTTTTTCTACCACAAACCTTAAGTATGTTAACAAGCAAAGAAGCTGCAGATATTTTCATTAAAGTTATGTTATTGGGATTTTTAATCTTCTCCTGACAATAATAATTGATCCTGGGTAGAACCTCTGTGAATCAGGGAAGATTATTAGACCCATTTCACAGAAGAATAAATTGAGATTCAGAAAGCTGAATCTCTCGAAGACCCAGGTTGTGGAAACAGTGGAAATGGCATGGGCTTCTGGGTCTTGTCCACTGCCCTTGTACAACACCATGTGTCCCAAAAACTTTTAGCTGTAGATCTCAAGATTCACTGGGGAAGCCCCCACAGGGTGGCTTCTTGAAGAAAGACCTGGTAGCTCCAGCATTAAATCCAAGATTTTCTTCCCCACATCTTAACTGGGCAATTCACTTATCTCTCTGAGCCTCAGTTTCATCAGCTGTGAAAAGGTAATGACCACGTCCAGGAAGTAGAGGGTGATGTGAGTATCATGACAAATAAAACGTGTGTGGCATGTGTTGGTGGTCACTAAGTGACATCCGATTATTTTTTTTCCTTAGGAATATGTCTAGTATCGCTCTTTTTCTATTGATTACATTTTAAGAACTTTTCTATTGGTCCCATGGATTTTCCTGAGGGGCTCCCTGACTCTTCAAAGAGCTATGTAATCCAACCTGAAATTCAGGTGGCAATTCTTCATCAGTGGCCACAACTTCAGAAAGGTGTAAAATCATATAGAGTTTTGGTACTGACCATGGGATTCAAGTCAATCCTTATTCCTTCTGCTAAGCAAAGACTGACCCTATCAAAGCTGGCCAAATGGTCCAAAGCAGGAGTTGGCTCCACTGTAGCCCATGGGCCTAATCTGGCCCACTGCCTGTTTTTATGAATAAAGTTTTATTGGAGCAGCCCCATACATCTGTTTACATATTGTCTATGGCAGCTTTCCCACTGTCATGGCAGAGTTGAGTCATTGCAGCAGAGACCATATGGCCCACAAAGCCTAAATCCTTACTCTCTGTCCCTTTACAGACAAAGTTTGCCAACCCCTACTCTAAAGTCATGTCATAAACTTTGTATAATGAAAGTCAGTGGAGAAGCGTTCCACAGAGGGAAAATACCCAGAATTAGGTTAGGTACCAACGGGGAAGAAAAGTAATAGGGTAGAGACTAGCTCACAAAAGGAAAAAACTAGAAACAAATTTGGAACCAGCTTGAGATGTTGAGATTTTTAAAAATCTTTAGTTTAAGAACATGATGAGAAACGACTTCCTTTGTGTCACTCTGTGTTTGAACTCAAGAGGCTTGACACGTACGTGACAGCACACACCCTGCACAGCAGCTGGCTCAGCTGGGGTCTACAAGAATTCAGAGAAGTGGTTCATAACAACAAGAACAGCTATGCATTTATAGAGCATCAACGGTATGCTAGCCCCAGTATTATGCCTTCGTGTCTGTTGCTTCCTCAACCCATGGAGTAGCCACATGAGGTAGCACTATCACAATTCTCTGCATTTTCCAACTGAGGAAGCCAAGACTAAATGCAGTTAAAAAACTTGCCCAAGGTCACACACAGCCAGGAAAAGGTGAAATCAGGATTCATACTTTCCAGAGCCTGTGCTTTTAACCACTGGATTTCTTTGGATTCTAGCCAACTAAATCCTTTTCCCTCTAAACTTAGCACCTTTTCTGGGGTTCGGATTATTTCCCAACAACTTCTGTCCTCCTTTTCCTTTATCCACATGGACACAGGCATTGTGGTAGTGAAATTCCCTTCCCCCAGGCCATCACTCACCCTGGCCTGTTGGAGCTGGGAATAGCAATTCTCCCAAGAGGATCTCTCTTGTCTGGACTGTAGCTCAAAGAGCAAGTCAAAGGTAATTGGCCTAATAGTTGGGCAGACATCTTGATGGAGCAATGATAGTAATTGGCCTGAAATGCAGGGAAAAGAACAGTGTTTTATTTGGTTCAGAGGTTCTCCCACACATTCCTATCATCAGAACATTCTCCATCAAGAGCAGCCAGGAGTGCTGTAAACCCCCGTGATGTGAAACAGAAGGAAAATGTTAGACAGGTGCCTACCAGCGATCACACTAAATATATCTTTGACTCAGGGAAGTCTTTTGATGTGTTTTGGAGAGAAGCAGCCTGCTTTCAGAAACAAGTTTCTTCTCGAGACAACAGAGCAGCTTTCTGGAAGCACGATGCCAGCCTCCACTTGGATAAAATCCCATTTCCTGGGCTTGATCTCACATCTGGAGGCCACTTCTTCCTCAAGAAAATGTAAACAAAAAGGAAAACTGATAATATCTTAAAAATAATATTTAACTGAGTGCTGGAGAAAGGGGATTGAAATGTGAGCTCCTTTATATTTTAGCTTTGCCACGTCATTGTTTTTCCCTCAGAAACTGTGAAAATACTTTAAATATGAGTTGTTGGGAAAGTTAAATGAAAAATACTCTTTATTATAATTTTTGTTTATTTTGGATTCTCCTACCCTCCCACACATGCACACACACAGACACACATACACATAGACATACACATACACACAGGCACACACACACATAAGCACACTTCAGCAACTATTTACCAAGGACCTATTGTATACCAAGCATTGAGAATACCTCGATGAACAGTTCAGATCGAGAGCTTGGTGAGAGAAGATAGATGTATATAAGAATTACAGGAGCAAAGAGGAAGTGGTACAAAGCCCAGATTGAGGAAAGTGAGGAAAACACCCAGGAGCTGAGACACAATGGTAAATACCTCAAGTGAAGCCCTCCAGCCAAGCAAAGAGACTGTGCAAAGATCTCGGGCCTTTTCCATGGGACTGTGGTGGCAAAGAGCTTCCTGGACCTTTGCTGCTTGATCGCCAAAGATGTAAGTTTTGAGAACAGGGAGCCTTGACCTCAAGAATGTCAATTTCCACCAAACCATCCCCAGACCCAGATGCTCAGTGAGAAGCAATCTCTACCTAGCTGTAGGAATGACTTCAAAAAATGCAAGCTGGAGAATGATGTTCCTCTGTTTAAATGTTTCATTTGTACCCAGAAGTTCCAGAATAGAACCCAAGTCATCCACATGTTCTACAGCAGGGGTCCTCAACCCTAGGGCCGCAGATCAGTATTCACCATAATGTCAAATCAGTGGAAGCCCTCAGCTTGTTTTCCTGCAACTAGATGATCCCATCTGGGGGTCATGGGGGACAGTAATAGATCATCAGGCATTAGATTCTCATAAGGAGCATGCAACCCAGATCCCTCCATGTGCAGATCACAATGAGGTCTGTGGCCCATTAGGAACTGGGCCGCAGAGCAAGAGATGAGCAGTAGGTGAGCAAGTGAAGCTTTATCTTTATTTACAGTTGCTCTTCATTGCTTGCATTACTGACTGAGCTCCGCCCCCTGTCAGATCAGCAGCAGCATTAGATTATCATAGGAGGGCAAACCCTATTGTGAACTGTGCATGCGAGGGATCTAGGTTGTATGCTCCTTGTGAGAATCTAACGCCTGATGATCTGTCACTGTCTCCCATCACCCCTAGATGGGACCATCTAGTTGCAGAAAAACAAGCTCAGGGCGCCCACTGATTTGACATTATGGTGAGTTGTATAGTTATTTCATTATATGTTACAATGTAATAATAATAGAAATAAAATGCACAGTAAATGTGTGTGCTTGAATCATTCCGAAACCATCCCCAAGCCCCAGTCTGTAGAACAATTGTCTTCCATGGAACCAGTCCCTGGTGGCAAAAAGGTTGGGGACCGCTGGTCTACATGTCCCTGGATGATCCATCTCTCTGCCTGGATCTCTCCAAACTCAACTAATGTCACACCCTCCCTTGTTTGCTACCCTGCATCCACATTGGATTCAGTTCCTCTCTTTCCCACCCCAGAGCCTTTGCATAAGCTATTCCTCTGACCTGGAATACCCTTCCCTCAGCTCTTTGCTTGCTGGTTTCAGCTTATCCTTCAGAGTCACCTGCATAGAGTAGAGAGGCCCTCCCTGAACATTCTCTTTAAGTAGCTTCCTTTCGTTACTCCATCTCAGTATCTTATTCTGTTCAAAGCACTTATTGTAATTTTTGCTTATTTAATTTGTTTGTTTTTTTAGCTTGTATTCTCTATTATTGTGCAAAGCTTTATGAGGGCTTTGCATATGAGGGGACTATATCTGTCTTTGTCACCATGGTATCTCCAATGCCTTGTTATATAGTGTTTTGCATATAATAAGTGCTCAGTTAGTAGACTGAATCATATGTAAGAATGTGACAGATCTGAGATCTTACCCTAATTGCAAGCTAGCATGTTAGCCTGACACAGTTTCATGGATGCCATCAGAAGACATGAGACTCATGGGTCAGAGACAAGGGACTTTATTACTCAGAGCAATGCAATATCCAGAGTGTCAGCACATGTTCTGTTCCCCAAGCCCCAGTTCCCTCAGAGTAACACCTCAGGGCCTCCCTCAGGTCGGGTGATGCCAGTGCATATGTCATGGGTTGCACTGCAGGAGAAAAATCCTGAGCTTACTGAACCCGAGCCTCTTAGAATGGGAAGTAAGCTTGCTTATTCTTTGTTCCAGAGGGAGATATTGTCTTTACTATACTGGGTAATAAGTAAACCTGCCCTTTACTCAGGAGAGAGACACTATCGCTGTCTCCCAAGGCTGTTCCCAATACAGACAGCCTTGAAAAGATAGTTCAGAACTAAGGCAGTCAATGCCTGTGCTCTCAAGACATTCAGAAACATGACAGACCCAGGGAGAATGATCTCCCAGCACCGTGTGAAATTGCTGATTTGCTGATCTACAAAAGCACCTAACGCTTTTTGAATGAGTGATGAATTCAAAAAATAAATGAATAAATGAAACAAACAGGTAGCCACCTGGATGCTTCTCAGCCGACATTTACACAGCCAACCTCAAGGAGTTTCAGTCTGAAATGTTAATTGTTGTTACACATTAAGGAAACTGGCTTGATGGGGCCTATGGTCTTTTGTCTGATTTTGAAAAAGCAAATATACTCATTGAGTTTTCCTCAGAGTGCCAGAAACCAACTACAGTGTGGTTCTGGAAGATGAGAGCTGAGAAAGGAAACACTGTAGAAAGAAAACAAAACTGTGTGATTCGAAGTTTCAATCCAGAGTGGGAGTAAATGGGAAATCAGGTTTAAAGGCAACACATCCTTTATCACTCTCAGGTACCTCCATTAGGAACAATTAGACTTCACAGCCTTTCATACCATGTCACCAGGTCAAAGTCCCCAACTCTCCAAGGGTGATATAACATCACATTTTGAGAATAGTGGCTTATACTTTCCTTTTCATCTTAGTAATTTGGAACCTGAAAGTCTAAATGTATTTTGTTTTAAGACAAAAATTAGGATTATGGTAATAATTTTTAAAGAATATGACTATTTCTGTGCAGACCCAAATCAACATTAAATAGTTCCAAAATCATTCCTTTGAAGGTATTACTTGAGAGTACACATAGAAAGGTAAATCACAAGATAAGACGGTGATGCAGGTTAGAGCCAAATGTGAACTAATTCATTTTCATGAAAAATAACATCCTTAAAAGCTAAGCATAAAAGGACATTTGTATAACCGCAAACCTCCTATTTAAAGAATTCCAAAATCCTGCCTAATTTAAGCAGTCTATGCATTTGGGTTTTTCTTTTATTAGAATTCCTTAAAGCAAGGAATATTTTTACTCTACAAATCTGAGGTTAGGAATAACTACTCCTATTTTGAAGAATCACTCTCTATACCTAAGGCTAAAAACTGATACCCTGCACATCAGACCAAATCTTAACTGAGTGGGATGATGAAGGTTGGGGGGTGGTTGTGGGTACAGTGTTTAAAAACTTGTCAACATTTAAACGTGGGAGCTTTCATAGTTTTTAAATCCAGACTGATAGTTTATTTTTTCTATTGTTTTGTTTTGTTTGTTTGTTTTGTTTTTGAAATTGAGTCTCGCTCTGTCACCCAGGCTGGAGTGCAATGGCGCAATCTCAGCTCACTGCAACCTCTGCCTCCTGGGTTCAAGCTATTTTCCTGCCTCAGCCTCCCAAGTAACTGGGATTACAGGCATGCATCACCACGTCCAGCTAATTGTGTGTGTGCGTGTGTGTGTGTGTGTGTGTGTATTTTTAGTAGTGATGGGTTTTTACCATGTTGGCCAGGCTAGTCTCAGACTCCTGACCTCATGTGATCCACTTGCCTCAGCCTCCCAAAGTGCTGAGATTACAGCTGTGAGCCACTGTGATTGATGAGACTGGTAGTTTATTCTTAAAAAGTGAAAGTTACAGCACTACTAGCCCTGCATTCCTGCCTGGGGCCATCACCTGGAGAGCACTGTTCAAGCTGTCCCAGTCCCCACCACTCCCTATTCTCTTCCTTCACTCATTCATATTGCTGACCGATCCCCTATGACAGGCATCTGAGATTACTACCACTGGTCTTTAAAAGTGGCAAGTTACTGACGGTTAAATTACTGCACCAGTAGACAGAGGAAAAGGTAAACACTACATTTATCTCTTTTTCAGATTCAGTGCAGGACTGTCCACGTAACTGCCATGGGAATGGTGAATGTGTGTCCGGGGTGTGTCACTGTTTCCCAGGATTTCTAGGAGCAGACTGTGCTAAAGGTATGTGCCGCCACTTCCCTGCTATGGTTGGAAAACAGACCCTCCCTAGGCTTCTCTGAGCGGGTAACAGAAGGGACATCCAAGTAGCCTTCCCATCAAATCCCCCGAGACATCTTGCAAGCCCATGCATGCCAGAAGGCATAAGCCTTCGTAAAGAGTAGGCTTTGATTTATGACCATTGGCCAACGTACCTATAGGAGCAGGGCAGTTATCCTTGGCACTGAGGTGTGCTGAGAAGAAAGATGTGCTAAAAATGAGATGGTCGGATTTCCTGTAAAAGCAGAAGTGAATTACCATCACTCCTTTCTTATAATCATTAACTTCTATGTAATGGAAGATTAAGCATCTCAGGGTTAGTAAATTTCATTCATTCTGGCCAGCTACACTCTTAATCTAGGAAGCGCTATTTATCTTGGTGGAATCGGTTTTAAATTGTATTATTAATTTATCTACACTGCTGTGCACAGAATAGCTGGAGCCCTGAGATTCTTGGGGGAAAGGTAATATAAGAAAGAAAATGCTTCTCACAAGAACAGAGAATTTAGAGGCTGCACACCTTGCTTGCAAAACACCTTCAGTGTGACCTTCAAATGGCTCTATCAGAGGCAGGTATAGTGAAGAGCAGAGCGTCTCACACTTTTACCCACAGGCACACACACAGACACAGACACAGATACACAGACACATAGACACACAAGGGTATATGTCTAAATACAAGTAGGAAATTGAAACAAAACTCACAAAATGATATTTTACTCCATGTTTCTTTTCTATTTCATTTTTTATTTTATTTTATTTTTTTGAGATAGAGTCTCACTGTCGCCCAAACTGGAATGCAGCGGCACGATCTTGGCTCACTGCAATCTCCCTGTCCTGGTTTCAAGCAATTATCCTACCTCAGCCTCCCAAGTAGCTGGAATTACAGGCATGTGCCACCACACCCGGCTAATTTTTGTATTTTTAGTAAAGACAGGGTTTCACTATGTTGGCCAGGCTGGTCTCGAACTCCTGACCTCAAGTCATCCGCCCACCTTATCCTCCCAAAGTGCTAGGATTACAGGCATGAGCCACTGTGCCCGGCCTCGTTTTTTTTTAATACCAGTTATTACCCATTACACTGATTTTCCACCCACCAATAGGCCATATCACAGTTTGAAAAATAGTGAAGGGGCAGTTGAGTGCACTTGCTGCAGAGTCAGGCAATCCTGAGTTCCAATCCCAGCTCTGCCATTGGGTATCTGACATTAAGTGACTGATTTAACATTTCTGAACCTTGGTTTCCTCATCTGGAAAAGTGGGGAGTTACTTCCTAGGTTTATTGTGAGGATAGTGTAAGATAACACACACAAAGCTCTTAGCAGGGCACAATAAGGCCTCAAAGGGCTTGACTTTCTTATTTAATTATGCATACGATTTTATTTATTTATATGTTTAACTAATCTTCCCGTTATTTTCATGTGTGCTTTATTAAAAGACCTTCCTGCCTTGACTTTCTGCAAGACAATCATTAATAAAGCTGCTCTGTAAATACTAAATAGTGCCTCTCCTTTCCCACCCTCACCGCAATTGCTCTGAAAAATACTATTTCAAATAGTCTCAATATTTCAAAGATGTGAGGGTTCCAGGCTTACGAATGCTGATAAGTGAAGGGGGCTTTCTGTACTTAAAGTTCTGGGTCTGATGGCACGTGCGTGAGACTTAATTCCTAAATGACACCGCTTACAGGCATCTCTTCTGTCACACAGTATGGTGAAAGCTTCGATAAACTTAAAAAGAAGGCAAGGTTTGTAGTTCTCCTTGAAGAGGTCCTTCACATCCCTTGTAAGTTGGATTCCTAGGTATTTTATTCTCTTCGTAGCAATTGTGAATGGGAGTTCACTCATGATTTGGCTCTCTGTTTGTCTATTGTTGGTATATAGGAATGCTTGTGATTTTTGCACATTGATTTTGTATCCTGAGACTTTGCTGAAGTTGCTTATCAGGTTAAGGAGATTTTGGGCTGAGACGATGGGGTTTTCCAAATATACAATCACGTCATCTGCAAACCACAATGAGATACCGTCTCATGCCAGTTAGAATGGTGATCATTAAAAAGTCAGGAAACAACAGATGCTGGAGAGGATCTGGAGAAATAGGAATGCCTTTACACTGTTGGTGGGAGTATAAATTAGTTCAACCATTGTGGAAGATAGTGTGGCGATTCCTCAAGGATCTAGAACCAGAAATACCATTTGCCCCAGCAATCCCATTACTGGGTATATACCCAAAGGATTATAAATCATTCTACTATAAAGACATATGCACACGTATGTTTTATTGCAGCACTATTCACAATAGCAAAGACTTGGAACCAACCCAAATGCCCATCAATAATAGACTGGATAAAGTAAATGTGGCACATATACACCACGAAATACTATGCAGCCATAAAAAAGGATGAGTTCATATCCTTTGCAGGGACATGGATGAAGCTGGAAACCATTATTCTCAACAAACTAACACAGGAACAGAAAACCAAACACTGCATGTTCTCACTCATAAGTGAGAGTTGAACAATGAGAACACATGGACACAGGGAGGGGAACATCACACAGTGAGGCCTGTCAGGGGGTTGGGGGCTAGGGGAGAGATAGCATTAGAAGAAATACCTAATGTAGATGATGGGTTGATGGGTGCAGCAAACTATTATGGGTGCAGCAAACCAGATGACAGGTTGATGGGTGCAGCAAACCATATGTATACCTATGTAACAAACCTGCACATTCTGCACATGTATTCCAAAACTTCAAGTATAATTAAAAAAAAAAAAAAAAAGACAAGATGCTGCCCGACAGCTCTCAGGGCTCTGTGTCAGGCCAGAAGCCACCCGACAGCTCTCTGGGCTGTGCCAGGCTTAGTGCACTCTGTCAATGGCAGGGGGCACATCAGCAAAGTGAACTGTGGAGACTGGACCTCCTCCTAGCGCCTCCCTCAGGCTCTGAGGGTCACTGATGGAGCAAGGAGAACAGAGAACAGCTTTTCCTAGCGGAGGCTTTAAAGGAAGGAAAATCTCAGTGTCATTTGAATGGCTTTCCTTGCATAATCTAATTTTCCTGGGAGTGAAGACATTAATGAGAAGAAGGACAGAGTCGGCCTTTTATATGTGGCTGCAAATGGGCTGAACCCTCAGCCGCACGGCCCGTGAGCTGTAAATGTATATTAACACTGACACACATCGATGTATTATTAATCCTAAAAACCATGTGTGCTCCGACTGCACATCCAGTGACTGGCCTTTTAAACCTAAGTACCCCGGCCGTTTAAGAACCCTTTGCTCTAAATCCATTTGCAGATGAACGTCCATTCTACATTATGGATCTGTAATGGGGTGTCCATTTAGCTGCTTAAAAGGACTCTCGGTGTGTGTTTTGCATTCACCACCTGCAGTGTGGCAGGGCGCACACTGCAAGTGTGCATTAGCCATGGTATATAATTGATCCTTGTGAAACAAATATTGAGTGGATGTTAAGAGTAGTTATTCCTCCATACTCAGTCGCTGCTCCTGAAATCGGGCTTTGAACTTGTATACTTTAATTTAGCTGTTGCACACAGTGGACAAAATTGAAGTGTTTAAAGAATAAAATTGCTTTTCCCCGATTTCTCCATTTATTCTGGGTGAAGTTGGTTGAAGAGTGTTAGGAGTAGGATTCTACCTTTTAGCCCTATAGATGTTTTTCCCTTAGTATTTTTTTAAATGGCCACAGTTTAAGCTACTTCATTGTTAACAGAGTGAAATTTCCCCTCATTCTAAAGCCTTCTTTCCCAGTCTTTGATCTTTCATGTACCACCTTTATTATTTCTGGCAATTTCATGGGACAGAAGTATTATTAATTACTTAACATGTTTCTTCAAGTCAATTCATTATAGTTCCATAGTTTTTTTGTTTTTGTGTGTGTGTGTGTGCGTTTTGTTGTTGTTTTTTTTGAGATAGAATTTTGCTTTTGTTGCCCAGGCTGGAGTGTAATGGTGCAATCTCGGCTCACCGCAACCTCCGCCTCCTGGGTTCAAGTGATTCACCTGCCTCAGCCTCCTGAGTAGCTGGGATTACAGGCATGTGCCACCATGAATGGCTAATTTTGTATGTTTAGTAAAGACGGGGTTTCTCCATGTTGGTCAGGCTGGTCTTGAACTCCCGACCTCAGGTGATCCACCCGCCTCAGCCTCCCAAAGTGCTGGGATTACAGGCGTGAGCCACCTCGCCCAGCGATAAATTTATTTTAAAAAGAACAATGTCAAAACCAGAAAATTGAAAAAGGAAAAACTATAGGAAATGTTAGCGCCCCCATTAACCCTATCTAGAGAGTAATATTTTCACTTTGATTAGCATCCAAGCCAAGTCAGCTTCTTACACACTTATTTCACATCAAGAATGCCAAAAGGGGACTTGAGCACACATAAGCCTGGCGTCTGGAGAGACTCAAGCCTTGAACACCTCAACTCATAACTATTGGCTCCTAAAATAACAAAATTCCTTGACCACACCTGTGGGATGAAATGAGAAACAAGTAAACACAAGCACACAGGTTTAACTGTACCAGGTTCAAGTGCAAAAATCCAATGATTAGCACTGAATTTATTTCTGAAATGTTAAGCCTATACTTCCAGTTGTTTTTAAATAACAATAGCTTTTAAGTACTCAATATGCATCAGATATTGTGCAAAGTACTTAATAGATACTCTTATTTGTCTTCATATCAATGATATGAGGTAAATTCTATTTTTTTTAATTATACTTCAAGTTTTAGGGTACATGTGCACAACGTGCATGTTTGTTACATATGTATACATGTGCCATGTTGGTGTGCTGCACCCATTAACTCATCATTTAACATTAGGTATGTCTCCTAATGCTATCCCTCCCCGCCTCCCCCCACCCCACAACAGGCCCCAGTGTGTGCTGTTCCCCTTCCTGTGTCCATGTGTTCTCATTGTTCAATTCCCACCTATGAGCGAGAACATGCGGTGTTTGGTTTTTTGTCCTTGCGATAGTTTGCTGAGAATGACAGTTTCCAGCTTTAACCAATCCTCCCCACTACAATTTTGTAAACATTTTGTATTGAAATCATTTGGGACTTGCAGACAAGCTGCACAGATAGAACACAGAGTTTCCATACAGAGCGCACCCAGCTTCCCCTATGTCCACATTTTAAATTTCCGTAACTCAAAGATCAAAACCAAGACATTAACATCCATACAAAGCCATTAGCTAATTTACAGACTTTTCCTAACTTTGCCCTTTCTTTCTCATCCAGGATCCCACATTGCATTTAATCGTCACGCCCCCTTCATCCCTTTAACCTGACCAGTCTGTGACAGTTCCTCGTTACTCCTTGTCTTTTATGACCTTGACCCTTTAGAAGAGCATTAGTCAGGTATTTTGTGGAGTGTCTCTCGGTATGGGTCTGTCTGATATTTTCCGGTGATTGGATTGACGTTATGCATTTTTAGCAAGATGCTATGCCCTCCTCAGTGCATTACATCAGAGATGCACTTCTGATTTTAATCAGAAAAAAAGTAAAATGTGGTTGTATAAGTGAGTATGTGTGTGTGTGAGTGTGTGTGCCTTTGTTCCCCCTCACACATAAGGCAGAGACGTGGGAAGCCTCGATCCCATTGGTCCTGCACAATTTAGCAGTGGCTATGACAAGTTGTCACTCACAAACAACTTTTGGGCTTAAGAAGCAGCTGACTGTTGGCAGGGAGTAACCCTGAGCCAACAGAATGAGGTAATTGGCTAGCAAGTGCCGAGACAGGTGCACCTGAGTCTCCTGCTCCCCAGAACAGGGCACCCCATCTCCCGGCTGTGGGCCATGATCGGTGTCCTTCTTTCTTTTCTGGTTTGTTTGTTTGTTTGTTTGTTTGTTTGTTTGTTTGTTTTTTGAGACAGAGATTTGCTCTGTCACCCAGGCTGGAGTACAGTGGTGCAATCTCAGCTCACTGCAACCTCCTTCTCCCAGGTTCTAAGCGATTCTACTGCCTCAGCCTCCAGAGTAGCTGGGATTACCAGTGCATACCACCACACCCAGCTAATTTTGGATTTTTCATAGAGACGAGGTTTCACCATGTCAGCCAGGCTGGTCTCAAACTCCTGATCTCAAGTGATCCACCTGCCTCGGCCTCCCAAAGTGCTGGGATTACAGGTGTGAGCCACCAAGCCAGGCCTGTCCTTCTTTCTTGATAAAAACTCTTAAAAGGCCCCAAGCATAAGGTCCTCCCTCATCACAAATTCGCATTCACCTTTGTTCCTTCACTGACAGCTGTGCCCGGAATTCCCTGGCTCTGCCAGTTTCTGTGACTGCAGGCAGCCGGCAGACTCAGGCCCTCCTGCCAGGGGGAGAATTTGCCACGTTAGCAAGAGAGACTCCCATCACATCCAAGCGACCGGGTATGTGTCCAAGTGACAGAAATGCGGATTTACTCTCTTGACCTCACACTGCGCCTCCCGTGCCCTCAGATGTGCAGTGCAAATGGCAGCTCCTTGTCTTCTTATAAACCTGCCAGTCTGCATCAGGCATCTGAAGACATCCTTGCAGTGAATGGAGGAATCAGTCAGCATGCGTTTGCAAGAGCGTTTATTCCGCAGCCCTCACAATCTCGGGGGCCCTGAGAGGATCCAATGGCAAAATGAAACTGACCTGCCATGGAAATAACATGGAATGGATCTAACACATTGTCCTGAGTCAGTCGAGGGGACAGAACTTATTCGTACATTCAGTGAATGTGTGTGATCTGCCCACTGTGAGACAGGTACTGCACTAAGAGCCAGACTAGAGGGAGGAGCGAGGGAACCACAGGCTCTGCCTTCTGAGAGCTTCTGGTCTGACCAGTTTGTATTAAAAGCAAGGGGGTAACATAAATGGGAGTCCAAAATACTGTGATACGGACTTTGAATGCCATAGACATTCCAAAGGAGAAAATAAGGAAGTTTATAAAGCAATAAAATGTGCGTGTTATAAATGGGGGAGTAAGTTCCCCTGGTGGTGTCTTTAAGGATCACTCCAACTGTGGAACTCACGCTGGGAGAGGCATGTGAAATTCAGGGACTTATTATACTCACAGATTCTAGAGAGGGAGCCACAGCACACATGCAGAGGGCTGTGTAGGACCAGCTCCAAGGGATTGGGTTCAGCCAGGCAGGTGGGAGCTGAGAGAAAGTGAGAGCTGGTGGCCAAGTGCCTTTATTGCTGAGTCAGGGTGGAGCAAAAGGCATGGGGGTATTTTACTGGTGCATTTGAATGTCAGTAGATCACAGTCAGGGAAGGCAGGAAGGGGAACCTGGGGCAGAGGCCGGCCTTATCACACAGGTGCACCTGGTCTCCTGGGCCGTGAGAGACCGGGTCATGAGGATGCCTGTAAGGCATCATGAACATTTGAAGTTTTCAAAGTTTTTAAAAAATTCACAGTGTTGTGAATCAATGAACATAGCCAATTAGCATCAGGGAATACGGAGAAAATTCCACCAAGAAGACTGAATAGTATAGAATTGCATTAATTGAGCAACTTAATAGGCAAGCTGTTCAGATCCAGGGCCTCAGGAAAAATGGCATTTCTTTCCTGGCAATTTGTAACATTTTCCATCAGGCACCTCTCCTGTCCAGCAATAATTGTGTTTACTATTCAAGTTATTGTTTATTCTACGGTTTTTTGTTATTACTATTTCCCTTGCATGGTTTTCTCATTACTTTAATGCTATTTGTTGTGGGCTAGAGGTTTTTTAATTATTATTCCTTTCCCTTGTATTTGCTTTTATGTGAAGGCTTTAACTTCAGGTGCTTCCTCGGATTGTTTGTAAAGCAGCCTTGCATTTCAGAAGAGCGCTGAGGTGTCTGGGTTTTTTTCTGTTTTGACACTGGCTTCTCAGATGGCTTATTTGGGCTGAGCTTGAGGCCTCAACCTGCAGCAGAAAACACACCAGAGCCGTAGTTGTTAGGTAATGCGTATTTAATAGCTATTAGAAATGACAACTCCTGCTGCTGAACAGCTGTCACTGGAGGCCCAGAAATGCCACAACCACGGGAACATAAAGTCTTCTCTCTGGGGGTTGGTTTCAGCTCCTACCCAGCTTCTGTGGAGCTTTAAAAAAGAAAAAAACAGGAATCTTGCCATTTTTCTCCCGTTAACTGGCAAATGTTCCCACCACCAAATTCCTCATGGCTACATGCCAGCACTAAAAACAAATCATCATCATCATCATCATCATCAGAGCTGGCATTTATTGAGTTCTTACTATATACGCCAACCACCGTGCTGAACAACTACATAATTATGTCATTGAATCATCAGTAGCCCTCATTTATAGACGATTATCATCCCCTTTTATAGATGTGGAAAATGAGGCACACAGAGTTTAAGTAACTTGCTCAAAATCACTGAGCAAGTAAGTGGAATTGTTGGGATTCCAACCAGGCAGTCTGGCCTGGACTTTCAACACTAGACTAGCCATGAGACTGACCTCAGAGGTGAGGCATAAAGGAATTTTGTCTTTGCAGGCAGCTTGTGCGATGGTTACACACTAGAATTCTGAGTTTGAACCCAAGTAAACTTTTCAGGAGAGGAAACAGGAGTTTCCCAGGTAGAAAGTGGGAGAGCCAGAGTTTGAAACAAAAGCCCCTGGCCAGGTGCAGTGGCTCACGCCTGTAATCCCAGCACTCTGGGAGGCCAAGACAGGCAGATCACTTGAGCCCAGCAGTTCATGACCAGCCTGGGCAACGTGGTGCAATCACATCTTTACAAAAACTATGAAAATTAGCTGGGCATGGTAGTGAAGACTGTAATCCCAGCTACTGAGGTGGGTGAGTTTGGAGAATTGCTTGAACCAAGGAGGTGGAGGTTGCAATGAGCAGAGATTTTGCCACTGCACTCCAGCCTGTGCAGTGGTGAGAGAAAGAGACAGAGAGAGAAAGAGAGAGAGAAATCTTCTGACCTCAGAGCCTGATGCTGTTACCCTCTCTCTTCCCAGCCGCCAGGCACGTTCCATCACCTTCCTCTTCCCACCACCTGCCAACTCCTGTTCCGATGACCTCCAACAATTTCTGCTCCATTTTTCCTCTCTATCCTTACAGCTGGATTTTTCTATATAAATATTAAGTTGTGGGAGCCACTGCCCTGCTCACTCGGCTACCAACCTCTCCATGATGGTATTTCTCCTCCCCACCTCCAGAGTTCTCCAGAGTTCTCCCAAAGCTCTTAGGGGCATGTCACTACTGTCCTCAAACACCTTCAGTGGCTCCCAGTCACCTCCCACAATGGTTATAAAAGCTTTGGTTTAAAGACATGGATCTGAAGAGATTGTTACCAATGTGTATTTCCAGGTTTCTCCCCCATGCCAGCCAATCTGACTTGTAGGACTGGTGTGCAGCTCAGGAAGACCCCTTTTTAGCAAGCCTCCTGGGGGGGGGGTCTGATGCAGGTGGTCAGGGGCCACATTCCGAGAATGAAGATCACATTTCTTAGAATGATGTCCAAGGTCATCCACGATCTAAACTGCTCTCGCACTGTCACCTCCCACTGAGGCCTGAACACTCACTCTAAGTTCCCAGTAGTCACCCCTCATAAAGTGTGAGGCCCTGCTTCTTCCTCTTTGCTCAGGCTGATTTTTCAGCTGGAATGTTCTCATCAATCCCAGCCTTTCCTATCAAACTGCTGCTCATCATGGAAAGCCATGCTCACAGGTCACCACCTCCCTGAAGCACCCTCAGATATGACCCTGCAGTCACCTGGGCTTGGCAACATCGCAGCAGTGGCCCCTGCCACATGCCGGCCATCTCCTATCCAGGTGGTTCTCCTGCTGATGACAAGCTTCCAGCAGTCCCCTTTGTACCTCCCTGTATTTAGTTTGGTACCTAGGACAAAATATGTGCCTGCTAAATGTCTGGTTACTTGAATAGAGGAAGCAAGGCTTATAAAGATGAAATATGGCTTGAAAATGTCACAAGAACCAAAGCAAGTGCTAAAGAACAAGGTTCTAATTTGTCGGATCAATCATGCAGCAATAAATCAGCCACCTTTGAGGCATGGAGGGAGGGCATGAGCAAAGGAAGGAAAGAAGGAGGAATGAAAAAAGAATGAAAGAAAAGTTTACAGAAAAGAAATGCCATTTATTCCACAATTTACGTGCATTATGTCATAATAGCCAAGTGATTAAGAAGGAAAGCTGTAGAGTTTGAATTTGCTAGGTTTGAATTATTGCTGCTCTAGTTAACTGAACCCATTTTAGAAAATTACTTAACCCCTCTGAGCCTCGGTTTTCTCATCTGTAAAATGGAGACAACAGCCATATTACCTATTACATTGCTGTGAGGTCCAAAAAGTAAATACATGGAAACTTTGTAGAACCATGCTTGGCACGTATTAAATGTTAGCTAGTATCCACCTTCACAACAAGCCTTTGCAATCATTCATTGTTATTATTCCTATTTTACAGTAAAAGAAACAAAGACTTAGAGAAAGTAAGCTACTTCCCCAAGGTTACATAGCAGGGCCACGTCTGCCTGGTTCTGAAGCTTGTGGCCCTGATAGCCATCCAAAAGAGAGATGTGGCAGGAAGACCCCCCAAATCCAGGGCAGTGTGACCACTCCTGAAGTCCCCAACAATAAGTACTGCCAGCAGCTGGGGCTCTCTGAGCCCCCTCTGGCTCTGTCTCACAATATGCTCTCCTGTCTCCCTTTAATAGACATCTTCCTCTGCACCGCGGAGAACAATGACAAAGCTCTTAGTCCCCTCCCTGAGGGTAGCTGGTCCTCCCCGTCACCAGGAATACTTCCCTCAGAGCTTCCTTCTCTCTCCATGAAGGAGGCTCGGGTCTCAGCTGTCCTTCCTGAGACAGCCAGGGCTGCATCCTAGCTCCTTCAAACCTTCCATCATTCATACCCATCTCCTTCTACCACCCCATCTTGCCCTGAAATCCTCATTAATGCAGACAGGCCATGGACCATGACTGCTGCCCAAAAGAACGTCCCTCAGCACACTGCAGCTGGATGGCCAGATCCCACCTCTCTTTCCTCCCACCCCTGACCTAAAGAAACATACAGGGATTCTTTGGCAGCAAAGGCCCAGAAGCAGGAGCTTGAAGCAGGTGCACTTGGTATATGCTTTGCAGACAGCAACTGAGCAGACACCCTTGGCAAAGTCACTTTTGATAAAATAGCGTAAGAAGAATCGCCACCGCCTATTGAAGATCAACTACATGCTGGGCACTGTGCAAAGGGTTTTAAGTGAATCCTCTCATTTCATCCTTGTGTCATACGTCATGATCGTCTCCGTTTCACAGCTAAAGAAACTGAATCTCAGAGAGATTCAAGACCCTTGCCCAGGTATGGTTTTTGAACTATGTTCTTACCCACTGGATTAGTGATACCCACACTGGAGCCCTTGTTGGAATCATCTGTTAACACACAGATTGCTGGGCTCCACCCGGAATTTCTGATTCAGTAGGTCTGGGGTACTAGCATCAGGATTTTGTTAAATATCCAAATGCTCAGGCCTCACGCCAGACGTTCTGAGTCAGAAGCTGCATTCTAACAGGGTCCCCAGATGACTCCCATGCACATTCAAGTTTGAGTCTAGATAAATTGCCCTTGAACTTTGCTTGGACTGCCCAAAGAGAACAGAGATCGAGGCAGTCGCATCACTTTTGACCTCTCATCCCCCTAGCTTGCCAGGCAGGCATGGAGGAGCCCTTTCCTCCCCAGTTTGGAAGTTGCAGTGCACATTATTTGGTGGCCACGTGCAAGTCCATGCCTGCAAGCTCCAAAACGCGGCAGCTCCTGATGTTTCTCATGGCAGTTGCGTTACCAAACAGAAATCACTTCGCGGGGCTTCAGTCCGTCAGCCCTCCCCCAAGTTAAATTGCTTCTGAGATTAAGAACCCTTCTTTTTTTTTTTTTTTTTTTTCCTTTTTAAACTACTAGATAAGTAGCAGAGCAGCCCTGGAAGGCAGAATGTCTAACCCTAGGGAAACTTGTACATGTGATGCACACAGAGCTAGGGGAATCCTGTGGTTTATGGGAAAAACTTTCGTGCTGGGAAATAAACCAGTCTTTAGAAAGAGGTCAGCTGGGATGGGGGACAGGGAAAGGGTGCTTTACCCTGTCTTGTCTCTCTACAAAGTGACCAGTTGGAATAGTTTTCTCCCAGTGAAAACAGTGATAATAAAATCCTATCTAGTGATGACTATGTGCCAGGCTCTGTGCACAGCACTTTACATCATTATCTCATTTCCTCCCTTTGGAAACACTATGGGGTAAGTCCTGCAGAATTCTTATCCCACTTCAAAGATAAAGCAATCGAGGCTGAAAGCAAAGTGTCCATAGTCACACAGCTGGCAAAAACAAGGGAAGGAAGAAAGGAAATTCAGGCTGTCTAACTCCCGTAAGCCTACACCATGCCCAGAACCATTCTGCCTGCTGAGAGACAGCATTGGATGAAACAGACCCCCCATGCCTTCAAGAAGCTTCCATGCTTGCGGGTAATAGGACACCAACAACTTGCAAATTCATCTTGATGCTCCAATTACAACAAAAGCGTAAACCTCCTTCAGTCTGGACTTGAGCTGCAGAAAAGCTTACTGTGTACTCCGAAGAATTTAAATATTCATTATGTAATTAATGCTGTTCAGTCTCACACACACATACACACACAAAAACTGAGACTTTTTTAAAGAACAGCTTAAGTACTTATCGATTGAGAACTTTTATAACTCTCAAAATGGAGGCATCCCCATATCTCTACAGGTATTTTAAATGAATTGAATTAATCATAGGCTTAAAAGTCTCTTGCGATCTTCGTTAACTTCCCTGGGTTTAATTAAAACATCTGTGCACTTTTAATTTATCGATTCATCCAACTCATATGTCATGTTTTTAACACACCCCAGCATGCTCTGCATCATTTTTAACCCGATTTCCACTTAACTAAAGCAATTAAATTCACCCCGGATTAATTAAAGCATCCATACTTTCGTGCTTAAGTCAGCGTGTGCTTCTTTCCCCACATGGCTCCTGAATGTCAGAGATTTGACACACCTGATGAGTTTTTTGTCCTTCTGGAAATTCTTCCCTGAATCACTTTCTTGCTTATTAATGTGCCATTTGACAGAATGGGAATGAGGAAGTTGGTGCAGCTGAACTTTGGCCCTCTGAGCCGGGGACTCTGACCCCATCTGTCAGAATGCACCATCTGGTTTCCTCTCTTCACGGGGGTCCTGCCGGCTCTTGCCCCCACTGAAACCAACTAAAGCGTCTGAGTACTCTGGGCAGGACGGTGGCAGGGGTTGGGGGAGGGCTGTTCAGGTCAGAGATGAGCATCACAGTCAGGATGGCTGGTGATCTTTGCATTTGTATTTCATAATCACTCCTAGCTCTCTTTCCAACTTCCTCTCTCTCTCTCCTTCCCTACATACACAGTCCTTTATTGCTCTGCCCATTTAATAGGTCAGGAAAACTGAGATGCCAAGGTCAACAGACTTCCTGCTTGGGCACGGTGAGCCAGGGAGCTGTCCACAGAGTGACAAATCATCTCCCTGAAAACTAGATTTGATTTGCTGCCATCCACTGGGATGGAGAGAGCCCATCCCCTCAGCCATGGCAGCATTGGGTGTAAGCAGCCTTATTTTTTTCCCCGATCAGATAAGCCAAAAATATTTCTCATTATCATTTTTATCTGTACTTACTTAATTTTGAAGGAAGCTGAGTATCTTGTCTTACCTTTATTGGCAACTTATATTATTTCTGATATGTGCTTTGCCTAGGTTTTCATTCATCTGTTTATTAATTTGCTAGAGTTCTTTGCGTATTTCAGATATCAAACGTTATGCTGTAAAACATGAGAAAAAAATATTTCTTCCCAGAGTTGCTTGTCCCTTAATTTTGCTTAGGGTATCCTTTGTCACAGAGAAGATATTAATTCTTTATAATCAAATCTGATCCTCTGTTCCTTCATGGTTTCTAGAATTTATGTCTTACATATCTCCCTCCCAGGAAAATAAAATTAGTCTCCAGTATTTTTTCAAATACTTTGGTAGTTTTTGTTTTTCTGTTTAGGTCATTAATCTGTATGGAATTTTTTTTAACTTTAAGTTCAGGGGTGCAAGTGTGGGTTCGTTACATAGGTAAACTTGTGTCATGGGGGGTTGTTGTACAGATTATTCCATCACTCAGGTATTAAGCCTAGCGCCCACTAGTTATTTTTCCTGATCCTCTCTCTCCTCCCACCCTCTACCCTCCAGAAGGTCCCAGTATGTGTTTTTTCCCTGTATGTGTCCATGTGTTCTCATCATTTAGCTCCTACTTATGAGAATATACAATATTTGGTTTTCTGTTCGTTAGTTTGCTAAGGATAATGGCCTCCAGCTCCATCCATGTCCCTGCAAAGGACATGATCCCATTCCTTTTTATTGCTGCATAGTATGGAATTTATTTTTGAATACAGTGTGCAGTGGGCGGGGGGGGGGTCAAACTTTATTACTTTTCTACCAGATGGATTGCCAATTGCAGGGATCTTGCTAGAAGGGAAACTCACCTTTCTGACACTGGTTTGCTCAGCACCAAGCTAAGTCCACAACCTCAAAAGCCAGTGGGGTTGCCTTTTGAGTTTTGGTTTGAGGGGTCACCGAGCTTTGTTTGCCTGGCCTCCATGACCTAAATATTACATCCTCAATTGCTTCAGGAGGATCAATGCATCTTCTTTTCTCCATCACTTATCCTCTACCACCTAACCAAGCTACTAACCCATGTGAGTTACTCATCACTATTGCTGACTAACTGGGATATAAGGCAACCAACTATTAGTGCTATTTTGACGATTTGCCTGGAGTACTAGCTTCAAGTATTTTCACCTCTCTTTTCCAAAGAAATTTTCAAACAGACTTCAGCTGGGTGTAGTGGCTCATGCCTATAATCCCAGCACTTTGGGAGGCTGAGGCAGGAGGATCACCTGAGTTGAGGACTTCGAGTCCAGACAGGGCAACATAAAGAGACCCCGTCTCTACCGAATTTTTTTTTTAAATTAGCTGGGCATGGTGGTGCACACCTGTGGTCCCAGATGCTCTGGAGGCTGAGGCAGGAGAATTGCTTGAGTCAGGGAGGTAGAGTCTGCAGTGAATGGTGATCCTGCCACTGCACTCCAGCCTGGGTGACAGAGCAAGACCATGTCTCCAAATAATAATAATAATAATAGTAATAAAATGAAATAAGTATAAAACAGACTTCAAATAATTTTTTAAATACATTATTTGAAATTCCCTCTACACATCTAGTCCAGCCCACAAATTATTTGTGCAGATGTAGGCATTTTCCCTCTGCTTTTATGACTGAGCCTCTCCAATATCCTTAACTTTTCTCCACGTATTCTCTTTACTGCAAGCTCCAAGTGGACAGGTGGCTTATCCTGTTACTTCCCACTGAGTAAATAACACTGATAATTCATCTCATCCCTTACAGAGAACTTTGTGGGGGCTGGGAGGGCGGGGGAGCTTCAGCTGGATCATTAAAATGAGCTTTATACCATTTAGGTGAATCTAAATTCTGTCATTTTTTTGTCATCAGCCTGTTAACTTGTCAGTTATTAGTGGTTGTGGTAATTTATTTTTCTTCTGTGGGAGTCTTAGAGCTTCCATTTACTAGATTTAGTAAAACAGGAATAGTCAATTTGTACAAACATTTTAATTAATTTTACATAGAAGCTTGAATGCACAATGTTCTGCTCCCGTAAGCCTTAGGAAGAAGAGAGACATGCGGAGACAGAAAACGCTCCACTTTCATACCTGACCAATCACAACCAACTCCCTCCCACACCAGAAAAGACTGGAAGAAGAAAAAATGAAATCTTTCCATTAGTATGATTTGACATACGTCTGGTGATTGCTAGTGTTTGTGTGTGCGTGTTTGAGACCTATGGCATTTCTTTATTTTATTAGCCCTTGAAGTCAGATTAGAGATTCAGTTTGAAATTTTGTAAGGGAGCATCTCTTAATTTGCCTACCAAGTGTCAGCCACTCCTGTGAGCCATACATGTTACCTCACTGAACCCTTCCATCAATGCTGAAAGGCCATTTTTTGAAGGGGAAATTGGGTCTTTGAGAGGTGCAGTAATCTTGCCAAAATCCACAGCTGGTAAGGTACAGGTTTGGTTTCGAATCCAGGTCTTTCTGGCATCAAAACCCTTGCTACTTCCACTTCTGCTCCGTAATACTTCTTGGCACAGAGTAGGCAGTCAGTGTCATTTTTCTATAACCTGTCATAAAAAATAATGCAGCTTGCATGATAGTAAAAATATAAGACTTATTAATACAGGAGGTTCCCCATTTCACATCCAGCCTCTTGAACAAAACATCAGCCTGACCTCAGATACTGGGATGCTCTGGGTTGAGTTATGTCTGAGAATGAATCAGTTGCCCCAGAGGGAAGGTGCTCTCCAATGCAGGACACCCCAGCCACCACTGGAGGGAGCTCATCTGGTGTTTCTGCACTCTGCCCCATGGCAACTGGATTACTATAAAGTCTCGCTCCTGTGATGAGCCGCCTTCCACTTCTTTGTATGGCATAAGCAAAGCCCATTGAGTGTCCTGCTTTCCAGTGAACATCACAGTGTTTTTGCATTTTTTACCACACTCCCAGTGAGCACGCGGCAAACCCTGAAGGAAGGCTGCGTTTGGAAGGTGGAGAACTCTGTGACCTATTTTTTATATTTTTCACTGAGTAATTTAAGTAGGTCAAATTTTAAATTTGATTTCCCAAGCACCTGGTTTTAAATAAAACCCATTCTTACCTTCTAGACAATCCTGTTTTTTTCTACTTGAAGTTTATGCAGAAGAGGAACAGTGTCACTATGAATAAAGAAAATAATTCGGTCAGGCACGGTGGCTCACACCTGTAATCCCAGCACTTTGGGAGGCCAAGGCGGGTGGATCACCTGAGGTCAGGAGTTCGAGACCAGCCTAGCCAACATGGTGAAATCCCATCTCTACTAAAAATACAAAAATTAGCCGGGCATGGTAGCAGGCACCTGTAGTCCCGCTACTCAGGAGGCTGAGGCAGGAGAATCGCTTGAACCCGGGAGGCAGAGGTTGCAGTGAGCCAAGATCATGCCACTGCACTCCAGCCTGAGTGACAGAGCAAGGCTCTGTCTCAAAAAAAGAAAGAAGGAAGGAAGGGAAGGAAGGGAAGGAAGGGAAGGAAGGAAAGGAGGGAAGGAAGGGAAGGAAGGAAGGAAGGAAGGAAGGAAGGAAGGAAGGAAGGAAGGAAGGGAAAGGAAAGGAAGGAAAGAAAAAAAAAGAAAAAAATTTTATCTATATTTTTTATTGATTAAAAAAGACAAAAATTTTGCACCTTACTTTCTACCATCCTCCACCTTTTGGGAGGAAGGAGGATGTAATAGGAGACCAGTGTTGGTGATTTGATGTAACTTTCTCTGCCATCCGTGACAGCCCATCCAATCTATAACCCTTAGGTCAGAGAGTCAGAAACAGCCCTTGGAAGCTCATTTAAATACACGTTGTGCAACCATACTTCTCGCTGTTTTTTATTTCAGTGCAGGGCTGGAAGGGGGCTGAGAAGTGATGTTGATTCTAGTCTTCCCACCAGGAAATACCTTCACTGTTACCTAGATCAGAAATGACAAGTAGGTTTTCTCTGGAATACCAACTCTGCCTGCTTGCCGGTCTCAGCCTGCACACTGCATTGACGGTTTCGAGGCTCTATCTGGGCTCAGGGGAACAAGATGCCGTGATCAATTAGTGATGTCTGTAGAGGTGTGGGAAGGTAGTACTATAGATCATGTGCACACGCCTGCCATCCCAGACCTAGAGCTTAGCATGAGTCTCAGGAGGAACTGGCATGGAACAAACTTAACTCTGTCTTAAATCCCTCTCAAAACTTTAAGAAAGTTCAGAGTTTCTTGTGCTACTTCATATTTGCATGTTCCCTAATTCTTAATTGGGCACCCTGGGTTCAAAGCTCTTTTTCTACCCTCTGTTAGACAATCAGCCTCTGTAGCAACTCTGTACAAACTCCTCTGTTTAAGCATCCTGTAGATAGAGAGTATGATCCCTACATTTAGACAGTTCGTCTAAATTCAATATGCGGCTTTGAAGTTCTCACTTTTGAACTCATTCTTCTCCTCTGGTAAATTCATAAGCATAAGAATTCTACTGAAAATAGCGCCCCCAGTAGTTATGGCAACTGTCCTATTATAAAGCATTTTGAGGGGAAATGACCCCTCAATCGTATGTCAACTATTGAGATACTTACATTTCAAATCAGTTTGCAATTAAGGTAAAACATGCACTTCCCCAGAAAAAGGCATTGTGTTTACAGCATGAGATTCACTCCAGGGACTGTTCTTCCCACGTCTTTCATAAATGGCCATTTAGTGCTTGCCCGCAACCCCCCACCACTGGGAAATCTCTGAATATCAGGAACACAGGAGAAATGTTTACTTAATCAAGCCACCATTGATAAACGTAGCAATGGAAGGAAATCAACAATGATAAACATAGTCCCTGTCTTGAATAGCTGACTATATATCTTTGGGAAATTAGACACGCACAGAGGAAAGTTAATTACCATAAAAACTACATAGAAACATGACAACAAAAGGGGATTCATGAGGCTGGGTGGGGCAGGTGACTAGGAAGTGACATGATTAGGTATGCCATCGCTGAGTGGCACAGGGCGCTCACCCGGGTTGTAGATGTGTGTACACACACATGCAGAATTCTCGGAACCTGTGCATTCCAAACCATGGATAACACCAGGAGTCACTGAAACACCTGCATCCGTCATTTCTGAAGGCCTCTAATGCCACTTCCATAGCCGGAGGATTTTAGGCCCAAATTTGAAGGCAGGTTGGAAAGTTAGGCTCTTTACAAACTGATGCGGAAATGAGAAGTCCAAGACCTGAAGGAGACCGACCACTGAAATCCCATTCTTGATGAACTCTGAAAGGTGGGAATTGGCACATTTGAGGCCAAACTGATTAAAGCTGTAGGTAATCTCCTCCCAGACAATCCCCACTGATTTTCCAACCTTCTTCTCACCAACAGATGGAAGAGGGTACAGCTGATGGGCGAACTACTAGAAATTTCATGCCTTCAGCCTGCCTGCTCCCTTTTCTTTTTTTTCTAATAAGTCAAGCATATTTAATCGTTATGCTTTATTACACATGTTACACTTTGAAGGAGGCACAATGACAGTAGTCCCTCCTTATCCTCAGGGGATACATTCCAAGACCCCCTGTGTGTACCTGAAACCACAAATGGTACAAACCCTACACATACCATGTTTTCCCTACACATGCATATCTAGGACAAAGGTTAATTTATCAGTTAGGCCCAGTAAGAGATTAACAATAATAATAAAATAGAACAATTAAAGCAGTAGCTGTAACATAAATTATGTGGATGTAATTTCTCTAAATTCCTTATTGTACCATATTCACCTATTTTCAGACAGCAGTTGACCATGGGTAACTGAAACTGAAAGTGAAACCGCGGATACAGGGGGACTACTTCATTTCTTCATGGTATAGATAAAACTGAGGCAGTGAGACTTTCAGTGGCTCAGCTGTGTCTCATCCCCACTTCCTTTTTAATAGGCATAAACTTATTAGGAATAAGAGTCGACTGATCTGAGGGTAAAATAATCAGCAAAATGGATTCTGATCTCCAATACCAACAACAGAACAACCATAAGGACGTCAGTGTCGCTTAGTGAAGGGTACCACTTCAAAGTTGGGCCAACCTGGTTCCCAGCCGGGCTCCCCTGCTTGTGGGCTGTGTGACTGGACACGTCACTTCCCCTGTCTGAGCCTCACCTGCAAAAATGGGGACCATGACTGTAGCCTCCACCTCATAGGGTGATTACGATGATGAAGTCATGAATTGCACATAAAGCCTTCTTTCTATACCGTGCCCAGCACATAACAAGCATTTAATTGGTGGTAGCTGCTGTTATCAGTAGCACTTGTGTTGTTTATCTGGCAATGGTTCTGCACCTGCACAGCCAGAGTCCCCAGCCTAGAACACTGTAAGCCAAGCCCCAAGGCCAGACAGCTCTACCTCCTTAGACTGCCATAGCCCCTCGGATGCTGGCCCTTCGTGACCTAGTGCTCTGTCTTTGGTTTGTGCAGCTGCCTGCCCTGTCCTGTGCAGTGGGAATGGACAATATTCTAAAGGGACGTGCCAGTGCTACAGCGGCTGGAAAGGTGCAGAGTGCGACGTGCCCATGAATCAGTGCATCGATCCTTCCTGCGGGGGCCACGGCTCCTGCATTGATGGGAACTGTGTCTGCTCTGCTGGCTACAAAGGCGAGCACTGTGAGGAAGGTAAGCCCGCCGGCCCCGGGGCTAGGCAGCAGTGGAGGGAGGCGTTTGCAGGGCCTGACCTTTGCTAATGAGCCCAGTCCTGGGCTGCGTGTTTTGCAAGAGAAGTTTCAACATTTTGCACAAAACAACTTCAAACTCCTTTGCTTTGATAAATTTCTTTGGTTGTAGAACAAGAAAAGCCTATGGAGATGGTTCTGGAAGAAACGTTTTGTTTTACTCTCCTTTGTAGAAATTGATTCCTTTTCTCTTTCACCTTTGTTTTTCTCTTTAAATTGCTCTCTCTGCCTTTGTCTTTCTGTCTTCTCTTTCCTTCTACTCCTCCTCCCCTTCCTTCTCTTTCTTTTCCTCTTTTGTTCCTTTCCCTCGCCCTATCTTTCTTCCTCTTTTCTCCTGCTTTATTTAGTAATTGGGAATTACTAAAGCTATTCAGAGAAAAGAAACAAGAATTCCTAAGCCCCTTGCCTCCCTTCCAAACAAAAAGCTGTTTGTTGTTATTGTTGTTGTTACTAACTCTTCCTGGTAATCTAAGGCCCGTGTATGTCTGTGTAAATATTTCAGCAAAAATTAATATCAATAGACAGCAGTCAGGCTTGAAAGACTGTAGGTTTTTTATGTCATTTAGAAACACCATGTAGGGCAAATTAGCTTGGTTACTTACAATTGCACAAAACTAGAGGAGAGTGAGGATGCAGCAAGAGGGACGGGATTTGATGGATCCTGAAAATCTCATCCTGGCAGACACGTAAGGGCCTTTCACACACATGGGTGAAAATCAGGGATATAATAAACTGAATCTAATCTGACAATATGGTCAGAGATCAGGCTTGGAGATCAGGAGAGGGGGACATAGAAGAGGGGATACAGGAACAGGGAGAAAGAGCACCTCTCTGGAGGGGATCCAAAAGCAGCTGTAACTACTCCTAGTTACCTTGATCAGTTATTTCAGATAAATTATTTTGTGCCAATATGTTGGGACTGACTTGCAGTAGCTATAAGGCAAGAGAAAGCTATGCTGCCTGTCAGCCTTCCTGCTCTGTATTTGGCCTTGCAGAATATGGTCTCTGGTTGCCATTTGATTACTTGTCACCATATAAAGAATTGGCCACAGCTGGTAGGAAGGTAAGACCATAGACCCTCTCAGCCCCTTGCCCATTCCCCAATCTCTGAATTGGCTTCATCATTGTCTTCCAGCTGAGGCTCCTTTTCTCTAAGTCCATCTCCCAGTGAAATGCCCTCACACAACTCAAACAGCCCTTTTCCCTCCCATGTCCCCAACAGAAATAGAAGTGTCAACTTGCCCAACAAACTAAGGGGAAAAAGTGAAGCCCCTGCCTATTCTGCATGAACTTGATGTAACCACCCAAGATATCCCCATAGAAAAGATCCTGTTGGATGCCATATGCATTCTGTGTTCCTCATGGCCAGGCTAACAAGGGATCTCAGGTTTTATGAGGTTCTCAGATGCTAATGGATTCATTCTTTCATCCCAACAACCAATGGATCTCCAGAGTTCTATACAAAATAACCAATCATCACAGCTCTCACCACAAAGTAATGACAGTGCTTTGTACTTAGATACACCCACATAGGGTTCCCTTGTGAAACCCCGCATTTCATCGTTTTTAGAACTATGGCTACCAAAAGTCAGCTTCCATAACATTATTCCTCTAAGATTTTTCAATATATCAGCAGTAATGCCCTTAATGGGGACCAGAAGTCTGACCCCCAGATCTTCACTTGCTCAGTTCTCTATATAATTTTTCCTCTATTATAAAAGGTAGCCTCCCTATGTCTGCATCATAAAGAATTGGGAGTTTGGATGGAGGAAATACTGATTTAATAACCCTGCTTGAAAGGTTAAAGTTCTTAAAGATAAATGGATTGCAGGAGGCAAAGCTGCATTCGCTGAAAACATAAGAGAGGCCAATAATACGACAAGAAAGGTTAAAACGACCTTTTGCATGCATCATTTGGAGAAAGGAAAGTGCTAGGGCAACAACATTGCCAGTCTTCGAATTTTTTCTCTCCAGTAAGATTATACACAGCTGTATGCATGGAATCTCAAGTGATTTCTCAACTTTCTCACTATCCCACCCAGTCTTATTTAAATGTTCAGAGTGAATTAACCATCCAACCAAACAAGCCACGTGAATCATTATGAAAGGATGAAATCTCCTCCGTTGATTTCTGCTACCCAAAAAGAATGAACCGAGGTGATTCATATGCTGTTTTCAAAATAGGAAATGGAATCAGAAAGTCTGGATCAGCACTTTTTCTTCCATTTAGCTTTTTTATTTCTGATATTCGTCATAGTCATAACGTTCAAACAATTTACCTGAAATGGCCATGGCAATGAAATCAATAGTTGCCATCCCTTCGTTTTTCCTGCATAAACATGGTTGTACTATTAACAAATTTGCCCAAGAAAATGAAAGGATGTATTCGTGAGGTTTCATTCAATGATGTGTAGGGGAGTGGGAAGGTGATGAGAGAGGAGTTGACATATTAGTTTAAGTCAGCCATGTTTTCATGTCAGTTTCATGGTTGAGTCATTTTTCAATGACATTTAACTTCATAAATGTAATTCATGGTTCTTCAGGGGCTTATAGTACATATTGTTTGTAAAACTCCTTGACCTCCTTTTTTATCCTTAGGGATAGAAATTGCATTCACAACCCTTTTTTGTCAAACCTACAGAGGGCCCAAGACTAAATGAGTTCTAATGATTTCAGCTGCCAGGGGGCTGATGTTTCGAGGCACATGGTACTTAGCTGGTAAAGGCCACTGTCCCCTTTTAAGTGTAACACTGTTTCTATTTATAAAGCTTCGTAAAATGCCATAGTCCCTCCTGCCTGCTAAAGGCTCTAAGGACGTGGCCACAAGAGCATCTTAGGAAATCGGAACCAAATTTAAAATTCATAGTAAAACTGCTCCTCTTGAAGTTTGAATTTAGTTATTCCATCCACTGCTGTAATTATATAGCACAAAGGGCATATTTACTGGTATCACTGACCAGAGAAAGGGTTAGCTCATATTTTTAGATACAATAAATGGTTTTTTTGATGGCATTCTAGTACCGGCGCTAATAAATCTCTGTGGATTTTCCTCCTTCCTTTATACTATAATTCAGGATAGAGAAGAGAGAGCTAATTTATCTGGAAGAAAAATGCCATTTTCATTTTTTTAGTGTATTACTTTTTATTATTTCATCCTTCTAAGAAAAAGATTGTGATTTTTTTTTTTTGAAAGCTCCTAGCTGCTGGCACCTCACCAAACATTTTAAATGGCTAATTATAGGTTAAGAACAATTTTTGAAGCAATAAGCCACAAGATATTTTTGTGTATATTTTGATTTTTCCTTACTAGAAATGGGGGCAGAGTGAAAAATTAGAATTTCAGAATTTCCTTTATTGGAACAATATAAACATGATGGGTTCTGAATGAATTTGTTCATAATTTACAGATCCCCAAATACGATTTTTTTTCAAAAGCAAGAAAGAAGTTGTTAGCACAATTTCTGCTTCCTATCGGTCCTTTCTCTACACAGGAAGTGTGTCCCATCAATGACAAATGCTTATAGCACAGTCTGTCCTTCATTCTTGCAGCAACTGTGTATTGAACACCTGGTATATTCCCTTACCTGTGCTAGGCATGAGACACCAAAGGCCCTGCACAGACCTTTGTCTTTTTTGTTTTGTTTTGTTTTTTGAGACGGAGTCTCGCTCTGTCACCCAGGCTGGGGTGCAGTGGCGCAATCTCGGCTCACTGCAAGCTCCGCCTCCCGGGTTCACACCATACTCCTGCCTCAGCCTCCCAAGTAGCTGGGACTACAGGCACCGGCCACCACGCCTGGCTAATTTTTTGTATTTTTAGTAGAGACAGAGTTTCACCGTGTTAGCCAGGATGGTCTCGGTCTCCTGACCTCGTGATCCACCCACCTCGGCCTCCCAAAGTGCTGGGATTACAAGTGTGAGTCACCACGCCTGGCCCGCCCTTTGCCTTCTATGTGTTCGATGCTTTCAGCTCAAGTTTACGTTCAGATGTGCTCCACCACCCTAAATGGAGCAAATCTGAAGGTATCAAATGGGCTTATGTCATCAGGAGTTATACTCCCCGAGACAATGAATTCAACTGTAAAGTGATAATAACAAGATTATGTAACATCATCATAAATATCTCCAACTAATAATAAGCAACCAAAATTCACCTTTGGGGGAGTGTACCCCTGATTTTTTTTTAATCACTGTTTTTTCCCCATGCCTGAAACGGTTTTGAAATGACTTCCATATATAATACCTTCCTGAGAATATCCAAATGGGATCGTGAGAAATATCTCTTACCACTGAAAATTATTATTTTTGCCTCAAGGGAGGGCTGCCCTTTGGAAACTTCATGGAATATTGTGATTTCCAGTAAGTCCAAATTTCTCAAGTCTGTTGTCCCTCAGGACTAGTTAATTTGTGGCATGGATACTCTAAATAATGTCATATTTAGAGCCAATACGTCATCAGTATTAAAATACACCAATGGCTGGGCATGGTGGCTCACACCAGTAATCCCAGCACTTTGGGAGGCTGAGATAGGAGGATTGCTTGAGCCCAGGAGTTCACAACTAGCCTGGGCAACATAGCAAGACCCCATTTCTAGAGAAAAAAAAAAAAACATAGCTGGACATGGCAATGTGTGTCCGTGGTCCTAACTAGTTGGCAGACTAAGGCAGTAGGATCACTTGAGCTCAGGTGTTCGAGACTACAATGAGCTATGATCATACCACTGCATTCTAGCCTGGGTGACAGAGCAAGACCCTGTCTCAGAAAACAAACAAACAAACAAAAAAGGCATTATTTTGTGCCCCATAGGGAAAGAAAAAAAGACACTCAGCATAAAAAATGTCTTAGGAGATCCTACAGAAAGCTGAGACCCTGAGGAATTATCATCTGAATATAACAGTGAATTATTTAGAGACCAGAAGTCTTACATATTTCAATCTTGGCATTGTGGAAGGAGAGAAAACAAAATTTTCTGAGAATTTAAACCATAAGACGGTACGCATACACAGGAAGGATTTAATAACACTGTCAGCGTGGTCCATAAAAACTTCAAGAATAGAATTCAAAGTGGTCTCAAGCTAGCTGTGCCCCCAGGTGATAGAAGAAGCAATCCTTTAATCTGGGCCAACAGGCCTGATTTGGAAGCCGTGAAAACGGGAGAAATATGTCTTAATCAAGTAAGGTGATGATACATCCACATTTGTCTGATCCACAAAGCCATATCTGAGCCCTGTGCTAGACCACCATTTCTCATTCAAACCGTATATTACACAAAGAACCCTCTTCTCCAAATGACATTGCATCATTTCCTGAGAATACATAGGAATACATAAGAAAGCTGGGCTTCCTCTAAAAGGCCCTATTTATTCAACCCTTAGATTGAATGGAGGTCCCAGGTTTGATATCATATTCTCATGCAAAAAGTCCTGTCCTCAAGAACTGGCCTTTGCAGCTCGCTCCTCTCCTCACTCTGAGTTTATTCAAGTTACGTACTGGATGTATATCCACTCTATTAAGATGGCCAAACAATCAGACAGTGAAACAGGCAAGAACCACAATGACTGGACTCTGGCTATCAGCTCATCTGATTGACTGGTAGAAGGTCAGTGCCTCAGCCAGAGATAGCCATCCAGTCCCCTGGTGATTACCTGTAGGAAGGTGATCCCTTTTGGATCATTTTCACACCCAACTTCGCCTCTTCTATACTGCACATTTACTAACTCCTTCAGTGGGTGTGTGCTCAGAGAATGGATACTAATTTTAGACTTAGCCTAAGTGAAACCTCATTAGGAAAGTGACTCATAAGTTTCATTGGTTTTCCTTTTCATCTTTTGTTACCTTTTGAAGTCAAGTATTAGTGAAGTTACAATGAGCCTCTCTACTTTTCTCTCTTATAGTGAGGGGCAATCCAGTTTGACGACACATGTAGAAACATGGCATATATTCACATTCCTATCGCAGATGCTCTGATATGATTCAGTCAAGGTCCTAATCTTTATAAGCACAAGATACTAAAGGTGGAGTGGCATCCTTCTATATCTGACTTCTAATGCTGCTTGAGAAATCCCCTTTTCGTTTCTCTTGTATCTTCTTCAAGTTTGAGATTTGGTGTTTGACAAATAAGAAGGCTTTTACTTTTTATGGGTGTCTTCAGGTGACCACATAAGTATTTCTTGGGCTACTCCATTTGCTAGCAAGTGGATGGGAACTGGTGACCCACTGGTCCATTCAGCAGCAAGCCCATGTCTCATGGTCCATCCTCCATGGGTGATTAATACTTTTATTCTTTGGTTTTTGTTTTTGTTTTTTTCAGTTGATTGCTTGGATCCCACCTGCTCCAGCCACGGAGTCTGTGTGAATGGAGAATGCCTGTGCAGCCCTGGCTGGGGTGGTCTGAACTGTGAGCTGGCGAGGGTCCAGTGCCCAGACCAGTGCAGTGGGCATGGCACGTACCTGCCTGACACGGGCCTCTGCAGCTGCGATCCCAACTGGATGGGTCCCGACTGCTCTGTTGGTAAGCCACAAGGTTTTCTCCTTCCTCTCTCCAACACTCCTGCCCTGTGTTCCATCCCATTCTCAGATGGATGGGAATCTACTCTTAATACTTAGCTGGGGATAAGGGGACTTTGATGAATCACATTGTGTCTTTCTCATTCTCTTCTCCTCAATCGTGGAGTCTGTGATCTTTGAGAAACAAACAAAAAAGCACTGGGTTGGTACCATCACCGCAAATGCATGAGGAGCCCAGGAGGGATGCTTCCATTTGCATTATAGGTTTTCTTATGTACATTCCCTAAAGGTACCAGAAAACAAAACAGAACATTTCAGCCCCAGACAAACTAAATGGAACATCCCATAAAACAGAAAAGGGGCTCCCTCGGGGTGCTGCGTGAACATGTTCTACAGCTCTGTAATACTCCAGTGACAGGAAAATAATGAAGTCGCGCTGTACACTTCATTTTCCTAAAATTTAGAGTATGTGTCTTCCCTCCAGAGTGACCTTAAAAATGGAACAGTTCAACAGTTCAAGCCAGTCCCAACCTTCCTGAGAAAGGTTCTGTTCACACTGACAAGTCCCTATCCAAGCAAGCGATCATTCCGCCCCCTTCCTCTGGGTAGTGAGACAGCTGTCAGATTGCCATGGCAATCAGGAAGGGAATAGACGTGAAGCTTTGCCTACAATGGGAAAGAAATGAATATTTCATTCCAAAAAGAAAAAAAAAAAGAAGAGTCAGTTAAAATGGGCTATTTTGGAATGTCTTCTCAGCCCACTTGACTCTGGCTTCAACTCTGTTGCTGGTGGTCCTGGCAAGGCCGTGCAGATGATGGGAGGAGGCAGGGGTCCTAGATCCAAAACCCAGTTATGCTACAGATATGCTGTGTGACTTTGAGTGAGTCACTGGCCCCACTCCCCGGCCTGGTCTTCCTTCACCTGGCATGCCAAGCCACGCCTCCCTCAATAGACTGATGAAAGGATGAATGTCTGGCACGTGCTTGTCCTCGCGTGAGAGGTCTGGAATACCAGAGAGTGCATATCTGTCTGTCTGCCTCCTCCCCAAGCACAAAAGACTTTGAGCTCCTTTGAGAAAGAAGCTGTGTAAATGCAGCACAATTACAGCGGTCATTATCACCGCCAAGGTACCAATCTGGGTAACGGGGTATCTGCAGTCATCATGGGAATGGAGCAGCGGGGTCCCCAACTGACCTCTTGTGCTTGGTCAGTTCAGGCTGTCAGTGGGGGAGGAATCCCAGCTGACTAGAGAGTCAGGATCCGTACATGGATCTTTTCAGGTGGGTACTTCCCGGTTAGCTTTGCCAAACTGGTTGGAGTGGTCTCAATCTCTAGAAGAGTGGTTCTCACATTCTAGCGAGTATCAAAACCACCTGGAGGACTTGTTCCAACAAAATCTCTGAGTCCCATTCCCAGATCTTCTAATTCACTTGGTCCAACGAGGGCACAAGAGTCTACATTTCTAACGAGTTCCCAGGTGATACTGATGCTGTTGGTCCAGGGGCCACACTTTGAGAGTCACTTCTCTAGAAAAAAAGATCTAACAATGAATTGATACCCAGCCAAGGAGAGACAAGCCTCCAAAGATGACAGAGCTGCTGGGCCTCGGGGCCTGCTCCAGGGGTCTGGGCCATGTGCGTGGTCTGGACTCCATGGAAGGTTTCACCAGCTGTGGTGTTGAGCTGTAATCATTGTTTTTCTTCCAGAAGTGTGCTCAGTAGACTGTGGCACTCACGGCGTCTGCATCGGGGGAGCCTGCCGCTGTGAAGAGGGCTGGACAGGCGCAGCGTGTGACCAGCGCGTGTGCCACCCCCGCTGCATTGAGCACGGGACCTGTAAAGATGGCAAATGTGAATGCCGAGAGGGCTGGAATGGTGAACACTGCACCATTGGTAGGCAAACGGCAGGCACCGAAACAGGCACATATTGCTTTATTTTCATAAATTGTAGATCTATAGTGATGGTCGCGCATGGCAACTGGCTGTTCCTTCAGGGACACAAGTGCTCTCCCACATTTCCTGCTGCCCCTCCAAATCTCCCAGGGGATAGGGAAGGAGAAAAATGAGGTCCCTAATTGGGAAGGGCTTTTCCTTCTTTCCAGGATTCCGAGTTGAAAGGAAAGGGACCAGAGCAGATAAGAAAACCCCTCCAAACTTGCAATCTCAGGGAGGGAGAAATGCACATGCATGGGAAACTGTCGGTGTCTGGGGGTTGCAAGCACCTCAAATCACTGTGGTCTGCAACTCTCCCCTTTTTAAATCCTCTCTCAGCTGGCTGGATCACTGGATCCCTGCTTGCTGGCAACAAGGTGAACTCACTAATTTTAGGTCAGGTTAGACGCAGGCAGGACTCTCAGGTTCCCTCCGTAGCAGGTACCACGGTAAGGTCCTGAGATTCCCCATCACCACCACCGTCATTACATGTCTCCTCCTCTGGTCCCATTTTATTCTCACTCAGCCACCTCTCTATAAAAGCTTCTGGACCAAGGATAATTTAAAGGTCATTTTCTTTGTTAAGAAGAAATAGTTTTGGAGTTTCTTCATTTTTATTTTTCTCTCTTTTTCGGCACAGTTGTGGTTTAGGGTAGGACTATACTGGATTAAACGTACCTAATCATCCCTTTGGTAGAGAAGCTGGGAGCCAATGCTGTTTGGCTTTGCACATCTCTCAGACAGTTGGGATGACAAAGTTGTCAACTTGAGCATCATTTTACCTCCGGTTTTTACTTTTGTTATTTAATTAGATCAAGCCTAGGATCCATTTTTATACTAAGCTGGTTAATCTACTTGCCTGCATGGAAATTCTCAAAGACGTTTCCAGCCAAACTACAGTTTGGCCCCTTGAAGTTACCTTTGATCCCAGCCATCAAGTTTGAGACCCTCCCCTCTGTCCCTGCCTAACAACCCCAGTCACAGATGGGCCACCTGGAGTGAGAGACAGGGCTAGGAGCTTGCGCAGGGCTGATTCATGAGATCAGACTCAATTTCCCATGCTGTTCATTTGGGTGGTTATACAGAGATAAAGTGGACTGACTCTGTATTCGATTTCTTCCGGTTCCATCTGATTGGGCATCCGAGGGGCAGCATGCCAATCAGGGCCACGACCATAGCACTGGGACCCTGCTGGGACAGTCTGTTGGCAGTGAATTGTTTTTGCAATCTCTCGATGACGCTCCAGGTCTTGCTCCCCTGCAGCCGCTTTTATCCTCAGTTCCCTGCAGAGTCTGAGGAATAATTCAAAAGACTTTCAGGGGACGGCTGTGCACAGCCCTATACTGAGACAGTTCTTACAATAGCTTCCATTCATCAGGGGCATTCCTTTTGCTGTACTATTGCATGCCTGGTGTTATTTACATGAAGATTCCCCTCCCCATATCTCCATTGCCCCAAATCCTCCCCTCAAAAGCTCTTGCCAATCATCAGCGTTGAGGTGGATAATCCTACTTTCTTTTAATTCACACAATCCAACCTCACCTCCCCTTTGCTCCCCCTTCCCACATCTGGGGGACAGAGGGGCAGGGTTAGTGTTTCCACAATGATGCCTGCTGGCTCTCTCCTACCTACAATCTGTCTTTACTTTGGAAATAGCTCACAAGAGGGCAGTCCAGATGGATTCGAGCAGGAGTCGCCAAACTACGGCCAGAGGGCCAAATCTGGCCTGCTGCCTGTTTTTCCATGGCTTGCCAGCTAAGAATAGTTTTTACATTTTCTAAGGGTTGAAAACAAATCCAAAGAAAACTATTTCCTGGCACGTGACAATGATACGAAATTCACATTTCAGTGACCATAAACAAAGTATTATTACAGGACACCCACACCCATTCACTGATGCCTCGCCAGCTTCCATGCCACCTGTCAGCACTGAGTAATTAGGAGACCGCATGGCCCACAAAGCTGCTTGTGTGGCCCGTTATGGGAAAAAAAAAAAAAAAGGCTAACTCCTGAATTGCACAAATCTTGATGGATAGAGGGGAGAAAAGCAAGGCAGGTCCACACCCCCATTAAGAAAAGGACACCAACTGTAGCTTGAAGGATCTGAGGGGTCTACTCCAGATATCGCAGAGTGGGAGTGGAGAAAAAACAGTAGATGTGCTGAAATGCTTCCGGGGCCCTTGAAAAAGAGATGGGAAGATGACAACTTTGGTCTCAGCAGAGAACAGCAAGGAATTGGCCAACAAGAGAACATAGATGTTTCGGTCAAGCTAGTCCTTTGGGTGAGATAAGTTGGAAAAAAAGGTGTTTCTGCCACTTGAAGTGTTTGGTACAGGTTTCACATCTTTGTGAGATGACATACATGAGTTCTTGAGAGACATTCAGAAAGTGTAAATTGATATGCCAGCTAAAGCTCCCAAAATGAAGAGAGTGCTGGTCCAGTATAGTCTCTTGTTCAGAACGATGATCTCCTGTGACTTTAGAGTTTGTGCTCTGTATGTTATAAAGATCTTTACTACCAAAGCCTTTTCTTGTGAGAAATTAGGGCTCTGTGTCTTTATTAGTAGGACATGTGCCATCTCCTCATAGTTATGTTCACTGTGGTTTTCTCAAAAACAAAGCCAAGCATACCTTGATCAGTGAGATTTGCCATTCAAAAACCAGAGAGATGTTCATACATGCATAATTGCATCTTTAGCTTTTCTATCTCCGGCCCCCAGAGCTGCTTTGGGGAGTTTTATTCTTCTAGTTTGAGCAGACACTTCTGTCATTTCATTTAAAGTAAATGCCACAATTTACAAGCCCAGCATCAGTTCTCCTCCTTGGGGATACTGACAGAGAGGAAATGGGGGCTCTTTGGTCCTTTCCAAGCACAGCCTCAAATGCTATATTTTGAAAATAGAAAATACAGAAAAATGACATGGTACCAAGTCAGCAAACAATGCATAGGGAAATTTTGGGTAAGGCAGAATTGTGGGAGTTAGTGTTGGACACTTGGGTTGTCTGCGACCTGTTTACAAAAGGTCATAGGTGGTTTTCTTGGGGTCATTGCAAATAGTCAACTGAACAATTCACATCAGTCCTTGTGGATTACATTTACTGTACTAAAAGGATCAAAAAGAGAAATGGGGAAAAAAGATGAGGACACAAGGACAGACTTCTAAAACTTAGTCAGGTGGAAGCCCCAGGATCAGTCCATGTTTGGTTAATGCCTTTCTGGAATTTGCAACCAAATTATTTATATTTGAAAATGTAGTAGAGATTGCTAAACATTTAAATATAAGGTATAAGACTTCAATGTTAACTGTTAGAGCTAACTTATTGACAGACTGGATTCTACCAAGCAATGACTGTTATATAACCTTTTCCTTAAAAGTTAAATATATGGCATGGCTAAAATCTACAGAATTGTGTAGATAAAAAATATACTTTGAATACATATCAGCCACAATTCATGTGTATCTTTGGAATATATTAGCATTTTTTGTATAGCGTGCAGTTTACTCTTATGACTAGCGCAGACGGCACATTGTGTGGCTAGAAGAGGTTTATTCTTTAAACATAATTTTAAAATGGGTTGTTGTTCCTGTCATCTGCCACCACCACCACCATCACCCCTTGTTAATACTGGGACCTAGGCCAGGTGCAGTGGCTCATGCCTGTAATCCCAGCACTTTGGGAGGCTGAGGTAGACGGACCACTTGAGATCAGGAGTTTGAGACCAGCCTGACCAACATGGTGAAACCCTGTCACTACAAAAATTAGCTGGGCATGGTGGTACGTGCCTGTAGTCCCAGCTACTTGGGAGGCCGATGTGGGAGAATCGCTTGAGCCCAGGGAGGCAGAGATTGCAGTGAGCCAAGATCACACCATGGCACTCCAGCCTGAGTGACAGAGCGAGATCCTGTCTCAAAAAAAATACTGGTACCTAACATCAAAAGGCCATGCAAAGCCTGTAACACCAGGACATGGAGGAACTATAGAATGTGTGTAATAATAGATCAAAATCACTAAGAACTATATATAGTAAATGTAGATCAGCGTCTCATGAAGAGGTAAAGTAGATGTTAGCGTGTGTTAATGAGCAGAACAATTGGGCAAAATGCAAGAAGAAGCCAACATTTGCATTGCCGGGGAATCAAGGAGGGATGCTACATGCTAACTGTGGACTCTTGCAATTATCTCCTGAACATGGGCTACCCAGACATCTGCTCCGAATAATACAAACTAACCCGCAGACTAAATCTGCCCACTCTGGGCACTTCCCAACCCTGAGTGAACTGTTTGATATCTGGGTAGTGAGTAAAGGCTGCAATGGTTATTTCAACTTGTGTATTTTATCTATGTGGTCCTAACCTCCGATTTCATCTCAGAATCATAAGGGCTTGATTCCTAGGACCTTGTGAGGCTGAGTGACCTGCCCAGGTGCCACAAGTCAGTACAGTTTTCTTTTCCCTGTATCGCACTGGGCCCTTCTATTTTTCCTCTTTAATTGGTTGGGGAAAGAAATCGGTGCTTGTGATGTTAATAAGGAAAATGAATCTTTACCCAAGGTAAAACCAGCCGTGCGATGATCCGATGTGCTGATTAAGTGATTGTCATCAGAAGTAGACAGGGTCACAGTCCAAGAGGGAGAGTGCTTCAGAACAATAGGGAACAGGTTGAGAAGAAAGTGATTGTCAGAATTAACCAACTTCAGACTGAGGACAGCTGCTTCTGAATCTCATTCCAGTCTCATTCTAAGTTATGAAAACTTTTTTTTTCTTGTGGCTATTGTCCTTGAACACTTGAGCTTTCATGACTCTACAGTGAGATCAAGTTGAGATGAAATTAGCCACTGTGGAGCCATCCTTACCACCAGGCCTGTGGAATCAGCTAATTCTCTGATTGGTTAATTAACCTATTCCTCCAGGGGCTCTTATTAGAACTATCCTTGGAGTTCCTTTTTTTATTTTAAGTGAAAACCTAAAGCGATGGCCTTTTACTGATAAAGATTATGGATAAACTTTTAACAGAATGCAAAAGCTGTTCCATTGCTGATTCTCCCCCACCACCCCCCTATAATTTGGCCAAAACATGAGCTTCCTTACTGCAGATCAGGAGTCACCACATGCCCAGAAGTTCTTTTTGAGTCTGGGTCAGACAGTCTGCCAGAGGTTTCCTATCTAATCCCAGAACAAGGACTGGGAGACAGACTTACAGAAACATGTTTTCACATCACTGCAAAAACATAAAAGGAAAGAAAATAACGGCTTTACAAGCAGCAAGAGTCTCATCACTGGAAGCATTTGCTTTCTTGTCCTAGACGTTGAAGGGCTTTCAGCATCAGTAGAAACATAGACAAGATAGACACAAACTACATTCTAACTTTATGACTCATCATTCTGTAGTTTAGATGGAAGCATTTTTTTGTATTTTTATGTGATTTAGTAATGTCTGCTCATGTTATGAGCTCCCATCAAAAAAGAAAAGAGGAGAAGAATTCTTGGTGTTTTAGCTCTGTGGGGAGACAGTGATTTGTGTCGTACTCTGCGCTGTTCCCTTACTGTTTCAGGGGAACTGGTTTGATGGACTAGCTTGTGGCTCACAGTGATGGGGCCAAGCTTGCTGAGTCAATAGCTTGATATAAGGTATTCCTTCCTGACTTCACCAGAGCAAAGAATTGAACAGTTTGGAACTCTTGCAACATAAACTCATGGATGAGAGTTAACACAAGTAAGATTCCAGGCTCAAAGAAAGGGGACCATGTAATAAGAGCTGTTGAAAAACATGGGATGCATTGTCCTAATGTATAGTGAGTGTTCTGCACTTGAGCTTTTATAGAGAATCCACGTGCCTTCCAAGTCTGTGACTCTGGGCTTTCACAATACGCACTAAAGATTTTCCATCAAAGGAGAAGGGAAAACAAAGTGGTTCCTGGAGAGCTGAGCTCCCTTAGATATTTGTGATGGACATCTTTCTTATCACTTGGTAGCCAATTCATTGTGGTATCATGAACAGTAGACTGGCTGATGAAGGAGGACATCTGTGTTCTAGCTTTGACTCTACCATATACATTTTGTATATCCTGGAGCAAGTCACCAAGCCTTCCCGACCTCAATTTCTCCATGTGGCAAATGAAAGGGTTGGATCACATCATTGCCTTCCAGGGCATGATACACAAACTTGAGATGCTTTTCATTGGTGTACAAATATACCTTATTGAATAGTCATGTAGGGCTTTTTAAAATAGATACAGTATTAGGAAAAAATATAACTAGCACATCAAACTGATGATTATACAGCTATTATTGCTTAGGGAGGGGGCAAAAGTAGGTAGTGATATTAGGCCTGAGTAAATTTAAAGAAAAATATTAAGTAAATAGTACAGATATTGCAAATGTCATAAATGCAGCGTGTGATTGACTGAATTTAGAACACATTTGAATGAGCTGATCTCTAAGGACCTGTCCATTTCTAGGATTTCATTACTTTTGATGCAGAAACATATGAATGGGTTATTCTAATGCAATCAAGCCTTTCTCTCTTCTGTAAGGCAGGTTTTCAATGTAGGCTCCCATAATATACACTAAAGACTTTACATTCAAGGGACAGATACAGCAGAGTGCTGCCCAGCTGATGAGGCATTGTTGAATTATTGAGGATAGTGAATGGAGCTTTTGTTGTTTGTTTGATTGTCTGCTCACCTCAGCTCCAATTTATATCTGGTTTACCTAGGGAATCTTTTGTACATTGAAAAACTTCCTTGCATAAGTTGAATCATCAGGCCCCACTTCGTCCATTTATATTTTTTAATAAAAAGAAAAGACATGGCTCATCCATCCACGTCTGCTTCACTTGAATCCAGAGAAATGCAAGCATGATAACAGAGTTTTTAAGAACACAGGATTTTGTGGCAAGACGTGGTGGCTCATGCCTGTAATCCCAGCACTTTGGGAAGCTGGGGCAGGCAGATCACTTGAGGTCAGGAGTTTGAGACCAGCCTGGCCAATATGGTGAAACCCCGCCTCTACTAAACATACAAAAATTAGCCAGGTATGGTGGTGCACACCTGTAATCCCAGCTACTCAGGAGGCTGAGCCATGAGAATCCCTCGAACCCAGGAGGTGGAGGTTGCAGTGAGCTGAGATCATGCCACTGCACTCTAGCCTAGGCGACAGAGTGAGACTCTGTCTCAAAAAAAAACAAAACAAAACAAAAAAATAGGCTCTTGTGTCATTCTACCTGAGATTAAATCCTGGTAGCTTTTCTAACCTTTATGTGTCTCAGTTTCTTTGTCTGTAAAATGGGGGATACCAAATAGCACCTATCTCACTGGGACATATGTAAAGTACTTGGCACAGTGCCTACCATAAAGTAAGAGCCAGATACATGTAAGCTGTTATCATCATCACCATCATTGTCTAGCACCAATGCAGGACAAATTGCCAGGTGTGGTGGCTCATGCCTGTAATCCCAGCACTTTGGGAGGCCGAGGCGGGTGGATCGCCTGAGGTCAGGAGTTCGAGACCAGCCTGGACAACATAGTGAAACCCCATCTCTACTAAAAATACAAAAAATTAGCTGGGTGTGGTGGCGAGCACCTGTAATCCTAGCTACTCAGGAGGCTGAGGCAGGAGAATCACTTGAACTCGGGAGGCAGAGGTTGCAGTGAGCCGAGATTGCGCCATTGCACTCCAGCCTGGGCAACAAGAGTGAAACTCTGTCTCAAAAGAAAAAAAAATTCTCATTAGACATTTCTTCCACTTCCAACCTCCCTTTCACAAATTTGCTTCCAATCCCTCAAGAAGTTAGTAGCATGTCAAAATCACACCCACCCACTTTTCCAAACAAAGGTTGTTCAGCAACCTGCTGGCTTCTGGTTCTTACAGACAAACATAAACTGCCTCTCTTACCCGGAATGGAACCTGCTTATTTTACCAGATGGCCTCATTGACTGTATGTAGAAGAAGGAAGCTGGCATTTCTCAAGTTTGAGGATGCTGCCTAGCCAGCGTCTTAGAACACAGCATCCTGTCTCTCCTTTTCTTACTTCTTTTCATTCCTCATGACTCTCTATTCCATGGGCTCTGAGCATCAAGAAATCATTTAGGAGACCCAAATTTGACTCAATCAAGTACCACGCATGCCTTCTGGAAAATCAAGACTCTCATTGATTCTGTCCCCATTCAGCCTGATAAACTTCACAGTTACCCTCATTCCTCCCACGCTGCAATTTCTTGGCTCCTTTGGAGCATGACCCATGTGTAACATCTGGGGATTCGTTGCAATTTTTTGGTTCATCTCCTGGGTTATCTGCAGCCACACAGATATCCCAGATGTTCATGTAAGCAGCAGACTTTATTTTTCCTCGCAAGTTTCCTGCCTAATTGGGTTCAATCTTTACCAACCCTCTTTTTTCATAGCATTCTATTTCACGAGCTCTTCTTTAAAAGCTTGCTGTTATTGCCTTTGGAAAATAGAATGCCATCATCTTGAAAACCTGCCAGTCAAAAATGGGGTTTATTGCTTGCTTCTTTATCCTTTTCACCATGCACTTATATGCATTGTTATAATCAGACCCACAAAAGGTAACCACATCGTTGGCTATTATTGAACTTTTCCATTAATGGGTAATAAAGAACCCACACAAAATAGCAGCTACACGAAATTTAAGTATTTCATCATAAACAGTCTCAGGATAATTAGAATGGATTAAATTACAAGAGAAAATGCATTTAGTTAATCTTCCCTCTAATTAAAAAAAAAATCCCTAGTTTTAAGTAAAGTGTTCGTTTTTAAAAACATATTTTCATTGTAATCAGTAAAGGAGAGGCCTGTTTGGTCCCCAGTGATAGGACGAAACATCTGCAAAGTTGCATCCGGAAACATCTGAATAGCTACCAGCCAGTGTTTTTTTGGTTTTGGGTTTTGGGCAGGGGTTTTATTATTAAGGTCCTTAAAGAATGAGTCTGGTCTTTTCCCATTGCTGTTACCAAGGGATTCTCTACAAATAGCCTCATTCCATAGTCCATGGTGGCATTCCTTTCTGTTCTGAGATCGCTGATGATGTGGTTGACTCCCCTTGACCAACATGTGTCAAGTGAGAAGATTAACTCAGCAGATGTTTATATATTCTGACCGAGCTGGGGTAAGAGTCAAAATGAAACTGGTAGGTGACGTGAGAAGTTTTCAAGATAGAACGGACACGTACTCCAGCCCTTCATGATGCTATTCCAAGACAGATAGGACTGAAATCACCCTAAGCCCTACGAGTGTGTCCCACAAATAAGGAATCATTCACATCACCTCACCAATTTCTTGGCTCATCCCAACTGCAAAGCTCACTCCACACTTTCATCCCAAGGGCCTCTAGAAGTTTCCAAGAGTGTCTTGCATGCTCATATTTAACCCAATCTGATTTTACAAGCTTAGTCCCTTCATTGAAACCTGCTGCCTGAGAAATACACTTACAGGGACTCCTACAGCACTGCCCCTACTGCCAGGATCCATGCCAAGGTTGTGTTCCCCCGTGCCAGCAGCACCATTGGTGCTCACGCTACTGAAGTCCTGCTGTGTTTACACAGTAAAGGAGAGAACACCACACTCCCCAGCTTTATCAACGGGTCCAAAGTTCCTTTGAGAAGACAAACCTTCACTTTTTGCCAATAGTGGCTCTCCCATACATCAAGGTTTTGTCCCAGCGCTGAGCTGTCGAACAGACACCACAGAGTCCTTTTTGTATCCTCACCTCTCCTCACCCTTAGACAGGCTCTCAACCCAGGGTAGTGGAGGATGCTTACAAGTTCTTTAAGCTCAGCCAGTCTCTGAATCCCAGTTTATACTCAGTCAGGACCCCTACCATTTAGATAAGCGGCTCTTAAAGAAAATCCTTTTCTCTTCATTTAGGTTAAGGGTTGCCTTCATTTTGAGCCAGCTCAACTGCAAATGCAAGAGCCCCTGTGATCTCCCTCCTTCATAATAATCGCATCCCAGTTGGAATGGAGAGGGGACTGCTTACATATCCCCTAGACTCCAGGTTCCAAACAGTTTCAGCACAGCTCTTTGAGGCCACTCCATTTAATCATGCATGAGACCCAGCACCATGCAGTGCAAACTGAACATCACAAAAAGTACGTCCTGCCAGTTCCCAGAGAAAGAAAGGGTTAACCAATGGTCTAGAGACGGAAAGCCCCACATAATTGCTGCCCAGGAGGAATTAAAAGAGCTGAGAATCCTGGGCTATACATTCCAAGTTTAGCCACCACAGCACCTGGTCAAATTAGCAATGAAGTTGGTTAGAGGTTGGCCCAGAAGGGTCATCTTTCCAAAGCTGTAAGCAGAGGGAGAAGCTCTGATAAGTGTGAATTGCATGTCATTATTTCAAAAAGTATGCTTTAACTTCAAGAGGGATTGCCAGACAGCCCTGTCTAGGTGTCTAGAAACAATGCCAGGGAGTGGGGGAGTCCCCAAGATTACAAAATAACCACCTCACAAGCACAGAGGAAATGTTTGTACCTGATTTTATTCCAACAAGTTAGCCAGCTGTCAATCACCGGTCATGCTATTGCATCTGAAACACATCCTGTCTAATGACACAAAACTCAAAACGGTGGCTTCTGCTTTGCAGATAGCATCCTGGCAACAGGGCAAGGAGATTGTTTCCCTATATTAGGTGTGTGTGAGCCCAGAAAGCCTAAATGTCACTGATGATTGCAATCCCTGTGAATAAGAAAAGAGATGGAAGATACCGGAGGCAGTGTGAGAAACTAGCTTTTTCCTATTAATCCCAGCAAAGCAGGCAAGTCAAGTTGGGTCCCTTAAGCATGTTACTGTCAACTTCTTGCTATATGTTGAATATGAACTGATTTAACTTTTTGCTTCCATTTAATGGGGCCAAGAAAGATCAGTATCTATTCACTTACAGACCTACTCCCTGGAGGTCTGATACAGGAAGTGTTATCGTATCCTAGAGAGAAGCCTAGCACAGACAACAGTCTACCCAGGATTAAGCAGTTTAAAATGCATAATACACAACAAAACCCACTCCAAACTCTCAATCATCTCCCACGTTATGTTTATAGAATGTAACATCTTTTCTCTTTGCTATTAACATTCTTTGTCAATGCTTGACTATGGCTGGTTTTATGCATTCCAAGTTTGAGGCAGTTTGGGGAATTATGTAGCAAAAGAATTAAATGCCTGAGATTTGGGATCAAACAGGACTGCCTTCAAATCCACCTTCCATCACTTGCAAGTTGGGTGACCTTTAACAAGCTATGTGTCTTCAATAAGCCTCAGTTTTTCCCGTCTGTAAATTGGGAATAATAAATAATACCTACGACCTACTGTATTGAGGATTTCACTGATGGAGAGCACTTAACATATGCTTGCTACTCTGTAAGTGTTAGCTTAAAAATTATTAACACCACACTTTCATATCTTTACTGTAGTTTCCCAAATGTGTCTTCACAGAGTGAATGGCTAAGAAAATTGTAGAGATAGCAAACAACCCAAAATTTCCCAAAGGGTCCAAAATTCCAGAAAGAGAAGCCAAGGGTGCCACACCTCATGTGTCCACACAGGTGCTCGTGGCCCTCCTGCTATTTCACTGTTCCAAGACAAGTTCCTTGGAACAGCTGGTTTCTATTCCATTCAGCAGGGAGCACAGGGAGAGAGAGGAAAGCAGGAAGGGACATGGAAATGGCCCACTTAGGATCCATTTGCTGGTTTTAAGAACATGGTGTTCTAAACATCAATAAGAAAGCCACACACATCATCCATGGTAACATGTCTGGGGTCTACACCCCCTCCATCTGTTTCCAGATGGGCAGTGATAACTGTATTCAATCATTTGGGAAGCATTCATTGAGTGCCTAACATGTGCCAGCACAGTACTGGGTGTGACACATGAGCCACCTCTGTGTGAATATCACCGAGGCAGCAAGGACAAGAAAGAAGTGGTTTGCAGAGGGTGGTAATCATGGGAACTTTAGACCTCAGCTGCCTTTTTGCCCACTTGAGACTTTGATGTTTTCTAACCCAAGACACCCTTCTCACTGTTTCTATCAATAATGTTTGGTTAATTTTTCAACATTGTCCTTGCTCAAGCTTCCCAAGGAGGTCAATATAAGGATGGAGGCCTTTAACTTCAAATAGTAGTTTAAATTCATTTGCAACACAATGTAATTGCATAAAAGAAAGTAGTCAAATATCAAACTGTATGGATACACACAAATGACTCCCTCATAAGTGTTAATATCTTCCACAATGGAGGAAACTTAGTTAAATCAAATGAAGGTGGCAACTCATTAAAATTTGATTTTCCCTCCTATCCTTTTTTATCTTTTAATCCTCTGTATATGGCACAACTTGTTCTGTTAAATAACACTCATTAATGAAATCTCATCTTCTCTTAGCTATATCTATTTTATTTATTTTGAAAACCTTCAGATGCTTATAATCTAATTTAGTTAGATTACTGCTTGGACATCTCTAAGTAGGAAAACTTTGAGCTTTTAAGGTGGAATTACTGGCAAAGGCTAGAAGTGAGAGAAACCAGTTCTCTTCCCATTTCCCCTTGGTAGGAGGTGGTTGGGCAGGCCTTTCCTCTGTGAGGGGACTGGGCCTCCATTTGGTTAATGAGGGCACTATGAATTAAGTATCTGTGTTGATTCAGGGAAGGGGAGGGAGGGAAGAGCCTCTAGAAAGAGTTGTAAACTCAAATTCCCATACATGGGGTAGGCGAGAATGACGTAAAGTGGGTGCATTCAACAGGGTGTAAGAGGCCAGGGAGGGGTGACAAACTGGAAAGTGAATGTCCCACCTATGGAGGGCAGACATGACCCAGCTCCAGCTGAACATGGCCATGTAGAAATGCAAGCCTAGTCTTCCCCAAATTTCCAATTTTTCAGTAGAGGCCAGATATTTGGATTGTTATGTATGGTCTCCCAATTTTCAAATGCTGGCAAGCAACTAAAAATGTATTAAAATGTTGTGCAGGCCATTCAAACAAGACTGGGGGCCAAATGGACCACCCATCTGTGACTACTGACACCTACCTCCAGGGCAGGATTAGTATTGAGTGAGGAAGCATCATTTGCCTGGATTGAGACTGGGACAGCTTTGGCTTCTCTTGTTTGATGCCCCATCTCTCCTTGGTAACTGGTTTAAGCTGGTGGGAGTCTCATTACCATGATACAATGGTGATACTTTGCACTTGCATGGTGAATTTTCTCCAAGGAGCTCAAAAGACTTTGTGTTGCCTCAGTCAACCTCACAGCAAGCCTGTGAAGCAGGCAGGTAGCCATTGCCCCCAAACACAATGAGCAACAACAGAAAGTATTTTACACAAAGCAGCTAGGTGGACTCATTGGCTTAAATCCAGCATCTACACTATTGGCAAATACAGCATTCAAGAAGCGTGGGCAGGATTTCCCACTAATGCCTCCCCTGCCACCCTTTTCAGCTTATCTTCCTTCCATCTGCTCCAAATGGCAGCTAAGCCCCAAATCTCAACAACAAATACCAGCAAACCAAGCCAGTGACTAATCCCTGTTGTGTGTATGAGTGTATACACGTCTGTGTGCATGCGTGTGTGTGCGCCCACCTGACTTCTTAGCATACCCAGCCCGGTACATCTGCATCCATTACAACGTGTCTCTGCATTGGTCATTGGTCTAATGCCATGCTCTGAAATGCTACTTTTGCAAGTGTTTAAGACCTAAAAACTTCAAATGGTACCTTCAGGATTCTGGATACCTGTATTTTGCTAACGGTGCCTAATAATTTGTGCTGCTTGGGAACCCTGTGTCCCTTTCTCTTCCTTATGCTGATAAAATTACAACTGTGAAGTCTTTCCCTGACAGAGCTAGAATACGGCCCTCTCTCAGGCTACTGCAGGTTCATAGGAGTGGCCATGTAAAATAGAGATAAGGGCCAGAGCCGTGCAGTGGAGGCCAGGGACAAGAATCTTCTCTGAGTTGCCTTGGATAGAACACCCGAGAAAGTTGGACTGAGCAGCAGTGACTGGGGCTCCTCCAGAGTCATCATTTTCCCCTGTATGACTGGGTTCAAGAGCTTTGCTACATAGTCCCGCTGGGCTATGCCTTCCCCTCTGCTTGATGGACATATGTGCTCTATGTCCTGCTCTACTCAGAGAATTCCTTGGGCTTTGCAGGCATGACCCAGAGAGAAGATTCCAGTTCAGCAGTGTAAACCTGTTGATCTTTTTCCCAGGACAGGACAGCACAACACAAGTATTCTGCATTTTCTAGATTGCCTTGCTCTTCCTTCTAAATTGTCTCAGATCAGGCTACTGATTTCTGGGAACAGTTCCCAGCATGATATTCTACTATAATCATTCACATTCTCTGCATGCAGGCATGCCATAAACATCCTTCAGAGGCAGATGCAAAACCAGGGAAACACCTGGCCATTTTAAATGCATGTGTTGGAGAGATAACTAGACTTACTGGCATTGGAACTACAAAGGCTGACATATCTACCAGCTTCCCATCTGATCCCACAAATCAGAACATGCTTCTTTAGAGCCAGAGGAAACTGCCTTTCCCAGGGATGAAACCTTAAAGATCCAGCAGAAAAGTTTGGGAAGTGTCTCTTGATCTAATTGGAACAAGGAATTGATTAAGCATCCAGAATCAAGAATGATGTTTCAGCTCTTCCCAGTAGATCAAAATCAATATTGAATATTTAAAAGGTATATAGATTTAAAAAGCCATTTCTTTATATACCTAAGTGTATAGGGAGAAATCAACTTTTATTTTTGTTGCCTTGGGAGAAACCAACTTGTGCTTTCCACTTGGCTATGCAGAATGAAAACCGTACAGGCTTTCAAAGGCCAGCTGAGGCTTCTCTGTATCTTCATTCATCATGCCTCTCAAAGCGTCAGACGGATCAGTCATAATTTGTGTTTTTCACACACATACACAAACATTTCTATTTTGGAGCGATTGGAGCGCTATACTGGAGCCATCTCTGTCTTAGTAGCCTCAGGTGCATACATTCCAGAAATTCTAAAAAGTCAGAGAAGACACATATCCCCAGTGCTGCCAAATCCAGTAAAACCGAAAGAGTTCAGGTTGCATGGTTTACGGACATCCCAGAGAAAGAATGTCCATTCAAGCCCACCAGGCTGAACTAGCCATCAGGTGAAATTAACTCCTGACTAAACTAAATTAAAAGGTGAAACTCAGGGAGGCCCAAGTAGACAGAGGTGCTGATCATTAGGGAGTTTGGCCACTAGAGTTTCTACTTTCGGCCCTGCTCAGGCTTCAGAAGATGCAGAGGTGAAAGTCTAGTTTAGCTAAGTGTAGCCGGCTGGACCAACAGGTCACTTTAAGTCATGTCTAACTGATCTCAGTGCTCCTGGAATGGCTTTACCTTGACATTTAAATTTCGGCTTCCATCACCAGTGAGATGGGGTTATGCTAAGTAATACAACTTTAAAATATTTTCTGAACAGTAAGGCAACCATTAAAACAAACAATTTCAGCGTTATAAAGTTATGTCTTTTAGGAGACATTAAAATGTTGCTGATACTGATGACAGTGAGGTAAAAAGCTGCAAGCCAAGGCTTTGAGGTGATAGGGCAGAGGCCCTGAAAGCAGCATGAGGCTGATAGATAAAGAAGGTAGTTGAAGCCAAGCTGAGAATAGCTTCAGAACCTAGAGGCACACATGGCTGGGGGCATTGCCTTTTACTTTGTTTTTCCTCCCAGGCTGTGGCTTTACCCCTTTCTCTTAAAATCCTGACAATACTTCCCAAGAAATGTGGTCTCTGACAGAGGCAACTCCTTTGGATGGGCCAAACGTGGCACCTAGCAGCAAAACATACTATTCAGAAAAGTCCTAAATGATCCCCTGCCTTGAAGCCTGGAATATAGTAGATGCTCAGTAAGTGCTGGCTGGCTTGAGACTCCCCTGTGTGTGAGCCCTCTCCACCCACCTTTCACTGCCCAAGTCATTTAAGATAGAGAAAATGGAGAACCACACTGCATCTAAAAATAGTTGGGGAGGGAATTACATGAATCCACTGTAAGTTAGCTTCAAAAATACTGTGCTTCCTAGGTGCTAGAATAGCCCATTTTTAGGGAGTCAAGAGCTGGATTCAGAGAAGGAGTAGCCAAGGGGCTCACCAAGTAAATAAAGGGTTTCTCTTGAGTTTTGGAGCATTCAGGCTTGAACAAGGGATTTTTTGGCCTGTGACCTAGTGCATAATTTGCAGTGGGGGTAATATCACCCCCAACACAGTGAAAAATTGTTCTAGGGGTAGATGAAAGTCTTACTCTTTTTTTTTTTTTCAGAAACCACATTTATTTTGGGGGGTTCATAGAGAATATTATACTCTCAAACAATACTTTATAAAAATTACTTAGTATGCTATATCTATTCTGTTTGTTACATTTTATATTTGTACTTTCTTTCCTAAGAAATATACTGCTGCTAATAATAGAAAGTGGAAGAAAAAAGGCATAAGCAGGCAGAAGTGGGGGGAAAAAACCCTGCAATCTTTGTGGCAATAAAACATTAGATTGCATTAAAATAACCTAAAACGTTAGATACTGGCCCCAGTGCCTGGGCGCAGAACTTTGTTGAAAGGGTATTCCAGTGGTAAGATGAAAATAAATCCTGTGTCATATATTTGCCCTATAGCAGAAGGAGGGTGGGGTTTAAGCTCAGGAATCACAGCCTAAAGCACAATAATTGTCTGGTTTCCTCAAAGGAGTTTGCAAGTTTCACATACCGGAAGTGTAGAAAGGCTGAAAGGAGAAGGTGGGGCAAGGGCATGAGAGTTTCTTTCAATGATACCAGTATAAACTGTACGTGTCTGAGCTAATATTAACTAGAAATTTGTCTACTACACTTCTTTTTTTTTTTTTTTTTTTTTTTGAGACAGAGTTTCTCTCTTATTTCCCAGGCTGGAGAGCAGTGGCGCGATCTCGGCTCACTGCAACCTCCGTTTCCCGGGTTCAAGAGATTCTCCTGCCTCAGCCTCCCGAGTAGCTGGGATTACAGGCATGCACCACCATGCCCAGCTAATTTTTTTTTTTTTTGTATTTTTAGTAGGGACAGAGTTTCGCCATGTTGGTCTGGCTGGTATTGAACTTCCAACCTCAGGTAATCCGCCTGCCTCGGCCTCCCAAAGTCCTGGGATTACAGGCGCGAGCCACTGCGCCCAGCCTACTATACTTCTTTTAAGTCTTTTTTTTTTTATTATTATACTTTAAGTTTTAGGGTACATGTGCACATTGTGCAGGTTAGTTACATATGTATACATGTGGCATGCTGGTGCGCTGCACCCACTAACTTGTCATCTAGCATTAGGTATCTCTCCCGATGCTATCCCTCCCCCCTACCCCCACCCCACAACAGTCCCCAAAGTGTGATATTCCCCTTCCTGTGTGCATGTGATCTCATTGTTCAATTCCCACCTGTAAGTGAGAATATGTGGTGTTTGGTTTTTTGTTCTTGCAATAGTTTACTGAGAATGATGATTTCCAATTTCATCCATGTCCCTACAAAGGACATGAACTCATCATTTTTTATGGCTGCATAGTATTCCATGGTGTATATGTGCCACATTTTCTTAATCCAGTCTATCATTGTTGGACATTTGAGTTGGTTCCAAGTCTTTGCTATTGTGAATAATGCCGCAATAAACATACATGTGCATGTGTCTTTATAGCAGCATGATTTATAGTCCTTTGGGTATATACCCAGTAATGGGATGGCTGGGTCAAATGGTATTTCTAGTTCTAGATCCCTGAGGAATCGCCACACTGACTTCCACATGGTTGAACTAGTTTACACTCCCACCAACAGTGTAAAAGTGTTCCTATTTCTCCACATCCTCTCCAGCACCTGTTGTTTCCTGACTTTTTAATGATTGCCATTCTAACTGGTGTGAGATGGTATCTCATTGTGGTTTTGATTTGCATTTCTCTGATGGCCAGTGATGACGAGCATTTTTTCATGTGTTTTTTGGCTGCATAAATGTCTTCTTTTGAGAAGTGTCTGTTCATGTCCTTTGCCCACTTTTTGATGGGGTTGTTTGTTTCTTTCTTGTAAATTTGTTTGAGTTCACTGTAGATTCTGGATATTAGCCCTTTGTCAGATGAGTAGGTTGCGAAAATTTTCTCCCATTTTGTAGGTTGCCTGTTCACTCTGATGGTAGTTTCTTTTGCTGTGCAGAAGCTCTTTAGTTTAATTAGATCCCATTTGTCAATTTTGGCTTTTGTTGCCATTGCTTTTGGTGTTTTAGACATGAAGTCCTTGCCCATGCCTATGTCCTGAATGGTAATGCCTAGGTTTTCTTCTAGGGTTTTTATGGTTTTAGATCTAACGTTTAAGTCTTTAATCCATCTTGAATTGATTTTTGTATAAGGTGTAAGGAAGGGATCCAGTTTCAGCTTTCTACATATGGCTAGCCAGTTTTCCCAGCACCATTTATTAAATAGGGAATCCTTTCCCCATTGCTTGTTTTTCTCAGGTTTGTCAAAGATCAGATAGTTGTAGATATGTGGCGTTATTTCTGAGGGCTCTGTTCTGTTCCATTGATCTATATCTCTGTTTTGGTACCAGTACCATGCTGTTTTGGTTACTGTAGCCTTGTAGTATAGTTTGAAGTCAGGTAGTGTGATGCCTCCAGCTTTGTTCTTTTGCTTAGGATTGACTTGGTGATGCGAGCTCTTTTTTGGTTCCATATGAACTTTAAAGTAGTTTTTTCCAATTCTGTGAAGAAAGTCACTGGTAGCTTGATGGGGATGGCATTGAATCTGTAAATTACCTTGGGCAGTATGGCCATTTTCACGATATTGATTCTTCCTACCCATGAGCATGGAAGGTTCTTCCATTTGTTTGTATCCTCTTTTATTTCCTTGAGCAGTGGTTTGTAGTTCTCCTTGAAGAGGTCCTTCACATCCCTTGTAAGTTGGATTCCTAGGTATTTTATTCTCTTTGAAGCAATTGTGAATGGGAGTTCACTCATGATTTGGCTCTCTGTTTGTCTGTTGTTGGTGTATAAGAATGCTTGTGATTTTTGTACATTGATTTTGTATCCTGAGACTTTGCTGAAGTTGCTTATCAGCTTAAGGAGATTTTGGGCTGAGACAATGGGGTTTTCTAGGTATACAATCATGTCGTCTGCAAACAGGGACAATTTGACTTCCTCTTTTCCTAATTGAATACCCTTTATTTCCTTCTCCTGCCTAATTGCCCTGGCCAGAACTTCCAACTTCCAACTCTTTTTTATATAAAACGTGCACATATGACATAAACAGCTATGTAGCATATCTTTGGCATTAAGGGAGAGGAATTAGAGGGGAAAAGGTCTAAAAAGGTTTCTAGGATGGGAGATAATGAAAAAAAAAAGTTGAGAAATATTAACCTGGTAGAAGAGATGATAGATTGATCCATTTCTAGAGCCTCAACAGAAGTGGCCTCAAGCATCCTCAGGGAAGACACTGTTTCTTAGAAGACTCTGCCAACTCATGCTTCTGTCTTTATCGCCCCTGCCTGCTGGCTCATCTTATACCAAATCAGTTTGGACTGAAATAACCAGGCAGGCCAAATAATTGATTTGGTGCATGTTTTTAATTTACTGATTTACTGAATTCCCTTTTCAGAAAATACCAGCTAACATTATTGAGTACTAATGACAGAAACGGCCGGTCCCATTGCTAAGTTCTCAGCATGGCTCCTCTCTTCTAATCCTCATGTCAGTTTTGTGAGGTGAATACTGTTAGCATCATCATTTCACAGGTGACAAAACTGACTCAGAGAGGTTAAGCAATGTGTGAAAGGCTTATCTGTCAATGAGAGGGGCCGGTGAGTGCTAAATCCAGGTTTACTTGACAGAAACCAGGCTTAATCATTGCACTTTGCCCCCAGGTAGTTGCAATGGGGTTCTGGGGAGTCCAGCAATGAAATCAGAGAATATGGGCATCAGGGGACCCCCCCTTCACCTGTCGGGAAAGTCATCCTCTGCAGGAGTGTGTCCTTGGTGATGGAGGACAATTCCCCTTTTCACTTTACCAGTGCCCCCTGGCCAAAGAGTACACTAAATAATCTCCGATTCCAAAAATGACTCACTGCTACTCCGCATAGGCGTAGTTGGCCAACTTCCCTAAATTTAAGTTGACTTTCTATCAGAGTTCACATTTCCACCAACTTTTCATTAAATTAATTATTCAAAACAATTCAGAGTTAGCGTTCTCGCAGCAACTGTAACTCTGCCATGACTAGATTAAGGCGTAAATTGAACAGCATGTTTTGCAATAAAGTTAATTTTATATTCACCAGAGAACTGAGTTATAGTTGCTGTGGGAACCATCATTTCGAATCTCTTGACTTTGGTGCATTTAAATTCTCAACCACAGCGTTGCACACAGTAGCATATTTTGCACGGACGTTTAATTTGCTTCACACCACGGCCTGGCTATCCTGAACTTGGAAGGCCTGTCAGAAATAAACATTGCAGCTTTCTAGCTTTCCCAGCCTTCTACTTATCCTATACCTATGACACTATACATAGAAACAGCCAAGAAACCAAAATGATTCCAATTTTATCTTGAAATTATCTGTTTGGGGGAAGTGAATTTCCTTAGAAGAACTGAGTCTCCGGCAATGTCAACTAAAGCAGGCAATGCCATTGCTTTTGTGTGCAGCCAGGATTCTCATCCAAGGATATTTTTGGTTCTGCGCTGTATTATTCAGTACACATGGGGTGACCTCTGAAAGCTCCAAGTCCTTGCATGTGCCATTAATCAAGCAGGCATGCACAGCCATACATCAGAACTTATTGGAGCTCCGGAAAAGCTAAGCAACATTTCCCAGAGCCACATAAAACCCGAGCATCCCTAAATCAAGACACATTGCAGGGCCTCTAAAAGGTACGTTCAGCAGAACCGGAATAGAACTCAGGCTAAATGCTGGTGGTATGGAATTGGGAACATGTACCAAGTAAAGACAGAGGCTTGTTTGGAAGGAATAGCAGAGGAAGATGAAACTCTGAGATGGTTAGAGATGCGAGCATTCCATCCACGAGGATTATCGATTTTTGTAGCTTTATTGGAAAAATCAGTCATGCTTTCTGCCTCCTGGGAATTGCTCTGCTGCAATTTGGGAGTGTGTACGTGTGGAAACTGCAGGTTAGCAGCTGAGTACCAGCTCCCATTCACTGTTCAATTATCCATTTAGCTAGAATGTGACTTAGCAGAAACAGACTGCTGTTTTGCATGTGTAAGATGTATTTGAAAGGAGGGATTTTTGTTTCTCTGTAAATGAGAGGATTTCCAAGGAGAAGCTCTTGCCTTCCTAAGGGCACACTCATTATGCAAAATTGAAGAGTGGCACCTAACAAAAGCATAGGCCAGATTGTTGGAATTCTGAATACCATTGTACAAGCTTTCAAGAAACAGAAGTCTCTTATTTCTCATACTGTGCCACACATGAATGTACCTCCTGATCAGAACTACTGCAAAATTTGTAGATAAAGACCCTGTAATGATCAGTGGCCTCCCCACCAAGTCCTTGATTAGCTAAAAACTGTTTAAAAGAAAGTTTCAGAGAGCAGGATATGTTCACGATAATTCAGGGTTCCCTGGGCCACGTGGATGGGATGGGTAAGTGATAGATGGCTTTAGATTCATGATAAAGGTGGGCAGGGGAAATACCATGCCAGTCAGAGCAAAGAAAAAAGAGTGAAGAAGCAGGGGAGAAACTGGAATGTTTTATTGCTTCTGTACAAGGTAAAAAGTGCCATAAAACAATATAAAATACGGGCTCCTCTATGAGGTCGTTTGACACTTACTGTTTTGTGACCGCATCTTCACAGGATTTAGACAGATTTTTGGTAAGGAATGTTTGACAGATTAATAAATAAATATAAATATATATGATAGATAGATAGATAGATAGATAGATAGATAGATAGATAGATAGATTGATAGATAGCACAAGCTTTTTAAGCATGTCTGAGTGTCCCATTCGGGTGGGTCAAGCTGGCCTATAGGGTTAAAGAGAACGCAAAGGAACTAAAAGACCAGGAGTAATAACCTGGGAGCATGCTTGGGTGGTTCAAAGAGACCCTATTGCCAAGAATTAGATGAAGCTGGCCGGATGAATGCAGCCTTAAGGTCTGGAGTCGCTGTGTTAAGAAAGGCGAGGCATTCATTTGCTGGAGCTGTTCATATGAGGTTGTCTGCCCTGACCTTGCAGATAGAGCTGCTGTGACTCAATGGTTCTCTCCGCGTCTCCACTCTCAGCCATGTCTGTCCTGATGCGGCACGATGCTCCCCTGTCACCCTTTCCCTTCATCTCCACATGTTATTTTTAGTATGAAAAAGCAACTTGGAGAGGAGGGCAGAATCCTCACAAAATCCAGCTTCAGCAACCTCATCTGCCTGCTAGTTCCAACCGAGGAGTCTGGTTTGCTGCATCAACAGGGGTAGTTGGTGGGGAGTGCTGTTTATAGACTGTATGTCTAATTGTCTGCTTTTGTGTCTCTAAAGCCTTCCCTTTCCGAGGCATGTTAGGAAAACAGAAACACATCTAGCATTAGCGGTGCCACATAGAGTCACAGAGCAGGACAAATTTGTGCCCTGCCCAAGCCTCCACCCTGGCTTACCCAGATGGTCCTGATGGGTCCCTGCTGGCCAGCCTTCTAGATTCTGTCCTGGCCCCATCCTCTCTCTGTTCCTCACCCAGCACAAAGGGAGCCTTTAAAAACTCATGTCAGATCAGGCCACTCCTCTGCTCAAAAGCTTCCAATGACTTCTTTTCACTCAGAATAAAAGCAATATCCGTACAGTGGACTATGAGGTCCTACCCCTCACTCACTCTGCTACAGCCACACGGGCCTCCTCTCTGTCCTTCCAACACCCCAAGCACTCTCATGCCTAGGGGCTTTGTACCTGCAGTTTCCTCTGCCTGTGCTACTATCTCCCAAATATTGGTATGATTTGTTTCCTCCCCTCCTTTAGGTTTTTTGCTCAAACAACTTATCATCAGGGGCTTCCCTGACCATCCTATATAAGACAGTCACCTCCATCACACACAACCCCCTTGTGGTCCCCTCCCCCTACATTTCCCTAAAGCAGTGATTACCATCTGACATACCATATTAATTTTTATTGTTTATTGTAGGTCTCCTCACTGTAGAATGTGAGATCTTTAAGAACAAGACTTTGTCTCTTTCATTGACTACTGTATGCCCCTTGTCTAGAAACTACCCGGTGCATAATAGGTGCTCGATAAATAATTATTGAATGAATGAAAGAATAAACTCATGAGTCTACAGCAGAAATCAGCATTTTCTAATCATTCAGTAAATGTTTGATGTGGGATTGGTATTTCTCCCTTGGAGGTCCATTTGTCCCCTGATTCGCACACACTGAACTCAAGGATTAGGGACAGGGCAGGAGACAGAAGCCAACACTCTTGACAGGGAGACCACCCCACCACTCAGGCAGGACGCCATGCGGGGGCTTCCCCAAGTAGGATCCTCATGGATCCTATTCTCAGCTTTAGAAATCCCATTTTGTTTCTGTTAACAGAGTGGATCAAGCTCTAGACTGACTCCGTCACACTACCCAAATTCCCATCCAAACCTGAAATGGCCATTCAGTAATTCACAGTGAGGAAATTCTACATCTCCTGCTCAGTGTATTCTCTCCCTAAAGGGAAATCTATATGGGAAATGAAGTTAAAAGCAGAAGATTTCTTGGGGAACAAGAAATCAAAGCAAGTAATATGATATTCTGAGTCTGCCTTCTCCCTGTACAGTCCTACCTGGCTAGGGGGGCGCAAAGTGCATGGGCTGAGAGTTGCACAGGCCTGGATTCACACCCTCCCTTTACCACTTGCAGTGATTATGACCCTGGGAAAGTTAATTAACTTCTCTGAGCTTCAGCTTTTTCAGCCACAAATGATGATAATAATATGTATTTCATACCATCCTTGAAGTGGCTCAGTGAAGTAACAAGGATGTGAATTGCTGAGCATGGACAAATGGCAGGTGCTGTTGCTTGCCTCCCCTCTGTCAAGCCGGACACTCTCACCCGTGAACTGACCCTGGCTCTCTCTTGCTCCACCACCTCCCTCTCCACATCCCAGGCAGACTACCCCTTTCTGTGGGCATGCTTTTCTGAGCCTGGTTGAGATTTCTATGCCCTGCGATCCTTGATAATGTCACCTCACACAACTCTTGCGTTTTAAGGGGAGTTCTATTGACAACTTGTCGCATGCATTATGTGCAGATCTTACTCACGTAACTCTCAGGAAATTACCTCATTTTTCTCATTTTCATTTACGTCTTTGGAGGGCACCTTTCTGGGGCTTTGCTGTATTGACTACACTGATCCTATTTTAAATAATAGCATTCAGTCCCTCCTCATAACCAATTCAAGTGCAAATCAAAGGCTTTCCTAAACCACGCACAGACCTTTCTGCCATCATTGGAGGACACTTTTAATAAAAACAACAACAATAATAACAGGTATCTGTTGTAGAATATTTATTATGTGCCATGCATCATGGATTCTCTCATTTAAATGTCAGCGACCCTCTGGGGTTCTATTGCTCTGGTTTTGCAAATGGAGAAACTAAGGAATTGAAGAGCTTATGATTTTTACCCAAGATCATGCAGCCAAAGGGTGAAGCCAAGGTTTGAACCCAGGCTGCCCAGATTCAGAGCCACTACCTTCACTATTCCAAGTACTGCCACATGGTGACTGAGGTGACCTGATGCAGTGGCCCCGGGCAGCAGCAGAATCTGTTGGAAGCCCTAACATACCAAAACAAGTGACTTGGTATAAAAGTCTGCACCCTCTTTCTTGCCCTTGGGGGCCTTCATCTCTGTCCCCACCTCTGCCTCTGGGACAGCCAATGAAAAGAGCCTAGTCCTCACTCCCTGTTTTCAATGATGACCAATGATTCCAGGCTGCCTCTTGGGGCACAAGATTTTCAGTGCAAAAACTTGGATCATCCAGGGCAAATTGGAAGGGTTGGTCACCCCAGTTGAGAACAGGAACTATAGAGCCATTGGCTGGTGTCAAATCCTGGCTCCACCATGAACCCACCCTGCTACTTTGGCCAAATTACTTAACTTTTCCATGCCTCCATTTCCTCACCTATAAAACAGGAATAATCGTTGTACCTACACCGTAGGGTTGTTGCGACAATTAAATGAGCTAATGCATGTAGGGGATCTAAAAGTGCCAGGCACAGAGAAATGTCCCTGTGAGGGGTTTGCTATTTTTGTGGCTATTCTATAAAAAGCTTTCTAAAATCCAGAATTTCATCCTGGGGCAGATTCTTTGCCTAGCTCTTTTGAGATCTATTAGAAACATTTAGTGATTTCCTTACATTTCCTGAAGTTACACTAGGAGCAACAACAACAACAACAAAATGGCAATTTATGGTTGACCTGATTTTACACTAGTTAAAAGAGAGCCGTCAACCCTGCAGAAGTAACAAGTCCGTGCCCACAGGCCTCCTCGGTGTTATTTGTATTTTTATGACCCTCCTGTGGCTATAAGGATGCTCAGTGGGTGTAGAAATTGGATGGTTAAAAATAACAAATAAGAAATCAAAGTCGTGCTTTGTCCCTATTTCCATACTGGTAGGTACCACATTCATTATTTGCTGGACAGCTGTGGGAATAAGCTGCACAAGGTACAACAACTTGATTCACCTCCAAAAACCAAATTAAACCACTGGACTCTCTTATTATTGTCATCCCTACCTTTGTGTAACACTTGTCACCCTCCTAAGCTACCAACATGCCTTCTCTTCTACTCGCTGGGTACCCTAGTCTGCCTCTTTCAGTCCAGAGGTATCTGCTTCTTACAAGTTGAAAGGCACAAACCCACATCCGCATTCATACACAGCCCCTGTCATCAGCTTGGTTTTGAACGCTGGGCTGCAACCAGCTGCTTCATTTGCTTAGAGAAGTGTCATCCTTCCAGAGGCTTGGGGTGTGGCCTGTGGGAAGCTTTTCCTTTTACCTGGCTGTTGAATCAAGAACACAGTGAAGCAGCAATGAAACAAAGCACAGTTTGTTTGTTTTTAATGTATTCATTCAACAGATATCTTTAATGCTCTAGGGTGGGAATTAGGAAAACAGCCATGAACAACTGAGCCAAAGCCTTTACACTTGAGGGGTTTGGAGGCTCCCAGGAAGATGGACATTGAACCGCTTGCTCTCATCATCCATTGCACATAGGAATCACCTGGGTAGCTTAAAAAAAAAGGAAAGAAACTGATGTCTGGGTCGCTTCCTCAGAGATTGTGATTTAATTGGGATGCAGTTTAACATGGGAATTTTTCAAGGCTCCCAGGTGATTTGAAAGTGCGGCCCAGTTAAGACCCGTTGCTTTAAACAAAGGGTTCATTAGAATTATGAGGAGTGCTACAGAGAAGGGGAAGGTGGTGCTATAAAAGCATGCAATGGAGCAGGAACCCTGAGCTGGAAGCCAGGAAAGCCATTCCTAAACAAGGGCCAGCTGAGCACAAGGTGAATGGCTTTAGCCAAAGTGGGTGCAGGGAGCGTAGTTCAGAGAGACACATCTGGAAAAGCCCACAAGAAGAATCCAGGCTACAGAGAACAGAGACAAATGTGACATGAGAAGAGAGAAATGGGCAGGGCCAGATAATGCAGGGCCTTTGAGGCCCTTTTAGGGGTTTGGGACTTAATCCGAAAGCAGAGGCTTTCACATTGAGCAGGCGTCTGGATCCCGGGGGCTTGTTATAAATGCAGACGGCTGGGCCCCATCCCCAGAGGTTCTGATTCAGTAGCTCAAGAATGTGTATGTCTAACAAGTTCCCAGGAGATGCTGCTGCTGGTCCCAGGACCACACTTTGAGAAGCACTGCTCCAATCTAAAGCAATGGGAGAAACTCCCGGAGGATGTTCAGCAGGGGCATGGCATGAGTTGGGGTGCGTTTTAGCAACACGGTGCTATTCACCCCCATAACTCTCAAAGGTAATGTTCCAGGGAGATAAAGCAGGCACCCCCAGGAAAGCACAGGCCAGGCTGGACTCCAGTGCAACCGGGTGATAACAATTCAGTCAGAATTCACTGAGTAACTGACGTGGGATTTCCCTCCCAAGAAGAGCTATTTTGGTTACTGTTGCCTAAATTCTCCATTTCCTCACATGATCACCTACTTTAAAAAAAAAAAAAAAAAAACAGTAAGAGCTTGAAACATCAAAACACCAAAAAGTAAGATACATCTTCCTTTCTCCTTTTTTTTGAGACAAAGTCTCGTTCTTTTGCCCAGGCTGGAGTGAAGTGGTGCGATCTTGGCTCACTGCTGCAACCTCCACCCACCCAGCTTCAAGCAATTCTCCTGCCTCAGCCTCTCAAGTAGCTGGGATTATAGGTGCCTGCCACCATGCTCTGCTACTTTTTGTATATTTAGTAGAGACTAAACAACGGGGTTTCACCACGTTGGCCAGGTTGGTCTCGAACTCCTGACCCCAGGTGATCCACCCGCCTCAACCTCCCAAAGTGCTAGGATTACAGGTGTGAGCTACCGCGCCTGGCCCCTTTCTCCTCTTTATTCAAATGTGAAAGGATTGTTTTTACTGTTTTTACAAGTTCATCATTTTTCTGCAGCCAAGGCTGAGCCTACTGCCTTCCTTGTCCCATGCAGACAGACATGGTGCTGATCAGTGAGAATCCAGGTGCATCCAGAAAACATGCAGCCTAGACAGCTGGAGGCAAATTTATATGACCTCATGGAAGCTCTGCTGTTTCTATTGCTGTTGGGGTTGTGGGGAGTGATTTCTGCCTTAGGAGCAAAAGCCAGCCAATAGACCATGGAAAGGATCACTGGCCTCCTAACACCCCAACCCAGCATCCCCCATACTTGCATCTACACAAACCCTTAAAGACATACAGACACCACTGAAACAAAGAGGAACATCTGCCTCTCTCAATTTGCCACGTCTTTTCTAACAAAGCAGAGTCAGCTGTGGACGTGCAGGTTCATGGCTGCGTGTCCACGCCATTTGTGCCTAGAAACAGAGTCCCCGCACAGCTCCCTCCCGCACACACGGGCAAGCAAGAGGGACAATCCCTGCCGTTTTCCAGAGACCAGAGACCAGGGTGATTCTTTGGCAGCCGGTCTTCCAAAACTAGTTGGAGATTTTCCCCAGAGCACCTCGAAGCATCAGATTAATTTTCTGAGCATTTGCCACTGCTGTTCAGTATAAATGGCTACCTGAACCCCTGGTGATCCCCGATCTCCAACACCTCAGCTATTTTCAACTACAAAGAGCTCTGGAATGTAATGGCAGACTCTATTATTAAATAATGTCCAGTGTATGTGTGCTCTTTAATTCCAACAATGCACAGCTCCAGGGAAAACAAAAACAAAAAACAAACAAAAAAAAAACAGTGATATTTAAAACAGTTGGTGAAAGGGGGGGGGGGTCCATAATTAAGTTAATATTCAAAAGCACAATTCTTCCCAAGAGAAAGGGCCCCCATGTAGTCTACCTTCGTGTCTCCTGCACCTCATAATTGCCCTTAGCTCCAGTGGGTTTTCTTCTCACTCAGCCCGTCCAATGTGGTATTGCTGGAGTTTTGGCTGGTGGTCATTGGGAGAATGAGAATTTCTTAGGCTGTGACACAATCACACACGGAGGACACTTGATGAACCTTCATTTTTTAACTTGAAAAAGGATGGGTTCTTGTTTTTTTCCCTGATCTCAGAGTGAGGCAAAGAGAAATGACCTACACTTCAGCCTATGTGCTAAAGGGAAAGCTTACCACTAACTATGATAGCTGTCATAACAACTATATAGACACTGACAACAATTAGTGCCACTATCTACTGAGCACTTACAATGTGCCAAGCTCTGTTGAAATATTTAGCTTTATCATTCCATTTAATACCTCTGGCATCTGTAAAAAAAAAAAAAAAAAAAAAAAAAAAAAAAATTGTAAGTACGGTCTTGTGACCATCCCTAAATTATTTGATCAGCACATATTTCTTGAATGTCTGTTACGTGCCAACCGTTCTTCTAGACCCTGAGAATATCTCAATGAACAAAAGAGGCAAAACTTTCTGCCTTTCTGGAAGCTGTATGCTATTGGAAGAGAAAATAAATAAGATTAACAAGTAAAATATACCATTTTACAAACAGGCTGAGGCTCAGAGAGGTGGATCTACCAGCCCAAGCTCACACAGACAGTAAGAGAGACATCCAGATTCCATTCCCAGAACTCTGACTCCAAACCAGGTTAAGGTTTTCCCCATAGTTAAAAAAAAAAAAAAAAAAACACTTTTTTTTTTTCACCTCAGTTTAACTTAGGATGTAAGTTCTCTCCTGATGGTCTCTTGAAGCAAGCAGGGACATCTGGCTTCTCTGGCTTTCACTGTCATCTGTCTGCATTTCCATGCAGCCTGTTTTATGTTTTTACTTGCATTTCCATCTGGATAGGGTATTGCCCTTTATGCTTTTCTTAGGCATGCTTGATGTTGAATATTAAAATCCTATTTCTCTCTTCGTACCCCTCATGCATTATTAGCCACTTATTTCTACCTTTAAATTGCTGCACATGGCAGAACATTTCTTGATGCTTTTTTAGAAAAGCCTTTTATGGTAATTATAGCTTTCTTCAAGTGCATTTATTTTTCCCTTTTTACCGTGCTGTAGACATTACTTTGTTCATGCCTAATTTTTGTTAAGGCAAAAAGCCTGCCTAGCTGGTAACTGTGTGGACAGACTTTTTTTTTTCTAGTGGTTGGAATTTTATGTGTAGAACCTTGGAAACTCTCTCATTTCCACTCTGCCAAAGGCATCGGATTCAGCCAGAGTTATTCGTTCATCATTTCCCCCAACTACTTATTGAATACTGGCAATCCAAGAGTAAACAAACTAGACATGGTCCCTCCCTGACAGTTTTACACCATAGCAGGAACGCCTGGGGCAGCCGTTCGGTTCACAGTAGGGGCACCATTCAAAGTGTAGGTAATGACAACGGGCACATTTATTATGACACTTTTCCAGCAGGTGACAGTAAAATGTCTTAAGGAAGAGCTGCTACATGGCCTAGCGAGCATCAAGGAGGTACCAGCCAATTGTGATACAGCGGGGCGGGTAGTACCACATAAAGGAAAGGATAAAGATGCCATGACTGGTGCTGCTGGCATGAGCTTGGGAGCTTTGGAAAAGCTTCCAGGAGGAGGTGACTTCTGAGTGGGGATTTGAAGGATGTATTGAAGTTAGGGAGGTGAGAAAAGTGAAAAGGAAAGGCCGAGTGGCTTAAGTCTAACCAAAGCCTAAAGTGATATTGAGATAGGCTGATGTGGTAAGAGTCAGTTCATATGAAGTCAGCAAGCCCAATTAAGGACTTCAGACTTTACCCATGGGTCAATGGAAAGCTATTGAAGTGTTTCCAGCAGTGTCCAGAATGTGAGACATGGATGATGGTACAAGACTGGAGGCAGGGAGACCAGTTAGGAGGTTTCGACAAGCATCTGGACCAAAGATGAGGGTGGCTGGGGTTAATGTGGTGGCAGTAGGGGTGGAAGTAGAGCACAGATTCCAAGATATTTAGGAAGAAGGACAGATAGGAGTTCTTGCAGTTAAGAGGAAAATTAGGCAGAACTTGGTTGGAATTAGATAGAAGAGACAAGAGAAGGTAGGAGAGGAGGGGAACAATTAAGAATGCCTCCAAGGTTTCAGTGGTGGGCAATGGGGTAGATACCTGGATGTGCCATGCACTGCTCAAGGGGTCAGAGTTTGTGGGGAGGAAAGGTAAAGAGTCAGAATTCTTTTGAGTTTGAGGTGCTTATGAGTGTACAGGTGGGGAATAGATGGCTATGTTGAGACGCAAGTTGGAGTTCAGGTCTAGAGGTCAGAAGACTTGAGTTGAAGATTTAGGGGCCATCAGAATATAAGGGTGTGGGTTGTTGTTTGTTGTTGTTGGTGTTGTTGTTGTTGTTGTTTTGAGACCGAGTCTCACTCTGTCGCCTAGACTAGAGTGCAGTAGCACGATCTTGACTCACTGCAGCCTCTGCCTTCCGGGTTCAAATGATTCTTCAGCCTCAGCCTCCTGAGAAGCTGGGATTACAGGCACCTGCCACCACACTCAGCTATCTTTTGTATTTTCAGTAGACATGAGATTTCACCATTTTGGCCAGGCTGGTCTCGAACTCCGGACTTCAGGTGATCCACCCACCTCGGCATCCCAAAGTGGGTTTTTTTAAATCCCAAATTTCCCATCAGCTCTCTCTCTATAGGTTGGAATGTGACAGAACTAGCCCATTAATATCACTGGCGTCCTTAAAAATTCTCCCTGGGAAGAGGACTTTTGATCTCAGAGAGGAAGTCTCTATTATCTTCTCATGATTCTCAGAAGAGTTTATAGATATGAGGCAGGCAGACAGAAAAGATATAGTACGCCCCGATTGTTTTTATTCATTCAAGCACCTTCTATGTGCCTAAAACCAGGCCAAGCTCTGGGATCCAACAGCAAACAACCAAATCTTGGATCTCATGGGGGTTTATGTCTAGGGCTAGGTTTCTCAACCTTAGCACAGTTAACATTTTGGGCTGTATCGTTCTTCATTGTGGGGCCTGTCCTGTGCATTGTAGGATGTTGAGCAGCATCCCTGGCCTCTACCCACAAGATGCCAATAGCACCCTCCTCAAATTGTGACAATCAAAAATGTCTCCAGACTGGGCACGGTGGCTCATGCCTGGAGTGCTGTAATCCCAGCACTTTGGGAGGCCAAGGCAGGCGGATCACTTGAGGTCAGGAGTTCAAGACCAGCCTGGCCAACATGGTGAAACTCCATCTCTACTAAAAAAAAAATGTGTGTGTGTGTGTGTGTGTGTATATATATATATATATATATACACACACACACACACACATATATATGTATACACACACGTATATATATACATGTATATATGTATATATACACATATATATGTATATACGTATATACATATATATATGTACGTGTATACATATATATATATACACACAAAAAAAATCAGCTAGATGTGGTGGCATGCACCTGTAGTCCCAGCTACTCAGGAAGCTGAGGCGGGGGAATCATTTGAACCTGAGAGGCGGAGGCTGCAGTGAGCCGACATTGCGCCACTGCACTCCAGCCTGGGCAACACAGTGAGACTCCGTCTCAAAAAATAAAAATAAAAAATAAAAAGTGTCTTCAGACAATGCCAAATGTTTTCTGGAGAGAAATAGGGAGACAAAATTGCCTTAGTTGAGAACCACTGGAATAGGGTCATGATAGAACCTTTAGTCTCCAGGCAGCCAGCTCTCTCTAGCTCCATAAAAGAGGAACCAAATGGGTATGCTTTAAGGGGCTTTATATTGGTGGTCTTGGAGACAGGCAGTACCAGCCTGAAATCCAGAAGACTTCCTATAGGAGACTTCTTGGGTGCCCCAGTATAAGCCCATTAGCCCAATCCAACTTCGGTTATAGCATCCTCTCCAGAGAAAAGCCTCTACCTCATACCCATTTTGCCCTCCAGACTAATTACTTCCTAGGTTTTGTTTTTCCTTAAGCAGAAGCTGGCTTTGCACTTTACAAACACAAAGGATCACTTCCTCAGAAGGCCACCAGTAGAATGAACTTGTGCTGGGGTTAGCTTGGGGTTGCCTAGCAACGCCATGCACCTACCAGGGCTGTTCTCTTCCTCTTCAAGCTAAAAGCAAAGTCCTGTCCGTTAATTACCAGCTGCCCTGAAACTTCTCAGAGATTTGCCAGCTTCCTACTTTTCTTGTTTTCATCTTCCTCATGTGATGTGGAGAAAACCTGCTACTGTGGTCTGTTTATTTCACTTCAGTTGGTCTGCAGGGGCAGGTTGGGGAGGAAGCAAGAGAGGAAGAGAAGGGGTTAAAAAAAAGCCTCATTCAATCTAGAAATATATGTATTTTGAGTGCGTATCTCTGACTGACACGCTAGTGTTTTTTGCAGATTTAAATTTGATGTAGCGGACGTGGGTTTCCTATACAATGAGGCTTCTGTTGACACATTGGACATGAATTTAGTCAGACATGAGACCTCAAAGTAGCTAAATAACAAAGCTCCACCAAATAGATACCATGCTGAGCAAATGTTGGTAGGTCTGTCATTTAGTGTATTTTCCGTGATCCATTCCCCAAAACTCTACCAGTAGAAATTGTTAAAGCTGAAGGTAGCTGGAGGTTGGAGAAATTCTCTTTTCCTTGAGAACCTGTGAAATGTCCCTTGGTCTTTTCCTACTGAGCTCATTTTGTTCCTGCAGAAATGTTTGTGGCATTTCTCTGCAACTGGGGACGGCTTTCCCTCCACACACCGTCTCACGGTATGAAGTGAACAGGGGTTTTCCAGGCAGGACCACAGTCAGGAAAAGCATGGAAATGTGAATCTGGGCTTTGTGAGGAGAGGTGTGTAGACCAAACAAGCCTTTCCAGGTGTGCAAACACTGGTGCTTTACTTGCCTGCTGGACTTAGTGCCAGGCTGTGCAACAAAAGAAAACAGATTCCCTGGTAAGAGTCTCCTTATTTGCCCTCTCAAGACAGCTTGGCTTCCCTAGGGACTGGCCCACATAGGTCTCTTCTGTTGCATGCACTCCTTGCTCAGATCCTAATCCAATACCACCTTCTGGAAAGGATGAGAGGCAGCAAGCACTGAAGAGTGAAACTCCTCTTCCTAAAGAAGTAAAGCTTAATTGTATACCCTTGAGACCTTGCTTCTTAGGAAGATGCCTTTAAATTCCCACCACTGGCCAAGCATAATGCTTCATGCCTGTAATCCTAGCACTTTGGGAGGCTGAGGCTGAGGCTGGAGGGTCATTTGAGGCCAGGAGTTCAAGACTAACCTGGGCAACATAGCAAGACCCAATCTCTACTAAAAATTAAAAAGAAAAAATCGCTGGGCATGGTGGCACACACTTGCAGTCCTAGCTACTGAGGAGGCTGAAGCAGGAGGATCACTCAAGCCCAGGAGTTCAAGGTGTCAGTGAGCTATGATCATGCCACTGCACTCCAGCCTGAGTGAGAGAGTGAGACCCTACCTCAAATTCCCACCACTGCCATATGCATATATTAGGTTTATCAGCATTCTCATAAGGGGTACTCAAGAGAAAAGAAGGAAGATGCTAGGTGAAGGCCTCTGGAACACCGGAGAGAAGAGCAGGGGAGATGCATGCTTTTGATCCACAAGATTTGGGCCAGGAAGGTTTCAAATCAATTACCTCCATCATTACAAAGCTTTTTATCCTCTGCCATGGCCCAATCCAGCCTGCACTTTATGTAGTTTAAAAATAGATGTAGAAAAAAATGGAAACAGAGATGGTGGCAGAGGTAGAGATAGGACTCGAGATAGATATTCAAGGAAATTACTTTCTGGGGAAAAGTAAATTAATGGTCACTGGGGTATATTTAAATTAAGCAAGAAAACATATCCCAAGTGCACAACTCTGCAAATTTACTAGAAGTCATCGCATTGTACACTTAAAACAGGTGAATTTTATGGTGTGTAAATTATGCCCCAACAAAGCTGTGAAAAGAAAGAAAAATGAAAACATGTCTAGGAATTCTTGCCAGCACGTAGGTTTTGTGAGTGTGGCCACATCCTAGTAGTTCTCTGCTTCTCTCCTACCTGTTATAAAGAGTCACGGAGGCTCTGCTAGTGAGACCTTTCCCATGTCTCTTTAGTGTACCTCCTTTCTCCACTTTTCTCCCCCAGTCTCCCTTTGTCCAAACTCAGGTCAGGAGAGTGCTGGCTGCAATTGTTTTGGGTCCTGGAGTAATTAGAAAATTACACAGGCAGCCAATTTTGCACAGACACGTGAGCGCATGTATACACACACACACACACACACACACACATCAATAAAGGAAAAGAAATCCACAAAATAAGAACTACTCCTACCCCACCACCCTTCCCCGAGCACATATATTTTTTCTTCTATCTTTCCCCAATTCGTGGCACCCAGCATCTATCCACTCCACAGCCTTCGAATCCTGCAGTATTTTTAAATTGTGCCATAAATACGTTGAGTGATAAGCAGCCAACATCTTTAAGTGCCCCTTAAAACTAAATATTACCTGTACAAGCATATGAAAATAGCCCAGCAGAACCATCCAGTTTTCAGTCATGAGAAGCTCATGATAATCCTATGTAAATATATCTTTAAAACTCTGAAAGATGGCGGGCACTTTGCCTCCATCCTGGGTTGATAGGGAATTTTTTCTCTTCTACAGAAGAGCACTTCTTAAAAAAAGAGAGAAAGAAAAGCTTCTTTTCAGTAGCATCAATCCTGAGCTATTGGCTGGAAACCACAGCCTAGCTAGTCTGGTTGTCAGCTCAGCACTGGTTTAGTTGTCTGGGATGTGCATTGAACTCCCCGCTTTGGGAAGGTTGCCTCTGACCTAGGTCAGTTGTCACTGGGGATCCCCTGCATCTGTGACCCCACTGTGTCTTGCTACTGCATGCGTTGCCTGCTCCCCTGACTCTGTGGAAGGCAGGCGCGGGCCCCACTGTGAGGCTGGCCCAGCGGCTGCCCTGCGGCCTTGCTCCCCTCTGCATGGCTCCCCTGCTTCCCCAGCGCGGCCTCACGTCCCTCCTTCTCATCCTCTCCATTTCTCCAACCAGATGGCTGCCCTGACTTGTGCAACGGTAACGGGAGATGCACACTGGGTCAGAACAGCTGGCAGTGTGTCTGCCAGACCGGCTGGAGAGGGCCCGGATGCAACGTTGCCATGGAAACTTCCTGTGCTGATAACAAGGATAATGAGGGAGGTGAGCACGCGTCTTCTCATTCCCAGCCCCTAAGAGCAGAGCGTTGTCCATGCTTTTGTCATAAGTCATTTTTCTTCGGAAAGACCTCCCCTGCACTATTGTCAAATGTTGTTGTAACATTTTCTTTGAAGCAAATGCAGCAGAGAACAGGTGTCCTTATGCCAGGGGGGATCTCTGGGAGACACCGGCTGGAGGCACTGGGGGTTGATACTGGCTGAGAATTCCCAAGTGCCCATTGCCACATAAAGGTGGCTGGGCCCTGGCGCTGCCTTCAGGGTCACCAGTCCTGCCAGAACTTTCAGGGCTGCGGATAACAGTCGGTGACAATGAGGATGACAATCTATGCCTAACGCACAAAGCTGTCATAAGCAATGCCTGCTGCCTTCATCCTTACAGCCCTTTGAGATGTCACTCTACAGATGAGGAAACCGAGGCCTGAAGAGTGATTAAGTAACTTTTTCGAGATAATCCAACCACCATTAGTAAAATTGAGACCCAAACCCAGCTGTGGCTCCAAAGCGTCTTTTCTAACCAGTAGTTGGCAAACTATGGTCCATGGACCAAACCTGGCCTGTAAGCTAAAAATAGTTTTAACATTTTTAATGGTTGGTGGAAAAAATCATTAAAAAGAACAATATTTGATAATGTGAAAGTTATGTGAAATTCAAATTTTGATGTTTATAAATTTTTAAACAGCTTTATTGAGGTATAATTGACATATAAAAAGTTGCGTATATGGCCAGGCACAGTGGCTCACACCTGTAATCCCAGCACTTTGGGAGGCCATCACCACCATCAAGGCCATAAACATGTCCATCGCTTCCCAAAGTTTCTTCCTATTGACTGAACCAAGGGTTGGGCTGCTTGTTTTCAAGGTCCAATAACAAGATGCAGACACACTGGGAAAGTAACCAGAAATAAACTCTCCCAGGTACAGGGAGAAGGCCAGAGATAATTCACCAGGCCATCTCTAAATTACAAAGTTTTCCAGTGTGTATATACCTTCTAAGCTATGTGTCTACATGTAAGTGTGCATTCATCTGAAGACACAAATGATTGATTCCATCTAATCTATAACTAAGGTTTGGGTCCTGGACACCTTCCTCCAGAGCCTCAGTAAATTTGCTTAGCCTAGATGGGTCCTGGTGCCGGGGGTGATTACCCTTATCTTTTCTCCAGCTAAGGTGTGGAGGTCTGGGGAGTTCCTTTAGACTCCCAGTAAAACTTGTTTAATCCTAAATGGGTCCTGGTATGAGGAGCATGAGAATTTCTTCATTATCTTGTGAAGGTTCAAGGCCCAGGAAAGGCCTAGGCAAGACTCTTGGTGAGCTTTTGTTACATTCCAGCCTTTGTGTAAGTGCGCTGGCTCTTTCCGCCTTTAATATTTAACCTAACCATTCATTCAGTGCCAAAACAGTTGTCATGGAGGCCTGCCTGTTCAGCTGGTGGTGAGACCTGGCCTGCCACACTGCTCTCTTTGTGATTATTGTCTTGGGGTGATTTTTTGGTTTTAAGAGTTTTTGTGGTAAGAACATTTTAACGTAAGATCTACCCTCTTAGCAAATTTTGAGTGTACACTACTTTGTTAGCCATAGATACTATGCTATGTGTAGATCTCCAGAATGTATTTATCTTGTATCGCTGACACTTTGTACCCCTTAACCCACACCTCTCCATTTATTGGAATACAGCCATGCCCATTTGTTTATGTTTGGCCTAGGGCTGCTTGCACTCTCCATGTCAGAGTGGAGTCAAAGCAAAAACCACTTGGCCATCAAAGCCTAAAACATTTACTCTCCGGCCCTTTACAGGAGAAGTTTTCTGTCTCCTGTTCTAAACCTCTGAGCTGAATTTCCCCATGTTCCTTCCTGATGGAGTGCTAAGATTCTGGGGCTAAATGAGGTTGGGTTAGCATGTGGGCCACCTAATCTCCTAAGAATACTGTGGAATGTTCCGTAGACTTCAGTACAGGTATGTTATCCACCCCCATCAAAATTACTAACTGATCAGAATTCACTGGGGGCAGAGGTTGTTTCAGAGTGTAGGAAGATCCATGAGTCCAATCATTTGATTTAACAAAAATGTATTTAGTGCCACCTTGGACCAGTCATTGAATTCTAGGGATATCAATGACCAAGTCAAAGTCAGCCACTGCCTTCATGGCCCCAACAGGTCCTTTCAGTGGTGTCCAGAGCAGGGTGGAATCCATCGGGGTGGTGGATGAGAGTATTAGATATTCTATTTTTATTTTTTCTCATCCTCTTAATGGGTATTTTGCAGTTTCCATAATTTATGATTGCCATTGTGCCTGTATGTAATTTGTAAATAAACAGATGTACATACACTGATAGGAGTACACAATCAAAACAGTTTACAGACCTGATGTGGTTTACAGAGCTCCCATTCATTCATTTTCTCTTTCCTGAAACAGAGCCAAAGAGAAGTCACTTTAATTCATTTTTTAACAAGTTAAGGCATAACTACATAATGCATTTTTTTTCAAGTCAGAATCGCACGACTTTTGCTGGTAAGGTTCACTGCTTTTCCTTCTGCCTCCCTGGCGATTTCATTGAGCACAGCGGTTGCTTACAGATCAGCTTCTACTTCCAGAAAGGAGCTGCTCTCCTGGCTCCCTTCCCCGTTCCTGGTGTCAGCAGCTGAAAGCATAACAAATGGCTGGAATGCCACACAGAGGGGAGAGAGGAAACTCTGGGGGACTGTCTCCCCAGCATACCCTGCCTTACCCACCTCCCTCCCCACCAGCCCTACCCCTGATCCCAGCTTCCACCCGGCCAAAACCAAAATCCTGAAGTGATGGAGCTAAAAGAGGCTCACAGGGTCCCCGGGCCTAAGGGTTGCCCACCAGGCACAATTCAGGATCCCCCCCCCAACCCCCCCCCCCCCCCCGGCTGGCAGAGACAAAGCAGTCCAAAGGCAGGGCACAAAAGCAAATGAGGCAGTGGTGATTATGCTAAAGACAATAATGGCCTTGTTACGGGAACTGTTAAAGCAAACCTCCCAAGGAAGTAATTAACCACAAAGAAAAAAAAAAAAAAAGGCTGCATGGTGTTTATGAAAAGAAACTCCCAGTTAATTCAGAGTTGCTTATGTCAGGTGAGAGGGGTAGACACCAATTCTCTCTCACCTGGCATAAGCAATTCACAATTAACTGAGTTCTTTTTTTGGAGGTGATTCCTCAGTGTAGAGTATCCTTTTTATGGTTAGTGACTTCCCTAGGAGGTGTGCTAAGCACTTTGCTGTTTATTGATAAATATTAAGGTTGCTCCTCATCAACTCCAGATTCAATCCTGCAGCACACTAATTATATCACTCTTTTTGTTTGGTTGGGGTGGGGATGGGAGTTCTGCCCTCGTCTCTGTCCTGCTTCGTGAGTTATCAGGAAGGGCTATGTGAGTTTATAAACCTGGCAGTGGGTCAGAGAGGCACCCGGGCAGAACATGAATGCAGACCCGGGGAGCAGCAGCAATGAACACATTTGTTATAAATTTCATGAACGAGCAAAATAATAGAGCTATCTACCAAAGTGGACTGGAAAAGACAAATCACTTTTCCATCTAGAAACACTCTACTTTAAAAAAAAGAATCTGTTTGAAGGGATATGTATTTTTTATTTTAAACTGAGATAGATATAGATACAAATAACAGATAGAGATATTTGAAACCTTTAACAGCCTTTTTTCAACCTGGGTTCCTCTATGAGAGAATTAAGCCCTAATACTTTATGGCCACTAGTAGTTCTGAAACTTCAGCATGCAGCAAAACCACCTTGATTCAACACAGAGTGCTAAGCCCTATTCCTAGAGCTCCTGATTCTCTAAGTCTGGGGAGGGCAGTGCAAGACTGAATTTCTAGTAAATATCCCAGCAGTGCTGACGCAGGGGACGCTGATGCAGGTCCTCTTTGAGAACCACTGTCCTAAGCCATCCATTCTATGTAATGAATTAACTTCTCTCCTATGCATCTAGAATGGTACTGGATAAAATAACTCCTTTGGAAGAACTGAGAAAACTTTCACTCAAATATGCTCTGTAGTCAGCAGTGTTGAGATGAAAATCCCTGTTGGAGAAGGCTGCCTTAGAATATCCCCACCAAAACAGTTTATGCCAACTCCCTGCCTTCTCACCCCCTTGGCTTTCAAAGTCTCCAGACACCCCCAGTCATGTGACCGCCACTCATGTAACCTCAGGAAGCAATGGCTGATTCTGAAGGGACAAGCCACACCTGCCCATGGCCACTAAAAAGAAGTGGAAATGGTTCAGACAGACACGGCAGCTGGCAGACTGTCTTTTTAATAGTGAGAGATCTTCACTTGAACTGCTCACCCCAATTTGAAAAAGAAGAGACTCAAAGAAATATTTTTGCTTACAGAAGACAAATACCAGCTCATTAAAGTCTGAGAATACACACAACATGTGCACCAAGTGACAGGCGGATAATATTTAATTATCACCACCAAGACAGAGGTGTGAGATTTAGTTCATCACAGCCAGGGGTAGGAGAGAGGGTGTAGGTTTCCTCTAAAAGTGGGAACTGCAAGGTGAGGAGGCGTTGTTAGACTGTCTGGCCTGGTGAGACAGTCCTTACTTCTTCCCCACTCCCCTTTATCACCCTGAACTTAGAGTCAGGAGCCCTAGCCCTTCCATCATTTCAAGCCGGCATCGGAGTGAGTCTGAAGCTCCTGTGGAATCCTATGAGATGCTTTCTCCCATCTGTGGGCAGCGGTGACAGTGGAGACCAAGGGAGGTGATGTCATAACCACATCACCTGGAGGTAGGGTAGGAGGAAGCCTTTTTAGGCTGAGCCTGTCCCGTCACCCCGCATCACTTTCTTCCTTACTAAACTAGGAGAGATGTCTTTTCCCCTCGTTCCGTTTCAACACAGCACTGAAAGATGTTTTGCACCTTCTCTTTCATGTCCCTGGTTTCTGAACAGGTGACACTGTATCATCATAATTGATTGAGGGCTTGGGCTTCAGAGTCAGCCTTTGTATTCCAGCTCTGCAAGTCACTTTGCTTCTCAAAGTCTCAGTTTTCTTATCTGTAAAATAGGCATGGCAATGCCAATGTCACTAGCTGGTGTGAAGTTTAAGTGAGAAAATGCATGTGATGTATTTTACAAGACACCTGGCTCATAGATGCCCTCACACGTTGGCTGCTGCTAGCATTAACATTATTAATATTAATGTTATTTTCTAGAAAGGAGACTGAATTCATATAGATGGAACCCAACCAATAATTTTTCCAGTGTACACAACCACAAAGATTCTAACTTTGTGCTTATTGAACTTTAGTGCTGCGTGACTGTGTGGAGGGCTTGTTTAAAAGTCAGATTTCTAAGCCCCCACCTTTGAGGTTCTGATTTATTAGTCAGACATAGAATGCAGGAGTCTGCACTTTTACCACGCACCCCAGAGTGTCTGATACAAGTGTGTTTGCTCTGCAGATGACATTTTGAGATAAACTTTTTAAAATAATGGTGTTCCCTGGGTGGGCTCACCCAGCCTAATGTCATAGTGCTTATACCCCAAACCCTTTCCCCTAAAATCCCCAGAACACAGGAGTGCAGTGAGGAGAGGGGAATTTTATTTCAGGAAGAAATAAGTAGCTGAAAAGACATGAAGTCTGGGCATGGTGGCTCACGCCCGTAATCCTAACACTTTGGGAGACCAAGGTGGGTGGATTACTTGAGCTCAAGAGTTCAAGACCAGCCTCGGCAACATGGTGAAACCCCATCTCTACAAAAAATAGAGAAATTAGCCAGGCAGGCATCCTGGCATGCGCCTGTAGTTCCAGCTACTCAGGAGGCCGAGGTAGAAGGATCGCTTGCTCAGGAAGTTGAGGCTGCAGTAAGCCGTGATTGTGCTATTACACTCCAGCCTGGGCGACAGAGTGAGACCCTGTCTCAAAAAAAAAAAAAAAAAAAAGACATGAAGATATCTTTATGTTTAGGTCCTTTGTGAATGACTTCAGTATGATTTAGAAGTTCTCCATTCTTGGGTGGAGAGTTGGCTGATGTTTGTTTCAAAGTTTAAAAACCTTTAATTCTCTGTCATTAGGGTATGAATTCGTCTATCCACTCATCCATCCATCCATCCATTCATTAGCTTATTCATTTATGGTTTAACAAACATTTGTTGAGGGTTTACTAAATGTTAGACCCTGAAAATAAGCCTTTAGAAATACTAAAGCAAACATGACATATGTCCACAAAGAGCTCACTATCCATCTACAAAGATGGATAAACACATTGTTATTATTATTATTACAGTCCAGCATGTGAGAGGTGACAGAGATGGACCATCTTATTAGACGGCAATAGTTCAGTGGGAGCATAGCAAAGGGACTGTCACGTGTATGGGTGTCAGGAACATGACATGAGAGAAAGCGCAGCCCATTGTTAAGGACTGGCTCTTCAGCTCGTCTCCATGGAGTGTCCTCAAAGCCACAAATCCGTGTGATCAGTAACCCGTGGTAGAGGCTCTTCAGGTCACTAGCAGTTACTGCAGTTCCCTCTCTAAATGAAGCACTCCACTCTGGCTTCTCTGCAGAGCAGTATTTCCCACCCTACCTCCATCTGCAAGGCTCGGTTCCTTGGTTCACTCCAAAGGAGGCTGCCTTGGGTTAAGAGACGTGGATCCTGGCCTGAGCTCTGGGCATGCCATCCAAGGCACTCCAGCCAGGTCTAAATGAGGAGAAATAACACTGGAGTCTGTCCAAAGCACTTGGAACAGACAAAACTCACCCCTCGCCCACTGCCTCCTCCCGCTCCCTCCCCATCCCGTAGCCATCCAAATTGGTTTGACACGATTCAGGAATGCTCTTCCGGCATTTATCTCACTTGCTAATTAATAACTCACCTTGTCTGTGCATTTAGCAGAGCCAAGCTAGGGACTTCAGGGACTCCAAAAGGGTTCTGGTTCCCATGCCCAAATAGTCCAGTTTCTTCCTCCAATGAGACACAAAGCTTGGTGAACCCACTGTAAATGCCTTGATTAATGTATCCCAATCGTGTTGATGGATTGGTTGGGTGGGGGACAGCTTAAAAATACAATATTGAGCTATTAATTGGGTTGGATGAGGATTCCCTTTGCAGTCCAAAGACCTTGTGGCAAATGTAGCTGGAGCCATAAACAGAGTCCCTGATTAGCTCCCAGAGAGAAAAGCAATGTCTCTAATGCTTAGGAGGAAAACTTGGCCTTGAGGACACTGCCAGCTGGCCAGATGCTGGGTCTCTCTTCTTTAGGAGGGAAGCAGAATTAGCCTCAACTGAGATCTTCAGGGAACACATAGCAACAGGGATCTGAAGTTATTCTGGCTCTTCCAGTTGAAATAAGATCTTTGACTTCCTGGGCATATTTGACTAGAGAATCTTCTGTTTAGAAAACTGTAAGGTAGGGGTTCAGTTTTCTCTTATGCTACTGAGGTTTAGAAAAAAGATAGAACCAGCTGCGCACGGTGGCTCACACCTGTAATCCCAGCACTTTGGGAGGCCAAGGAGGGCAGATCACTTGAGGTCAGGAGTTTGAGACCAGCCTGGCCAATATGGTGAAACTCTGTCTCTACTAAAAATACAAAAATTAGCCGGGCATAGTGGCTCACACCTGTAGTCCCAGCTACTCAGGAAGCTGAGGCATGAGAATCGCTTGAACCCAGGAGGCGGAGGCTGCAGTGAGGCAAGATCGCACCACTGCAGCACTCCAGCCTGGGTGACAGAGCGAGACTCCATCTCAAAAAGAGAGAGAGAGAGAGAAAGACAGGAGGGAGGGAGGAAGGAAGAAAGGAAGGAAGGAAGAAGGAAGGAAGGAAGGAATTCTCTTGCATATAAAAATAATAATCAGTAAGATTTTTGAGAGCTTACATGTGCCAAGCACTGTGCTGAGCTTGCTCTGCACCTGGGTTACGGGAACAGCCTCCCAAGTGGTCTCCCTGCACTCCTCTTGCCGTCTGCTCTCTGTTCCTCCACACAGCAGCCAGAGGGAGTGTTTTAGTAGGTTGATGCAAAAGTTATTGTGGTTTTGGCCATTGAAAGCAATTAATTTTGCACCAACCTAATACATTGTAAATCTCATCATTCCATGTTCTCAAAGGGTTTCTCATGGAGTTAGAATCAAAATCAGCTGTTTTTTTCACCTTGGCTTAGAGGGCCCTCTGTATATCCCCTGCCTTGTCTCTGACCTGTCCTCCCCCATCCTCTCCGGAAGCTCTGCCTCATCCACTCTGGCCGGTGTTTAGACTGCACAAGTGCAAAGATTAGTTCCACCCGAGGGTCTTTGCTAGTGCAAGGTGGAAATGCTCAGTCAAGGCACATTGTATCACTGGCTCAATGTAGTCATTCAGTTCTCAGCTCAAATGCCTCAGAAGGACTTATTACGAAGTCTTCCTCTGTGTCTCTCCCATCAACCATTAGTGTTTCCTTTATGGAAATATCACACTCCTAAATTTTCTCACGCTGTTATTCTTGCAGATTGTCTGTTTCTTCACACTAGACTGTAAGTTCAATGAGTCTATTTCATCATATTATTTTCATTATACAGATAAGGATACAAAGGCTCAAGAAGTTAAGACTCAGAATAGCCCTTTCAGCTAACCACCATGATATATGGCTTTTCTCCTTTAAAACCATTGGCTCCTTTTTTCTAAAACACTCAAAAAATTTGGACAGTGTTTCTGAAGAAGATTCAAACAAGTACAGAATGTGTGCTGCTGCAAGGAAGCCTTAGAAAAAAACACCTCAAAGACAAAACTTTTCCATTGAAAACCTTTTCCTGGTACATGTAATTGACCATTGAATTAGTTGTGTTCTTTTTTAAAAAAAGGGGTTTAAAGTTTATAATTTACCCAACACAGCACTTTCAGTCTTTTTTAATCAAGTCTTTATTAGTTTAAATGGTTATTAAGTGTCTCTTAAGGGATTATGTTTTTTTCCCCCTGATTAGATGACAAATCAAATATCCATTATGAAATTGTGATGAAAATGCATAATCTGAAAAAAAATTTTAATCATGTAAATCACTATGGACTTATTTTAGGGAATTAAAGGATGAAAACGCAGATTTCACTGGTGGCAAGGAGGTGATATTGATAGCGTTATGTTGGCTTCCTGTATTTGTGCTTTGGCCAGAGCCTTGCCCTAGATGGTGGCAGGCACACCCTTGCCATCCCCCGGTCTCTGTGACCAGCATTTGAATAAAGAGGCAAGGTCCTCGTGCCATCACTAGCTCTCTTGCTCCCACAGTCTTCCCCCAAGTCCAGACCAGTGGTTCCCTACCGGGGCAACTCGCTCACCCAGGAACATCTGGCAATGACTGGAAGCATTCACGAGTCATGGTGGTGGGGAGGTGGGGAGGTGCTACTGGCATCCAGTGGGTAGAGGCCAGGGTTGCTGCCAAATGCCCTACACACATAGGAAAGCCCCAAATCAAAGAATGATCCCACCCAAAATGTCAATAACACCAAGGCTGAGAAATCCGATATAGACATTTAATGTCCCAGGAACACATCTGTCTGAGGGACCAGAGGGTCCCAAAACAGGCAGTGTCCATGGGCCTGATTTGAAAGGACGTGATGTCCAAAACCCTAAGGCATTGAGCCCTTACTAAGGGCCAGGCCCTTGCTAAAACGTCACCCACATTGCCTAAATAAATCATGACAATCCCCACAAGAGCCCTGGGAGTCTTTCATTATCCTTTATATAGAAGCAGAAACTAGGAGCCAGAGAGAACAAGTGGCTTGTCCAAGCTCCCACGGCGAAAACATAGCCAAGCCAGGATTCAGAACCTGGGTCAAGAACCCTCCTCTGGGCCCCTCACAGCACCTGAGTGTTTGTTGTGTTTGGGCTCAGAGCAAGGCAGAGCATAAGTGCTTGAACAACCTCCGCCCCTCAGAAACACGAATTTTGCAGCATGCTTAAAAATACCATCGGCGTTAGCTTTTCCCTCCGGTTTTGGATTTGGAATGCATTTTTGCCACAAAGCACTTAGGCACTGAAATGCCAGGGGGTGAGCAGGGGAGAGTTGAGCAGCTGGACTTTAAATAGCAAGGTGTTAGCAAGCAGCACAGCAAGAGCAGCTGCCCAAGGCCTGTGCTCTTTTCTTTGACTTTCTATCTTCTCAGCCAAGAGCTCTGGGGGATTGGAGAGGGGCCAGAACTCTGTGGCCAAATGCAAATCCAGAGAAAACTGCGAGGTGTTCCCCCAAACCTCTGTGCCTAATGCTTCTCTTCCTCCCCACTCACAACCAAGACCAAACCTTTCCAAGGTGATTCTCCTCCTCTGCCTGTCCTCAGGGTATGTCATCATGGAGCTCTCCCCACCTCCTTCAGTTTCCTGGAACTCCATGGCCACGTGCACTGAGGCACACTACCTCTTTCATTTATGAGAATCACAGGATGATTTCATTTATGGGAGTCTGGAAATGTCAGATGCAAAAAGGCTAAACTATAGAGTCCCCGGCAGCTGCAAAACCCAAGGAGGGAAGCCACTTACTCAAGGCCAAGGAGCAGGCAGGGCAGACCTGAGACTGGAGTCCTGGTTTCCTGGCTCAAAATCCAGTGTGCTTTTGTCAATGCTGCGTTGCCACCAAAAGGACTCAGTGACACTCAGGAGAATGGGTGCCTGCCACTACTGGTTGGAGCCAAGATCTATTTCAGACCTGGGACCTAGATTAGAATGAGTGGAGATGCCTAGGGTACCTCACAGTGAGTGTCGCCTTCACTTTCGCCCCCTCAGCCCCTCATTCACCTCTTCCTAGTTGCAACCCTGCTCAGACCTCTTGTCATTGATGGCAATGACAGAAAACACCCTCCCCCACACCAGCCACACTCCTGGACAGACCACTCACCACCAAAATCATTTATTCATCCAACAAACATATACCAAGCCCCCACTCTGTGGCAGGGCATGTGAATGAATAAGACTCAAACTCCGCCCATAAAGATGCTCTGTCTGGTGGGAGGTAAAATACACACTAAAGCTGTCACTGCAGAGCCACATTTTAAGGGTCCATAATAGAAGTAAGGCCAAGAGACCATGGCCGCTCACAAGAGAGGCACTGAAGACTTCCAAAATAGGTACAGCTTGAATCTTAAAAGATAAAAAGGAATTAGGCAAGGAAGGAGGGAAAAGCATTGTGAACGAAGGGAACGGCAAATGCACAGAGGCAAGGAACAGCAATGCCTGTGTGGGGACCTCTGAGAAGCCTGGTACCTTGCAGCCTAGTCCACATGGAGAATGGAGGAGGATGAGGCTAGAATGGGGTTTGCGTGCAGTGCTGGGCAGAGCGCAATACAGCCATCATATTTGTTTGTGCCTCCCATCAACATAGCATCTCAGTCTTCAAAATTGCAACCATGCCTGCCCCTCAGACAGAAGGCTGATATATCTGCTTGAGTTATTATAAACACACACACCACAGCTGAGAAGCAGGCGTGGCCTTTTGTTGTGTTGCCTCCATTGCACATGGGCATTCTTTCTCCCAGGGAGGGGAGACAGCCTGGCAGGGTAGTCAAGAGGCTTTGGGATTTGAGCTTCAGGTCACGTCCCAGCTCCTCCACTTCCTCAAGATATGAGCTTAAATTTAAGCTTTGTCCTCTGTAAAGTGGAGCTAGGGCTAATTTCTACCTCATAGGATACTGTGAGGCTTAGATGAGTTAATGGATGCAAAACAGTCAGCACAACGGTTCGTATACATCTTATACGTCAGTGAGCATCAGAATCACCTGGAAGGCTTCAGGCACAGATGGCTGGGCCCCACCCTCAGAGTTTCAGATTCAGTAGGTCTGGCAGGAAGCCCAAGAATGTGCATTTCTCACAAGTGCCCAGATGATGCTGTTGCGTTGAGAACCACTGACTTAGCGTAATACGTGCCTTTTGAAGGGAAGCTCAAGTGCTGGCAGAGGGATTCCTCCGAGCGTGTCAGCCCTGGGCCAGCTGATGAGGAGAGACAGGCCAAACAGCTCTGCATCCTGAGGCGGTGGCCACTTCATTAGCATATGGACCTTGGGTACATTCCTGGGTTCACTGAGGTCCTTTCCACAGAAGCTTGTCATCCGGAGAGGAGTCAGGGCTCCAACTTCCCGGGATCCATCCTCCTCCTTCAAGAGTGTTGGAATAAACGAAAAATGTGGAAGGAGTTTGCTGGGAGAGAGCAGTGGTAGCTGGCCCTGGTTCCTTGCCTTTTATGACATTCTGCTGCTTCTCCCATGCCCCCTGCCCCACTTAGGACAGGTGGTGCTGTGCCATTTACTGATGGGGTCCACAGACTTTGGAATCAGACGGACCTAGCTGTACATTCTGACTCAGGTTCTTACTAGCTGTGCTTCCTTGAGCAAAGGACCTAACGTGTCTGAGACTCAGTTCTCTCATCTGTAAACTGGAAACAATGATATCAACTTCATTGGCCTGTTGTAAGGTTTGACTAGAAAGTTTATAGACAGCAACTTAATGCCCCTTTACTTAAATGGCTGCTCTAAGTGTTTGCATCTCCCTGTATGATGTGAGTTCAGAGATTCTAAAAACATACACTGCCTTCCAATCAAAAACTCATCATTTCAAATAATACATACATTTCAAAATCAGGAACCCATCTTTTGGTCCCTGTTATAATACATTTCCCTCAATTTCATCCCCACTGGCTCTGGAATGAGTGCTGTCTTCCCTCAGAGGTCATGAACCGGTGACCCCCAAGCTGGGTGGGTCACTGTCATGTTCCCTTTAGCCACATAGGCTTACAAAAATCTTTGCATTCATTGCTGACATTTAGAGGATTTCATTTAACTAACAAAGAAGCTGAGGGCCTAGAGGTTAACTTGCCCAGAGTCAAACAGTGGAAGGGCTGGGATTGGAGCCCAGTTCTTTTGATTCTAAATGTCTTGTTCATTCTTCTCTCAGACCCTTTTTCTGAAAGTATTTTTATGCCAGGTGTGCCAGAGTCCAAAGCCACTAGGTGTCTGGGGTTATGCTGGAAAAGAGGAATCCATGGAGAAGACAGATGCAGAAAAGAGAAACAGCAGTCCCCGGAGCAAGCTTCTCCTGCTCTTACTTCTGCCATGCTCACTCAGAAAGCTTGTGGCTCAGGGAGTGTAGAACCAGGGAGAAAACCCCAGCCTACCTGGGGTCCATCACTCAAAGTCTTAGCCCTTTGACGAGCAACACTAATATCATCACTACCCAACTAGCACACCGTCTGCCAGGGAGGCCATTGCATAGGCCTTTGACATGCCCTCTTTGTCTATGCATCTTGCCACACAGATTTTGGGATGCCCCCTTACCTGGCCTCTCCATTCCCTACTCTTAATCCTTAAGGCCATGATTTCTTAATAGCTTTCCACCTCCACTCAGATCATGCCAACAACTTCTCTGCGCTGGACTATGGGTCCTCCAGCTTCTAATCTGTTCCCCACAGAGCAGCTAGAAGAATCCTTTCAGAAGTCAGATCCTATCACACCCCTGCTCAAGCCTTGCCAGGGCCTCTCATCTCCCGTAGCATGGCACCCAGGTTGCCGCAGTGGCTTCCATTGCTCTGCATTAGTGAGTCCCTGCTTCCATGCTGATCTCATTTCCTCTCTCTCTTCCTCGTCCTCTCTCTGCCATACCTGCCATCTTGCCATTCCTACAACTCACAGATACACTTTCACCCTAGGCTTCTGCACTTGCTGTTGCCTCTGCTCAGAGTGTTCTTCTTCCAGATGTTTCCATGACTCATTTCCTCATTTCGTTTAGGTTTCTACACGAACATCACTTCTTTAGAGAAGCCCTCCCTGCCCTCCCTGTCTAAAGCAGAAAATCCCCTCCTTCATCACTGTCCAGCCCTTTACCTTGCTTTACTTAGTGTCTTCAGAACACTGTCACTGTAATTCCATCATGCATTCATTGTTTATTGTCTATTTTCCCCCTCTAGAATCTAGGGCCATAATCACAGGGTCCTTGTCTGCCTTGGTCAACTCATTGTTACACGAATTGAATGAGTAAAAGCTTTCACGAGAAGTGTTTGGGATCAGAAGCAATTGTCTTTTATTCAATAGATGATTGGGAGATAAATACATTTCATTTTAGGATTTCAAAAAACATGCATACAGTGACACCCAAGTCACTATATACCGCTGATATCGTTTTATCAGTGCAAAGAAAATCCAGATATAAAATACATCTTTGCTTTTCAGTAAGGCATGAAGACATGGTTGTACTGCTCTTCATCTGTATTATTGACTTGGCCTCATCCTGTTCATTGACTTCGTATGGGTTGGTGCAGTAGGTATGCAAGCCTCATAATCCTCCTTTAAAACAAGAGGAAAGGCAGAGGCAGCTGCAGATTGTTCTTGGGTGAACTCCGACCTCCCAAACTACAGCTTGCTGGAGAAGCATAGAGTAGGGGAGAAGAACAGCAAGTCTAAGGCTGGGCCAGCTGCGTGTGAATCCCAGCTTCCCCACCCACCAGCAGCTGCCCAACCTTAGTCAAGTAACTGACCCTCTCTAGGACTGGGTTTCTCCATCTGAAAAGTGGAAGTAAACAAATGGTTACTATACAACAAGTCCTTCTGCATACAGTTTATTTGATTTTTTTGCAACAGCCCTATTAAGCTGGTGTGATTATTTTTATTTTACAGATGAAGGAACCAAGACTCAGAGAGGTAAAGTAACTAGCCCAAGGCCACACAGCCAATATTTTGCTGACCTGGGGTTGAACACAGATCAGCTGCCTCTAGATCCCGTGATCATAATTGGCAGTATGATACTAATTCCTATTATCTACACCATAGAGTAGATGCGAAGATTAAATGACAGCCAGGCACAATGGCTCATGCCTGTAATCCCAGCACTTTGGGAGGCTGAGGCAGGAGGATTGCTTGAGCCCAGGAACTTGAGACCAGTCTGGTCAATATAGCAAGACCTTGTCTCTACAAAAAATTAAAAAATTAGCTGGGCACAGTGGTGGGTGCCTATAGTCCCAGCTACTCAGCAGGCTGAAGCAGGAGGATCTCTTGAACCTAGGAATTTGAGGCTGCAGTGAGCCAAGATTGCACCACTGCACTGCAGCCTGGGTAACAGCACAAGACCTCATCTCTCAAAATAAATAAGTATAAAACAAAATAAACGAGAAAATCTCCAGCGAGTGCTAAGCACAGTGCTTGGAACATGGCAGCAGCCACGTTTAGGAATGACACCGTTTAGAAATTAGTACTTCCAACTCCTCTAATTCCACAGGAAGCTCGTAGAATAGCCAAGTCCGGGCCCTTCTCCCAGCTGGCAGTCTGGGGCATTTCTTTATGCAGCAGAAGGAGAAGCATCATGCGCCCCTACTAATCCTCTCCACTCTGGGGCCAAGCCTCCCATCTTCCCCCCAGGGACAAGGTCTCCCCTCAGGCGGAAAGTAACTGTTCACCTTGTTGCTCTGAGGTGTCGGTGGTGACAGCCCCTTTTCTTTCTGAGGGCCCCAGCAGGTCACTGTCTGGCACCAGGCTGCCACCCCCTGCCGGGCCTCGGCTGCACTGGCCGTCGGCTCAGTTCTGTGTGACCTGTCAGTGGGCTCTTTGAAATGGAGGTTGATGAGGAACAGAGCAGGGTAGACCAGGCAGCGAGAGGCCAGGAACAGCAGGCAGAGGGCAAGCATTTGGGGAAATCAGAGGCCAAGAGCAGAGGCCCCTGCTCTCTGTTGCCAGTGGTTTTTGTAACAGCAAAGTGGGGAGACAGCTGCAGCCAGGATAGAAATCCCCCAGGTATAAAAAACGTGGCTCTAGGCTAACAAGGGTGAGACTGTGCCAGAGAGGCCTGTCAGAGGCTGTCCAAGGTGGGAAATTTCTGATCAAATGAGATGATTCCCAGAGGCCCTTTCTGGGTTGAGAGTCAGCAGGGGCGGGACAGGGAGAGGAAAAGAAGGAAGGGGAAAGAGACAGAAAAAACAACTAAGAAATGAACATGTCTTCTGAAGCTTCAGTATTTCCCTTCATAAGTCCTGTGACATTCAGAGGGTACCTATATATGGCTGTGACTGCTTCCAGCCCCCTGTGAAAAACCGAGAACAGAAGTCAAGAGGCTTTGGAGGAGGCTGGGCATGGTGGCTCACGCCTGTAATCCCAGCACTTTAATTCCAGCACTGTAATTCCAGAAGTCAAGAGGCTTCGGGAGGCCGAGGCGGATGGATCACTTGAGATCAGGAGTTCAAGACCAGGCTAGCCAACATGGTGAAACCCCATCTCTACTAAAAATACAAAAGTTAGCCAGGCATGGTGAAGGGTGCCTGTAATCCCAGCTACTTGGGAGGCTGAGCCAGGAGAATCACTTGAACCCAGGAGGCAGAAGTTGCAGTGAGTCGAGATCGAGCCACTGCACCCCAGCCTGAGCAACAGAGTGAGACTCTGCCTGAAAAAAAAAAAAAAAAAAAAAAGAAGCTTTGAGGTAGACAACCAACATGTGAATCATGAATCACTTCTCCATCATTTACTAGCACTGTGACCTTGGGCAAGGCCCTTAAGCTCTATGAACCTCAGTTTCTTTATCTGCAAAATGAGGATCATAGAACCCACCACAAAGGGTTCTTGAGAGCATGACTGGATGCTGGCTGGATCGAAGCACAGCACAGGCTGAGCAAGCACAGAGGGACTTAAGTGGCTGGCAGAGGGCCAAGCACTTAATTGTAAACTTAAGTCAAAAGTGTGAACTGGATGAAGCTAGGAGCTGGGGCAGAGGGCTGGCCAAAACATTCTGCTGCCCAGTTTCCCAAAACATAAATCACCCTGTACTAGGTATGTAAATGGTTACTCTCACTAACTGTCTTAGATAAAAGAGCTCATATGTACATGCTTGTACAAACATGTCATGGCAGAGGGTACAACAGGCTCCTGTGTGTTGGACACTCAGCATAACAGTCACACAACCTTACATGGCAGCTTTGTGTAGGATTTCGTTCCAGAGTGCAGCAAACAGGGTCCAAAACCCAGTCCTACCACTTAAAAACAGGGTGACCATAGGTGAATTATTTAATCTCGAAGTCTCCCATTTCTCACCTGTAAATAATGATGTTAATAGCACCCAGGATTCTGGTGGTGTCTTAATAAAGGCATGCGTTTAAAGTACCTAACCCAGTGCCAGGCACCCAGGAAGCTCCTCCTGAGCACCAACCATTGGTTCTCATTAGACATGGTTGCCATTAATGTTCCATTGTCTTGCTGACGCCAGGATGTTGTCACCTAGCACAGGGTCCCCACTCTAAAATGCACTGGCCTTGGGAGACACTGGGAGCTGGAGGACAGGGGCTCTGAACTGATATGCTAGTAGTACCGACGTGGTTTGTGTTGGGCCTGATCACCAAAAGCCCTGCACTTTATAGGAAGTCAATCAAGGATGAGACTGCCACTTGTGACTATTGAGTAGATGGAGGTATGGCTGGTCCTTCCAAGAACAAAGCCCCCAAACCTAGAGCCCTATGTTCTCATGAACTGTTTTCCAACGTGCATGGCACTAGATGCAATTGCAGGGAGAGGCTCGGAGCCAGAAGGGTCCATGGTCAGGAAATGCTGCGTACTCCATGACAATATTAAAGACTCATAACGTGTATCCATATATCAAAGCCTCCAGGAAGTCCTGCTGTAAAGTTTAACTTCGTTTAACTGACTCCCAAATTACATTTGATGGCAGATCCTCCCCTCCCACCTCCACTTTTGTGTTTCAGGGAATGCGTATTAACATCCTGCAGGAGACAGAGTTTGGAAAAACTGTTGTAGCCCCTCAGCTGTACTGCTGTGGATATTTGAAGGCTTTTTCTCAGTCACTCAGAACAGAGGTCTCAAGCTTTAGTGAGCAAAATAATCATTCTTGAGAATCTTCTTTAAAATGCAGATTCCCAGCCAGGCACAGTGGTGCACACCTGTCATCCCAGCACTTTGGGAGGCCAAGGCGGGTGAATCACCTGAAGTCAGGAGTTCGAGACCAGCCTGGCCAACATGGTGAAACCCTGTCTCTACTAAAAATAAAAATAAAAAAATTAGCTGGGCATTGTGGCGGGCGCCTGTAATGCCAGCTACTCAGGAGACTAAGGCAGGAGAATCACTTGAACCCAGGAGGCAGAGGTTGCAGTGAGCTGAGATGGCACCATTGCACTCCAGCCTAGGCAACAAAAGTGAGACTCCATCTTAAAATTTAAAAAAAAAAAAAATGCAGGTTCCCAATATTTAGTCTCAGGAATTCAGTACGTCTGGGTTGATGGCATCTTAACACCATACCGGAGCAGGTAGTCAGGGAGCACACCTTCAGCAACGCTGGTTTAAAGCTTAGCCACTGGAAATACGGTGCTCAGAGCAACAACATAGACATCACCTGGGAGCTCATAAATAATGCAGGCTCTCAAACCCCACCTTAGGACACGGGATGAGAATCTACATTTTAACAAGGTCCCTGAGTGATTGTGATGCTCATTAGAATTTGAGAAGCATTGGTTTAAAAGGTTTTGTTGATGGCATTTGTTTTTGGTTTTTGTCCATTAGTTGCTGGTGAAGAACCATTTTTTAAAAATAACTGGACAACACTATAATCCCCTTGTCAAACATTTCCCCCAGTGGCTTCAAGGTACAGTCTATTAAAGAGAGGCCTTACCTGAATCAGATTTCTGCCTTTGGTAGCAGAGCCTTGATTTTCTTAAGCAGCCCGTGCTTTTTTTCCCACATCCATCCTAAAGAGTAGAAAAGCCAGCAAACAGCTTTCACTGGGGCCTCCTCTCTGCCAGATCTCTGGTCAGACATGATTCATCTTCCATGACTAAGTCATAAGAAAGGCCAGAAGGTGCTTTGGTACAACGATCTCTGGACTTGGAAGTCAGAGTCTGACCAAAAGAGTTGGCAAGAAGTAGGAGGAAAACTTCCAACAGGTCTTCTTCCAGAAGGAGTGCAAATACAGTTTTACTTCTTTTTTTTTTTTTTTTTTTTTTTTTGAGACAGAGTCTCGCTTTGTCACCCAGGCTGAAGTGGAGTGATGCAATCTCAGCTCACTGCAACCTCCACCTCCCGAGTTCAAGCGATTCTTCTGCCTCAGCCTCCCAAATAGCTGGGACTACAGGTGTGCACCACCACACCCAGCTAATTTTTGTATTTTTAGTAGAGACGGGGTTTCATCATGTTGGTCAGGCTGGTCTCGAACTCCTGACCTCAGGTGATCCACCTGCCTCAGCCGCCCGAACTGCTGGGATTACCGGCGTGAGCCACCGCACCCAGCCCAGTTTTACTTCTTGCAATATTTGAGAATGGCCGTTGCTCTGTGCAGGGAAGGAGGATGCCTGAGGAGCGACGGTTCATCAGGCAGCCAGGGTATTAATGGCAGGTGAAACCTTCCAAACGAGCATCCTGTCAGCCAATCTATTGCTTTAAAAGGTTCGCAATGCAGGAGACCTTACAGAGGCAATGAAGAACTAATCTCATATTGCCAGGTTAAATCAAGTCAGCCTTGCCTATTCCTTTCACTTCTTAGTTACATCAAGCCCAAATACTTTCAATTATCCTCACTTCCAACTTGTCAGCAGGCGTAGGGTAAAATGCAAATGGAACAGTACCTTTCTCTCGTGGAGAGCAGGAAATATCATTAAGAATAACCTTCATGTATTGAGCTTTGCCTCCATCTTAAGTGCTATACATTCATCATCTCATTTCACACGCACCTTCTTAGAGCACCTCTGTGCATTTCAGTGCAGTCAGCATTATTAAGTCCATTCTATAGATTGGAAAACTGAGCCACAGGAATTCAGTCACGTGCCCAAGATGACACAGCTGATAAATAATAGACCAGGTTTTAAAGCCAGACCATTCTAATTCTAAAGCCCGTGTTTGTTTGCTGTTTTTCAAACTGAGCCAAAAGTCCAGTACCACCCTGGGCAAATGGGGCAGGGCAGGGACCAAGCATTGCATCTCAGCGGGCCCTGAGCTTTGGGATGACTCCCTTGAAATTTTCTAAGTTGCTCCCCAAGTGTCAGGGACTGGCCAGAGTCAGCAATGCTAACTGGGAGGAGCACCTCAGTCCAGACTAGGACCCACGTGAGCCCTGATCCCTGTTCCTCCCCTTCAGGGTGCTCTTTTTTTTTTTTTTTTTTTTTTTGAGACAGAGTCTCACCCTGTCACCCAGCCTGGAGTGCAGTGATGCAATTGGGCCTCACTGCAACCTCCGCCTCCCGCGTTCAAGCGATTCTTCTGCCTCAGCCTCCCGAGTAGCCAGAACCACAAGTGCGCGCCACCATGCCTGGCTAATTTTTGTAGTTTTTAATAGAGATGGGGTTTCACCATGTTGGCCAGGCTGGTCTTGAACTCCTGACCTCATGATCCACCCGCCTCGGCTTCTCAAAGTGCTGGGATTACAGGCGTGAGCCACCGCCCCCGGCCCAGGGTACTCTTTGACCCTCTGCCACCCCTCACCCCCACTCCTGTGCATGTAGGGTCAATAAGATGCCCCAAATTGTTTTGGCATTTGCATCTATGGGATATCCTAAGGCCTAACGGCCAGCCCCAGTTCCAGCAGGCAGCCTAGCAAGCACTGGCCAAAGGACTCTCTCTTTTGCAAACCAAGCTTCCAGAATGGTGCTGACCTGCTGATTTGGGGTGACTCAAATTGTTTATATAGCCAGGGGCCCAGCACAAAAAAAAAAATGCCCTTTGACTGGGGTGCTGCATACCTTAGGCATGCCCTGCAGGAGTTTACCTCAAAACAAACTAACTCCCAAGGCAAAACCAATCCTATGGTTCCCCCTTTTTACTCAGGAAACTCTTTCCATCTCTATCTCAAATTCAGCAGGAGCCTTTGGCCTTTGCTGGCCAGCATTAAGTGCCCTCCAGGACCCCTGCACCTTCTTCATTTCCATCACGAACAACCAGATTTCATCTTTCTTGCCCCAACTTATTGCTTCTTCCCTCCTTTTTATTGCTGCATTAATTTTTCACCTCTTCATCATTATTAGCTGATCTCAAAAACGACCCTGAGTCACGGGGTTCACCACCTGACTACCCAGACTTTCCTTGGGGAAGTGACAGCTTGGCAAGCACCTAGCTCTGTATAGGTAAAAAAAAAACCCATATGATGCCAAGAAGACTCAAAAAGAAAAAGAAAAAAAAAACATAGAAATGACTCAGAAGCACTTAGTAGGTGACAAGGTGCTCACAACTGTTGTAAGGACCTTTCGTGGATTACCTCTGTGGATCCTCCCAGCACTCCTTTGGGTATAATCATCACTGCCCTCACTTTGTCAATTCACCTGGGGAACCAGGTGACTAAGATGAAGATCAAGAGCATGCCCAGTGCCCAGAAAGTTTCCCTGTGCCCTCCCAACTAATACCTCCTCATCAAGGTAACTACAACTTCTAACTTTCTATCATCACTGATTAACTTTGCCTGTTCTTGAACATCCTATCGATGGGTCAGAGAGTACTCTTCAAAGCTCATGTTTTTAACCAATCCACTCTATGGCTTCCTGGCCCAATGAGTAGGAAAGGTAGATTTGGTGCTTGGTGGTTCCTCTGTGAAACCATGACTGCAAAGAGTGCAGCTTATTTTTAAATCTGAGCTTCTGACCAGTCCCCAACCAGCAGCTGCGTGCAGACACTAGAAGAGCCATCCACAGCACCTGCAGTGATTTGTTAGAGGCCATCTCCACCACTCTGTCACAAAATGAAACTTAGAAAAGTAAATGTAGGTGTTCTTCTGGAGCCTTTAATACCTAGGAAAGCCATGGAGTTCATGCACATTGGAGAGAGACTCACTTGCAAACCAAGCTACAGGGAGAAAAGTTGAACAAAATGCTTCCATTCAAATTCTCTATAAGCTGCCCAGAAGATCAAAGAAGAAAATAAGTGAAATCAACATCTTCTCATTCCCTGAGCCATTTCCTATGAGAATGATGATGCAAGAATTCACACAGCCTCCTCCAGGCAGAAAGGTGTGCATGGTTCAGCCAACTCCAAAGGATCCAGATGCTTATTGTGGCTGCTTTACAGCCTCTCCATCGACACAGGGCCTCCTTCCTCCTGAGTGTAGCTTTACTAGTAAGCGTTTAATGGAGGCTTTGAGCTTAAATCTCTTTACTAGTTAGGAGCTCCTTTTAAAATCTAGCAGAGTACACTAGACAGGGGATTGAAACGGCTGACAAAAACCTATAGCCAGCACAAAAGTAAGTGCCACCTTGTGCCAATGGTAAACAGCTGAAAGGGGATTGTGTCTCACAGGTAAATAGTGTGGTCCTCTGCAGCCTACAATGCCAGGAATAAATTCCCAGGCATCTGGTTTCTCCTGCTGATTCCTCTTCAGATGCTCATTTCAACCAGCCACATTCTTTCCCAGCTATAGGAGTAGACAGGCCTTCAGAAGTGATTAAATCTCACAGCTGCCCACACTTACCCCTGTTGATGGGTGTCCACTGCCTTGTCTTCAGACTTCCTTGGGGAAGGAAGCGTCACCCCTCCTAATAATGAAGACAAAAGGTGATAATCTCATCGGCTGCCTTTCTCTACTTTTTATTCATAGCTGCTTCTTAGCCACTTGGATATCCACCTTCTCCAAGCCTCAGTTGCATCCTCTATAGGTGGGTATAGAGTGGGTGGCATGGTGATAATGGAGCTAAGATAATGTACTGAGCATTCATTATACGACACTGCTCTGAGTACTGTACAGACAATAACTGCTTTAACCCTCCCAGCAGCACTATCTACCATCGTGATCATCATCATCATCAACATCATCATCATCTCCATTTTATACATGAGGGAAACTGAAGCACAGAGCAGTTAATTGCCCATGGTCAACAGCTAGGTAATAGTCAATCTGAGATTC